>NC_000016.10:49107954-49410985 GCF_000001405.40 Homo sapiens | reverse complement strand
CCCACTCTCCTGTGCTGTCCCCATTCAACCACTCAGCAAAGCTAGATTCCACCCACTTCCCATCTCCCGCCTTTGCCTGGGGTGCCCTCATCCCACCTTTTATTTCCCTACAAGGTCCAATGCAAATGTCACCACCTCTGCAAGTACCCCTGTGACTCCTCCAGAGAAGGTCAGTTGCTGCCCCTTCTTGGGTCCTACCCTCTTTTTTTCCCCCCATTACTAGGGTGTTCTTAGGTGAGTAATTATGAATTAACGAGGGCATTGTTTTCTTCTGTCTTCCTCTAGACTGTGAGCTCCAAAGACATCATCATTGTGGTCAGTATCTGTCATTCCTGCCTGCCTTGCCTCCAGGTCTGCTTCCTTCTGTAATGGCACCTGTGGTCTCCAGTCCTCACCATGGCCCCCAGTGATGCTTGGCTCCTGGTCTCCACACCCTTGTGTTGTTCCCTCCCACACTGACCAGGGCTGAGTTGTGTGACTAACAGGACATTACAGAAGTGAGGCAATGCAGCAGGGTGTGTGACTTCCCAGGGGACAGCAACA
This sequence comes from Homo sapiens, assembly GCF_000001405.40. Taxonomy (NCBI): domain Eukaryota; kingdom Metazoa; phylum Chordata; class Mammalia; order Primates; family Hominidae; genus Homo; species Homo sapiens. Next base: position 49,410,442 of record NC_000016.10, on the reverse strand, counting down.
AGGGCCCTCTAGCTTCTGCCCTGTTCCCTTTTGGGCTGGTTGCTCAGGCGAAGCCAACCGCCATGTTGTCAGGACACTCAAGTAGCCCCATGAAGAGGCCCATGTGGAGAGGTGTTGAAACCTTCAGCCAACAGCCAGCACCAGCTGGCCAGCTGTGAGACTAAGCCACCTTGGAAACGGATCCTCCAGCCCAGCCAGTCCTTTGGATGACTGCAGCTCTGCTGACAGATTGACACCAACCTCATCACAGACCCAGCTACCCCACTGTGTTCCTGACCCACAGGAACCATGTGGGATGATACATATTTGTTATTGTTTGGGGAGAAATTATTAGCCAGCAAAAGAACCAATAAGTATCTCAGTTCTCCTCAGAAACTACCCTTCGTCCACTGTGTGTGGCCTTGGTAGAACTGGCACTTTAGGTGCTCCATCTTCCCTGGGCCAAGGGATGGGGGCCTTGACCCTAGAGAGGACAATGAGACCCTCTTTCTGGAATTTGTATCTTGAACCAGAGAGACTAGACCAGGAAATGATTGGACTGATTTCCAGAAGCTACTTGACATCACGCACACACACGTAGGAACACACACACACATATACGTATATACATATATACATATAAACACACACGTATGCACACCACATGCACATGCACCAATACATATATAAACATACATACATATACACATGCACATATATTTTCCTTTTTTTGCCAAAGTTAGGTGCAGCCATTGCTAGCATCATCTTCACATGTCATCAGAAACCACACCACTCATATTAGGCCCTGGAACACACGTCATTCAGTAAGTGCTCAACCAGTGCATATTGGGTAAATTAAAATCCTAGAAATAAGAATGAAGTCAGGGCTGCTTCTTGTGATTTTGACTTGTGTTTTGTTCATCGTCTTGGAGAAGATTTTGAAAGCCTGAGATTGATGACCTTTGTTCTCTGTCTCCCTCCCTTGCCCACCTTCCCAGAGGAGAGTAGCTTTGCGCTCAGTTACCTGCCACAGAAAGGTTCTGCTGCCAAGCAGGGAGTTGAAGGGATCTGCAGACAGCCTGCCTGTGTTGGTCTGGAAGCCCATGCTCTTTGAGGTGAGAACTGGGGTGAGAGGAAGGCATAAGCCTCAGAAGAAAGCATGGCAGTGGTGGGGGTAGGGGGTAGAGAAGTGGTTGTTGTGAGTGGAGACTTTGTGAACTTTTTGGGCTGTGACCTGCAGCAATTCAGCAGTGACCAGTATAGGTTGGCACCTACCCCAAGGTATTGCTCTGTCCAGGACCTTGGGGGTGTAAGAGACGGAGCCCCACTAAGGGATGGAAATTGAATTTCCACCAGTCCAGCTCAACAGGGGCATGAAATCAGATTTTTAGTGATTTGATTTAGGGGGCTCTGCCATTTCTCCTATACTCAAGTTTGTGGAATAAGTCTCAAAGCTACTACAGTGGCAGGAATTTTCATTTTTTGGTCTTTGTTCATTACTGTATTACGAAGCCTGGCACATTGCCTAAAACACAGTAGGCACTCAATAAATGTTAGTGCTTAAAGGCACATGTAGAAAATGAAAATTTCCTGGGTGCCTGCTAAGTGCTAGAGACTCTTGAAACTTCCCTTGGATTCTTCTTTTCACGCCAACACTTGAAACTTGGTATTTTCTTTCACATTTTATTTCTCCTCCCTTCCTTCCTTCATTTCTTCCTTCTTCCCTTCCCAATCCTTTTCCAGCTGTCTGAATGTATTTGCATGTGTTCTTGTAAGCAGTGTGTTGTTGTATGTGTGTATTTTCAGTTTGTGTTAAGACTAGAGTGTCCCTTCTCATCCTGTTTCCCATCTTTTTCACTCACCTTGTTTTGCCATCCACCAGCACCCAGACATTCCTGCCAGTGCTAGTGTCCTTAAATAGATCTCCTGGGATAGAACTTTGGAATATACGTCCAGGAGTGGGGCTGCTTGCTAGGTCCCTGCAGTGTCCATGTGTAATTTAACCTAGAGCGGCTGCAGTGGCCCACACTCCTACTGCAAGGCATGAAGCTTCCTTCGTTTCCACGTCTGTGCCAACATTGGCCTTCCCTAGCTTTCTAACATGTTTCAGTCTCATAGAGTGGTACCTCATGGTTATTTTAACTTGCATTTCTTGCCCCGATTTGGAGGAAAAGAATTGAAGTCTCAGAAAAGTGATGTTAGTGAGTAGCTGGGCTTGTGTTCATCTACCCGAGGCTTAGGCTCGAGGGCCCGGCTTCCCCTTGGATAGGCTGACGGCTCTGCCAGCAGCCGGGCCAGACAGCGTGGACACCGTCAGGAGAGTAGCCTTCTGCTGTGATAGAGCCCCACCTGGTGGCGCAGGAAGGGAAGGGGAAGGGGAAGGGCAAGAGGAGGGAAAGAAATGGAAGGGGAGAAATTTACTCCAGCAGCTGCACAAGGCCACGCCCTGCCACAGTCATTGCACACCTGGAGGACATGCGCCAGGCCTTAAGGGACTTAGGTTTAGCCTCTGCCTCTGGGAGGTGGAAGGAACTAGAATAGCTTCACCATTGAGGAGCCTATTGTTTTTAGCAAACGAAACCGGAACTTTTTTTTAAACAAAAAACACTTAGTATATTTCTTTTTAAAATGTACTTTTAACTAAAGTACAATATACCCATATAAAGGGCATAAATCCCAAGTGCACAGCTCAATGAATTTTCTAAGCTAACTGGCCTCCGGTGGATCACATACCCCCTCTTCCAAGGATAGCCACCATCCTGACTTCCAACACTATAGATTAGGTCTAGGTTCTATTTTTTTTTTTTTTTGGCCTGGGTTGAAGGTTGTATAAATGGAACTCCACAGGTGTTCTTTTTTGTATTTTGCTACTTTTGCAGAATACGTTGTGTATAATGCATCCGTATTGTTTGGTCATTCTTGTTTTCATGCGGTATTCCATTGCATGATTATACTGCAAGATATGCTTTCTACTGTTGACTGATGGATATTTGGGTTGATTCCAGTTCTTGGTTATATAGAATAAAGTTGCTGCAAAAGTTAGCACATGTCTATTGGTGCACACATCCATTGGCGCACACGTCTATTGGTGTACACGTCCATTGGTGCACACGTCCATTGGCGCATACGTCCATTGGTTCATACATCCATTGGCGCACATGTCCATTAACACACACGTCTATTGGTGCACACGTTCATTGGCGCACACGTCCATTGATGCACACGTCTATTGATGCACACGTTCATTGGCGCACACGTCTATTGATGCACACGTCTATTGGCGCACACGTCCATTGGCACACACATCTATTGGCGCACACGTCTATTGGCGCACACGTCCATTGGCACACACATCTATTGGCGCACACGTTCATTGGTGCACACGTCTATTGGTGCACACGTCTATTGGTGCACACATCCATTGGTGCACACGTCTATTGGTGCACACGTCCATTGGTGCTTACATCTATTGGTGCACATGTGCATGCAGTTCTGTTCAGTATGTATGCATAGGAAATACCAGACCATAGAGGAGTGTATATTCAACTTTACTGGATGCTCCCAGTTTTCCTAAGTGGTTGTGCCAACCTGCAGGGCAATGGCAAGAGTGTGAGAGTTCTGATTGCTCCAGATTCTCACCAATGGGCTTTGCCATTGCCAGTCTTCAGCCATTCTAGTGTGTGCGTAGTGATTCTGCATCGTGTTTTATAACTTGCATATCCTGATGATTAATGACATTTTTTATGTTTATTGGTCACTTGGCTATCCTCTTTTGTGAAGTTTCTATACTAATAGAAGCTTTTGCCTATTTTTTCCACTGAGTGACCTGCCTTTTTCTTACCAATATATATAGGAGTTAAAAATATATCACCTGGATAGGAGTCCTTTGTCAGATATGTTGTCAGAAGAAATATCTTCTCTTGCTTGTGTTGCTGGCCTTTTCACTCTCTTAGTGATGTCTTGGATAAGTAGAAATTCTTTTCTTTTCTTGAGACAGGGTCTTGCTCTGTTGTCTAGGCTGGAGTGCAGTGGCATGATCGTGGCTCACTGCAGCCTTAACCTCCTGGGCTCAAGTGATCCTACCACCTCAGCCTCCTGAGTAGCTGGGACTACAGGCATCCACCACCATCCCTGGCTAATTAAATAAAGTTTCCTTTTGTATAGATAGGTCTTACTATGTTGCCCAGGCAGGTCTTGAACTCCTGGCCTCAAGTGTTCCTTCTACTTCAACCTCCTAAAGTGCTGGGATTACAAGTGTGAGTCGCTGCACCTGGCCAGAAATTCTGAATTCTAATATAATACAATTTATTACATTTTTCTTTTATTATTGGAGCTTGTTGTGTTGTGTTCAAAATCTTTTTGCCTACCCCAAGGTCATGGAGATTGTCATCTACCATTCTTCTAAAAACTTCCACAATCTGCATCCATCTGAAATTGATTTTTGCATATGGTGGGAAGCAGAGGGTCAATATTTTTTCCATATGGATATTTAATTGACCAGCCTGATTTATTGGAAAGACCATCATTTCTCCACTGCACCGCAGTGTCACCTTTGCCATAAACCAGGGGATAGTACACGTGTGAATCTGTTCCTGGTATATGTGTTTGTCTGTTTCTGTATCTGGTAGTAACTGTTTTAGGGAGTGCAATAGAATTATACTATTCGTAAGGCAATTTCAGAGTCTGTAAAACACCCGTTTAGAGTGTGCTGCAGGTGGTGCTGTCTGCTGATGGACGCTGGCTTGGGGTTGTCTGATAAAAATTCTTTTCTCAATGCAAGCTGTGAATCTTAGGACTCACTGTGGGCTCGCCTGGTCAGGATGTCAGGAACATGAATCTAAGGCTTCTTATGCTTGTGAGGTCCAAGAATAAAAGCACTCTGCACCCACAGAGGGAGCCATGTAGCCTCAGCTGTTTTGAGTGGGACAAGGTCTCTTCTCTGCTTTCATTTCCTTTCCCTTTTCCAGTTCACGCCGAACCCCAGAAAAACCTTCAGTCTGGCGCTACAGGTGCATCTGGTGTCTGAGAGGTGGGCTTCCCACAGCAGTTCCTCCTTGGAGGTTCTGGAGGCACCAAGCAATCTCTTGAGGATGTGGCATTCAGCTCAGCTGGGGCTGGGCTAGACCTCCTGCTAACGTTACTTCATGAACAGGGTTTTTGTGTTGATGTACAGGTCTCCAAACAGGGGCCTTGGGTTTGCAGAGGGAGAAGCTCCCCAGGCCTGGCTCTGAATGTACCACTGGAGAGGCAGTGGGATGGGCCTGCCTCCCAGGGCCATCAGCCTGGGGCTCAAGCTCTGGCACTTTCACTGGGCACAGATGGGCAGCAGGGTGTGGCTGTGGGGACAGGTCGAGGAGAGCGTTAAGCATGTGGGTTCCAGCAGCAACTCTACCATGAACTCAGGGGAATCATAGGGGGATACTCCACCCATCCCTGGGCCTCTGACTCCACCTTTGGTCTCTGTATTATGGGTTGGTTGTGTTCTTCCAAATGATGTGTGGAAGTTCTATCCCCTGATACCTGGGAATAATCTTATTTGGAAACAGAGACTTTACAGATATAATCATGTTAATAGAGTGGGCTCTAATGTAATAGGACTGGTGCCCTTAAAAAGAGACAGAGGCACATGGAGAAGAGGGCCCTGTGAAGATGGGGGCAGAGACTGGAGTTGTGCTGCCACAAGCCAAGGAATGCTTGTGGCTGCAAGAAGCTAAAGAGATAAGGAAGACTCTCCCCCAGAGGTTTTGGAGGGAGCATAGTCCTGCCAACATCTGGACTTTGGACTTCTACTCTCCAGAACTGTGAGAAAAATGCCTGGGCTGGGTGTTGTGGCTCACACCTGTAATCCCAGCACTTTGGGAGGCCAGAGCTGGAGGACTGCTTGAGTCCAGGGGTTTGAGACCAACTGGGCAACATGGTGAAGCCCTGTCTCTACAAAAAATAGCTGGGTGTGGTGGTACATGTCTGTAGTACCAGCTACTAGGGAGGCTGAGGTTGGAGGATTGCATAAACCCAGGAAGTCAAGGCTGCAGTGAGCTGTGATCATGCCACTGCATTCCAGCCTGGGTGACAGAGTAAGACCTTATCTCAAAAAAAAAAAAAAAAAAAAAAAAAGAAGAAGAAATAATCTGTTGTGTTAAGCCACCCAGTTGTCGTACTTCATTCTAGCAGCTCTGAGAAGCGAATGTACCCTGTCTCTGGGCTTGCTTCTCCAATCTGTCCTTCACCACATCATTTCCTGCTCCAAACCCATTAGTGGTTCCTCATGACCCCTGGAACATCATGGATACTGGCAGCATCTCCCATCTAACCAATTCTAACCCAAATCCTGACTTGTGCCTTTCTCTCTTTTGCTCTTTCCCACTGCATTTCATGGCACACCCGACAGTCACTCAGGCCAAAGGATGGCTCAAGGGTCATTCCTGAGTCTTCTCCCTCTTGTCCACACTCAACCTGGTGACAAATTCTTTCAGCTCTACTTCCAAAATACATTCTCAATAATTTGCTTCTGTCATGGCCATCCTACTTTAAGCCTCCAACCTTGTCTTTCTTGAACTGCACACTAGCCTCTTGAGGTAGGCTGATTGCAGAATTGCCCACAGTCTTGGACTACTCCCTGCATCCAAGTTATTTGAAACTCTTTCCTTCTATAGGTACAGGTTATTTCTCCATCCTTGAATTTGAGCTGACCTTGGGACTTGTGTTGGGCACTGAAGACTAGAGTGAGGTGGGAGTGATTGTGTGCCATTTCTGAGCCTAGTACTCAAGAGACCTTGTGTACTTCTTGGAATGCTGCCACCATGAGCACAAGCCCAGGCTAGCTTGTTAGAGGAAGATCTGCATGGAACAGAGGCCAGCCAGCCCAGACAAGGCCACACTAGACCAGCCAGACCCAGTTAACCCACTAGCTGACTGCAGACGTGTAACTCCAGCCTAGCTCAGCTAAGCCTGGCCAACAAAGATCAGCAGAGATGCTCAATTGACCAGTGGAATCATGAGAATTTGTGTTGTTTTAAACTATATTTTGGAGGTTATTTGTTACACAGCTGTAGCTGACTGATATACCTCCATAATCATCTCCAGGCTTTCTCTTTCTTTCCCACAGAATATTTTCTCCTCTCAGAAGCCAGAGGGGCCTCTCCTGTACTTATTGCCCTCCAACATGATTTTCTGTTGCAACTAGAATGATCTCCAAACTCAGGACCATAGCCTCCAAGGCCTGACCTGATCAGTTCTCCCAACTCTCTCCTTTGTTCACTCTGCTTCCACCACACTGACCTTCCTGCAAGTCCCATGAACATGCCTTGGCTTTTGCCATCCCCTCTGCTGCAGCTGTCCCTTCAGGTCTGCTCGTGGTGGCTCCTTCTCATCTTTCAGGTGCCAACCCAATCACTTCCTCCAGGAGGCCTGGCCTGACCACATTGGCTAAAGCCATCCTCTCCTACCCTCCTCCCAGTCACTTTTCTTGCATTCCACCATTTTTAGTTTCTCATTACTTGCTAAAATCTTTGTCATTACTTGCAAAAAAAGCCTTTTGCTGAAGTGCATATTATTTGTGTCCCCAACTAGAACGTAAGCTCAAATCAAAGGAATGCTTTGATTCACTGCCGTGGCCTTAGTAGTTATAACAGTTTCTGGCACATAGTAGGTGTTCAATAAATATTTGCTAAATGAATGAATAACAAATGAATAACAATAACCTTCGGGGGTGAGGGGAGCCTTTGTCGTGAAGCTTGCAAACCCTTTGAGCATATTATCTCCTGCCACTGTGCTTCCTGTTAATCATCCACTCCATCCAGACTGACCTACCTGCAGCTTTTCTGCCATGCCACGCTGTCTCTGGCCTCTGAACCTTTGTACATTCTGTTCCCTCTGTCTGCTCTTTCCTCCTATACAAAGATCTTGGAAACTCCTATTTATCCATAAAAGTGTGACATTAGATATCTTCTCCTTTGAGAAGCTTTTCCATCATCTGCTGTTCCCAGTCCATGGTGAAGGGCCTCCTCCCCCTGTTCTCTGAGGACATTTGATTCCCTTCACCTCACTCATCATGTGGTGCTCTCAAATAGCTTGTTATTCCTCTGTCTTCAGGACTGTAAACCGCATGTGGGCAGGACCAGGTTTTCTTAATGACTGCATCCCTGGACTCCCATAGGGGCAGGGATGACACACCCATAGGTGGGTGCTTAGTAACTATGTAATGGCTGAGTGTTAGGATTGAGGAATATGACTGGAGGCCAATGGACTAGAGGAGATCAAGGTCTGCCCTCTTTCTCTGACTGCACATGAATCGAAACCTGTGAAAAGTCAGGGACAATGTGGGCCCTGGGTGGATTTGGAGAAGCTGAGAGTGGATGCAGCATTTGGGATTACACACATCCTCCTGCTACTACCAAGCACAACACAGTGAGGAGAGCTCCTGATTAAGGCCAAAATGCTGGCATCTCCCTCAGCTTCTCTGTGACATCAGAAGGGCTGGGCTTCCCTTTTTTCTGAATACCTTTCTCACATTGGGGCTCCTAGTGAGTTGTGGAGGAATGGAACTGATGTATGACTCCAGCTCTTCAGAAAATGATCCAGGGGTCTTAGTGGACCACAGGGGAAGTATAGCACATCAGCCATGTAATACAGCTGGTGGAGGGGAAAAATGAATACATAAAATCTACATGTCATCTGGAAGTCAGTCCTTATTACAAGAAAGGAATCCAGCCACTGGCTTCATGCCTTATTCTGGGTCCATTTTTGGCTATTGCATTTTTTTTTCTTTTGAGGTGGAGTCTCACTCTGTCTCCCAGACTGGGTGCAGTGGCGCTATCTCAGCTCACTGCAAACTCCGCCTCCTGGGTTCATGCCATTCTCCTGCCTCAGCCTCCCGAGTAGCTGGGACTACAGGAGCCCGCCACCATGCCTGGCTAATTTTTTGTATTTTTAGTAGAGACAGGGTTTCACCGTGTTAGCCAGGATGGTCTCGATCTCCTGACCTTGTGATCCGCCCGCCTCGGCCTCCCAAAGTGCTGGGATTACAGGCGTGAGCCACTGCGCCCAGCCGGCTATTGCATTTTTAAAAGGGACACACTAAGGATACTGCAGAGATAATCAAACTGAATTATATCACAGAAAACTGTGGAAAAAACAAGTCTGAAGATGAAATGGCTAAATGGTCACTGTCACATTACATCGCTATGGTTAATATATCTGACATTTAACTTTTTAGGGCCATTTTATCTGTTGTTTAATTTGTTCCTCATCACTAGTCCTGCCTGAATGTGAATATTTACCAGGCAATGAAGGCTAGGGCCATCAATGCAGGATAGAGGTTGGCGGTGCTCTCCCTAGCTGCCGAGTCTGTGATACTGAAGTGAAGGCCTCTGAGGATGCTTTCAGATTTGATTTTGGTTGAGTTAATATTGACGAAGTGCCTGACACTTGTGATGCTCAGAAAATTTGTTTCCTTTCACCTTTTTGAAGCACTGTTTCTACCCAAGGGACTGGTATTTGCTGGAGAGAGGGAGTATCGCTTAACCCTTTGCAGCTGTTTCCTTGGATTCTGGCTTGGGTCTCACTGTAGTTCGGTCTAAACATCGCTTGCTGGATCCCGAGTGTCCTGCTTAGTAGCTGTGTGACTTTAGGCAAGCTACATGGGCTCATACTTCTCTGGCCTGCCCGCTCCTTGGAGGGGTGTTGTATTCCTTAGTGGTGACTGCAACCCTAGGGTGGGCTGGCGTGGGGTAGGGGAGGGTGGGTCCGGCAGCCCCCAGGGCCTCTCTCTGAGCCCCAGTGGCAATGACTTTCAGTGGAGAGACCTACTTACCTTCAAGAGACTACTTTAGAACCTCAGGGTAGGATATGGAAATTTAAAAGTACATGGAAGGAAAATCCCTGCTATTTTAGTATACGGAGTCAGGGAGTAAAACCTGCTCACAAGACAGACTGGAGTAGTGGCTGCCCAGCCGAGATTCTGTACCGGAGTATCTCTGGGGTGTGGCCTAGCTCTTGGAGGCCCAGAGATCATTAGATGTTTAGGTTTGCCATGAGCAGATGTGGATTTGGTATTAGCAGCTTTTCCAAGGGGATTGACGTGCCTAGTTTTGGGGATCCCTCTCAGAAAAGCAGCGGCTGGAAAATCAGCTCCTCGTCTACCCCAGTGAACTACGAAACAGCCCACATTTGTATGGAGTTCTTGGCTGTCACTGACTGTGCTCCCTGCTTCACATGCAAGCTCTCATGTGCTCTTCACAGCACTCCTGCTCAGCACATACTGTCATTAAACCCATTCTACAGGCGAGGAAACAGAGGCACAGAAAGGTAAAGTAACTTTCCTAAAGTCACACAGCTATTAAGTAGGACACGTGGGATTCAGACTTGCTTGAAACACTTGCAGGGACTGGAAGGGCCTGAGTTTGTGACCTTGGTTGGCCAGCATACCCAGATGGGAAGGCTGTGTCTCAAAAAATTCCTGCAGGATTGGCCACAGTCATGCAAGAAAGCAGGGCAGGAGACTTGGGGAAGATACTGTTTTCATCTCAACCCTGCCGTTTCTCATCTATGTAACTCTGAGCAAGTTTCTTGCCCTCTGTGGCTTCTTTTATTCAAATGAATAAGGTCCTGGACTTGCTGATGTTGAGGCACCTACCAGCTCTGAAAGGTTTCAGGTCCCCTTTTGGGGTCTGTGGTTGTAAGCACACAAAGGTCTCCTTCCTTGCCTCCATATGTTGATAGCATTTCCCTCTCTCACTGCCCCAATCAGTCCCCCACTCTGCACACAAGGAAGCCAAGTCCCCACAAAGCCAAGTCGTGCCATGGGCGTGGGGCATGTGTGTGTGTTCTCAACCAGCCCCTTTACACTTCGTGCTTTCTAATGTCCCTCTGAGGACCCTGGACCCCTCCCACTTTTTTTTTTTTTTTTTTTACTCCTAAGCCTTCCTTCCTAAGAAGCCCTTTCTAAGGACTCTTCTTTTGGTCAGGAGAAAAACCAGTTTCTCCTATGCTGGTTCTGACTCGGATGTCAAGGACCAGTCTTACGGAAGCACAATGATCACACAGCCGAGGCTTGTTTTCTGATTGCTTACTTTCTAAAGGGATGCACTAAGTTGGAAGGACCACTTGTAGTGTGCCAGAGGATGGCATCTGGAGGTGAAGGGTCCCATGACAGAAGGAGCCTGAAGGTGGTGGCGAGAGGAGCTATTTAGAGGGCCATGCTGGGTATTCCGGTGAACACCTTTTTAGCATCTATGTCCTCTTCGACCATGTGGGGGTGGATATCCACATTCATTCCTGCATCCTTGCACAACTTGAGCAAGGTCCGAATGTTCTCCTTGGATAACCTCAGGTATCTGTTCAAGAGAAGGCAAAAGAGGTCAGTTGAAGGTGGAGTCACAGCAGCTTCTAACTTTATTGAAAAGAGCTTAGATTTGAGCAGCAGTAAGTGTGGGTGCTCTGCAAGGGGCTGTCTCTCCCAGTCATCCATGGAGCTGATAGAGACCTTATAAGACAGTGGGACACCCCACAAAGGCGGCGGGAGTTTGCGTTTGTGTAACTCTTTTGGCAGTCGGTTGACTCCAGAGAAAAAACATTCATTATCTTTGACTCAGTAACCCCACTCAGGTCCTCGATATATCCCAAGAAGAGGAGTCAATGGAAAGAAAAGCTATATAAATAAAAGATGTTCATTTTGGGATTGTCAACAACAGGAAAATGAGTAAATCCACCAACAGAGAATTGGTCAATCTGATAATGGACTACCTCATGTCAAGGATCTTAATTAAAAGGCCACAGTTAGAATGGCATTAGGAAGAAGATGGTGCCACGTGGCTGTGACAATACCAAGTGGGGAGAAAAGACAGAATGTGAATTGTTACGTGATTTGTCACTGTCATGCGCACATACACTGAGAGAGGTCATGGGCCGGGAAAGATACAGACAGTGGAAATAATCGCTGAGCAATGTTGCAGGCATAGCGGTGAGCATTTGTTTTTAATAATATCCACACAATTTAAAAATCAGACCATTGATTTAGAATATTAGCTAGAGCCCCATAATTCTGATACTGAAGAATGGGATCAATCCCATTTGTACTGTGTGATCCAGAGAGCTCCTTGTTCTACCAGCAACTCTGACCTTGGTCCCAGCTTTAGTATAGGGTGTAGGCCCCCTACTCAGGCTGCCTGCTGGTTGCTTACTTTGCCACAGACTATGGGAGAGGAGCTGTGTGTTGATATAATGTGATTTTCTGCCTGTTAGGAATGGCCACTGTTCTTTAAGATCTTCCCAGAGCCTACCTGTTCTTATGGCCAGCTCAGACCCCCTCACCAATCCCCACACTTGGACTACTTTTTCCCTGATCAGCCTAGCCTCTGAGGGTCTCATGCATATGTATATGGGGACACCCATTACGGTCTCATCCAAGTGCTGTGGCTCACATCTGTAATCCAGCACTTTGGGAGGCCAAGGAAGGTGAACCACCTGAGAATAGGAGTTCAAGACCAGCCTGGGAAACATGGCAAAACCCCATCTCTACTAAAAATACAAACATTAGCTGGGTGTGGTGGTGCATGCCTATAATCCCAGCTACTCAGGAGGCTGAGGCACGAGAGTGGCTTGAACCTGGGAGGTGGAGGTTGCAGTGAGCCGAGATCACATCACTGCACTCCAGCCTGGGCGACAGAGAGAGGCTGTCTCAATAATAATAATAAATCCCACTCTGAACCACTTCATTCTTTTCTTGGATGTTTCTTGAATGGCTTCATATGCTACCTCTTCAAATATTCTTTCCCTCTCTTTGGAGGGCAGGAGTCCTGTCCAAATCTCTTTCCCCCCACCATGGAACCCGGGTAGGCTGTCTGTTGCCCAGAGTCAATTAGAACCACATGGCCCATCTGAAAGCCAGGGCCAAAGTCATCCACCCATGGAACCAGCCAGCAAAGGCAGTCTGCTGAGATCTCTCCCTGTTCATCTGGAAGCCAGTTAACCATTCTATTCATCCATCCTTCTGCCAGTCAGTGAGCAGAGCAGGACTTTGTGATGGAGTTATTAGATTGCCAGACATTTGAGGCCATCTTAAACCTATAGATGAGTTTACTGATGTCAACCTTACAAGGATGATGACAACTACATTACTCTGTTGTTTTGTTTCCTTATTTGCTAAAGTTTCTGAACTTTGTCAGTTACAACTTTACAGTAAAGGAAAACACTGGGCTAGGGAGAGGGATGCTTGTTTTTTGATGGGGGAATCTGGGGTCCATTGCTGAAAACCAGAGAGCCCTGATAAACAGGACAGAGAGCAAATGAGAAGGGAGACTCTTTGGGAAGAGCAGTAAATATCAAATGGTTTCACACTTTGTTCATGATCCCTTTGACAGTCTAAAAGTCCAAACATGCAGCAGGTAGGTCACTGAGGATGGTGGCTACCATCACCAGCAACTCAACCCCACAGTGCAAAGGATCGTAGGGAAATCTTCCTATTAAGACAAAGCCACATTCTTTCCTTTTTGAGTAATATTGAAACAAACGGAAATATTGGGAGGGTTGTTGAAAGGTGTGGCATCAAAGTGGCAGCACCTAAATGACATGCCCATTCAGGGGATGGTCTACCAGCAGGTGAGCTGCTGGAAACCCACTGGCTTGAGCCCTGGAGCAGTCCTTTGGGACCAAAGGGCGGAGCTCAGCCACACCAAGCCCCTACTCCTAGATCTTCAGGCTAAGCCAAGGTGTTTGAGCCAGGGACAAGAGTGAGCAAAGCCTGTTCCAGGACCCCACCCCATCTGCCCAGGGGGTGGCAGCTCTCACCGGCAGCTCAGCACCTCCTCTGGCTTCAACATCCTCATGGTTTCCATCTTAGGTTCGGTGCTTTTCTCCATGAGGCTCTTTAGCTTGCGTTCGTAAGCCATGTCAGGCATCTTGTTGGACCAGTCTCTTATGAAGGTTGCCCTCTGGCTGTTAAAGGTACCCTCCTGTAACATGGGATCTAAGACAATGCTTTGTCGACGGAATGGGTTTGGCCGCTGAGTGGACTCTGGGTCGACTGCATCCTTGATGTCTGTATCTGAAATTGGACAGATGCCATCAAAGAGTTAGACCGTGGGAGACGTGAGAGGTGGGGTAGGCAGGAAGGGGATGAAGGCTGGAGGAATGCATGGACTTCAAACCGTACCTGTTCTGAGATATGAGGTCTTTTCGTGGCTTCCACAGGTTCTCTATACCCCTTCTCCCCTTTCTTTTTTTGAGACTGAGTTTCCTCACTCTGTGGCCCAGGCTGGACACAGTGACACAATCATACCTCACTGCAGCCTCTATCTCACAGGTTCAAGTGATCCTCCTGCTTCACCCTCCCGAGTAGCTGGGCCTATAGGCACATGCCTCCACTCCTGATAAATTTTTATATTTTTGTGGAGCTAGGGTTTTGCCATGTTGCCCAGGCTGGTCTTGAACTCCTGGGCTCAAATGGTCCACCTGCCTCAGCCTCCCAAAGTGCTGGGATTACAGGCATGAGCCACCGTGCCTAGCCCAGGTTCTCCTTCTTTATTTGTTCAATCCTTTTACCCCTCCCTCCTTTCTCCCTGCCCTGTTCCGACTCCCTTCCTTTCCCTCCTTCCCCCTTTCTGCTTATTTCAATCTGTTCTCTCCATCCTCCCCAGCAGGAATTCCCCTAAGTGGAATGAGCCTAGAGGAGGTAGCCTAGAGGATATCTTCTGATATCCCAGGGAAGGTATCAGAAGAGAAAAGCTTTGAGCTGGGTTTAAAAGGGCGAATCGTTGATCAGTTAGAAAAGGAAGGAAAGGATCGCAGGCAGAGGAACAGAATGTGTGAAGGCACAAATACACGAAATGTAATGGTAAGTGTCTGATGTGACCCAAATATGGGGTTTGTACCAAACAAAATGTTGTTGGACTTGCAGGGGTGCCCAATATTTTGGCTTCCCTGGGCCACATTGGAAGAAGAAGAATTTTACTGGGCCACACCTAAAATCTGCTAACACTAATGATAGCTGATGAGAAAAAAAAAATCGCAAAAAAAAATCTCATGATGTTTTAAGAAAGTTTACAAATTTATGTTGAGCCACATTCAAATCCGTCCTGGGTCCCATGTGGCCAGCCTGAAGGTTGGACTAGAGCTTGGACACCTTAATATTTTTTTCTTGCTAAATTTCCTTCTAAGTGTTTTATGTATTTTTACTCAGGAGGATGGAATATTCTCTACTCATTTCCATTTCTAACTGGTATGACAAGTATGTAGAGAAAAGTCTACTGTTTTTTAAAAACTATATTTGTCAGCTGGGCATGCTGGCTCATGTCTATAATCCCAGCACTTTGAGAGGTGAGGCAGGTGGACCATTTGAGCCCAGGAGTTCAAGATCAGCCTGGGCAACATGGATTGAGGCCAGAAGTTCAAGACTAACAAAGTGAGACTCCATCTCTAACAACAACAAAAAAAAATTAGGGGTCTGGTGGCACATGCCTGTCATCCTAGCTACTTGGGAGGTTGAGGTGGGAGGATTGCTCGAGCCCAGGAGGTCAAGGCTGCGGTGAGCTATGATCACACCACTGCACTTCAGCCTGGGTGACAGAGTAAGACCCTGTCTCAAAAACAAACAAACAAACAAGCAAACAAAAAACTATAGTTGTCTAGTATACCAGCAACCACAGTAAATTTTATTACTTTTTAACTAGAATTTCATGAGTTTTGCAGATATACAATCATATTAGGGGAAAAAATGAACATATCATTTCTCCAATATTTATCAAAATTATATATTATTTTTAATATATATTACATTTGACAGACCCTCTAGAACATTGCCAATAATGATGATAGGGATTATGCCTCATTTTTTTCCTGATTTTAAGTAATTTGGGCATTGCATCATTTAGAATGATATTTGCCCCTATTTGGGATACATGTTTTATAATATTTTAGTGGTTTTATCCCTGGTTGACATAGAGTTTTCACTGGTGATAATTGCTTGATTCTATTCATTGCTTTTTTTTTGCCATCAACTGATATAATCACATTTTTTCCTTTAATATGTTGATGTAATAAATTGTGTTCTTAGATATCCTGATAATGAACCACTTCTCACCTGCTGTAATAAAGCCCACTTGTTCATGGTGGAATTCATTTCAGACATTGTACATTTGATGTATTTTCATACATTGAGTATGTTTGCTAAAAATTTTTAGATTTTCGCATTTATATTATTGGCCAACTTTTTTGGTATAACTTTTAATATTAAAGTTCTGCATTAATTTAATAGCTTTTTAAATTAATGCAGAAATGTCTATATTTTATACAGTCTGTAATAGTTGAAGTAACATTAGAATTATTTGCTCTTTAAATGTTAAAACCTTGCATGAAACCATTTGTCTTAGTGCCATTTTTTAGTGGGAAAATGTTAATTATTTTTCAACCTTCACTGCAGAAATTGCCCTATTCAATTTTTCTGCTCTATATTGTACCAATTTTGATAATATATAGTATAATAGAAAATCATCCATTTCCTTTAGGTTTTAAAATGTATTGTATAGAGGTATAGTATTCTATTACAATTCTTTTATTTTATTTGCATCCTTTCTCACATAAAATCTTGTGTATTTTTACTCTTCTTTTTAACAAGGCTTATGATTACTTCATAGCAATTGCTTTCATGTCACTTGCTTTTTCAAAAAGCTAGCTTTATATTTAGCCTTTTAACAACTTTTGATCTTGATATTATTCATTAATCCCAGCCAGTATTTAATATATTAATTTTCTCTTTTTCATAGTAATTCTTTCTTCTACTTATTAAACTAATAAAAGTGTTGGCATTTTCTTTTATTATGTGTTTTATAAAGAATTATTACTTTTAGTTTTTACTGTAAATTTTCTTCTGAGCATATGTTTTGCCTATGTCTCATAGGTTTTGGTATGAAACAGGCTTATTTCGTTATTTATTTTCTTTGATACAAGGGTAATTTGGAAGTGTGTTTCTTAATTTCCAATTTTTAAAGTTGAGGGTTATTTCTAATTGTTGGTTTAGGGTGATGTAGGTAGCCCTAAAATCTTTACTTTTTTGAATGTTAATTTTTTTTATGACAAAGCACACAGGTGATTTTTGTAAATATTGTTTGGATATATAAAGATACATGTTCTCTATTCAGATGTAAAGCTACAGTTTGTTAACTGCATTGTTACATTCTTCTATGTATTTCCTGTTATTGTCTATATGATCTTCTATTTGGTTCTGAAGGAGGTGTATTAAAATTTACCCCTATAGTGGGGAGAATGGGAGGGAGATGTGGGTTGGAAGGCTATGTATCGGGTTACTATGCTGTATGAGTCTGTTCTCATGCTGCTAATAAAGATGTACCCGAGACTGGGTAATTTATAAAGGAAAGAGGTTTAATTGACTCACAGTTCCACATGGCTGGGGAGGCCTCACAATCATGGCAGAAGAGCAAGGGACATCTTACATGGCAGCACGCAAGAATAACTTGTGCAGGGGAACTCCCATTTACAAAACCATCAGATCTCATGAGACTTATTCACTATCATGAGGACAGCATGGGAAACACCTGCCTCCATGATTCAATTACTTCCCACCAGTTTCTCTCACAATACCTGGGAATTGTGGGAACTACAATTCAAGATGAGGTTTGGGTGGGGACACAGTCAAACCATATCATATGCTCACTACTTGGGTGATAGCATCATTTATACACCAGGCATCAGCGACACAGAATTTACCCATGTAACAAACCCGCACATGTACTCCTAGAACCTAAAAGTCGAAATAAAATAAAATGTACCACTATAACTGTATGTTTAGCAGGTTCTCCCTAGATTTCTAAATGTTTTGTTTTATTTATTTACCTACTATTTACCTACTACATTTTTTGATGCATGTAGGTTTATGGTTATTAGTTATTCTCTTTAACATTTAAAAAGATCCCTCTTTTACTCTATGTGTTTCTTTTAGCCTCAATTCTAACTCATCTACTTGCGTTTCCTTGTTGTTTCTTTGCTTTTCCTTTTGTCATAAACTTTTCTATCTCACCTGGTTTTAAATGTGTATCTAGATTTTATTTTAAATTACTTCCTAATATGTTGCTTCTAGTCTCTCCTAGAGAATTTTCTGCAGATGAAGGAATGTATGGCTGATAAAAATCCCTAAATATTTCTGAATCTACAAATATAAGTCATTCATTTGATAGTGACTTATGTGAGTTGGGGTCAGTATTATGGGGGTCTTTACTCTTAGTAATGCATATGTGCTATTCCACTTCCAGGTTGATGGCAGGCTGATTTTTTTCCCCTTGTAAGTAAATTATTCTGTCTGTAAGCTTGTAAGATTTCATCAACAAAGTTTGGGAATTTTATCAGGATATTCCTAGTGGAAATGCGTCTAGACCTCCTGCAATTACATAAATGCAGAGACAGTGGCCTGAGGTGTGGGTGTGACCTGCCCAAGGTGTCACAATGAGTTAGTGGCTGAATTAGGACTCTTTATGGTACATGGTGCTCTGGCATGGTAGCTGGTCCTTGACAGGGTGATAAGGTCAGGTGGCCTCAGCAGTCCCTGTTTGTGCGTGGAGGAAATTGGCGCTATGCTCTGGGAGGATCATGAGCTGCACATTCTCTTTGACACAAATAAGGAAATTCCTTGGAGAAAGGGCAATCACCTTTCCTGAAATATCTGATCCTCTTCCATGCAAGGTGGGTCTCATGAAGGAAGGAGCGATAGCAATATAAAAAGTAATGACAATTACACAGATTAGCTAACATGTGTTGAGTGACTCACATACCAGGCAGTGTTCAAGGGCTTTCTGGCAGTGGGGGCACTTTAGTCTCACAACCACATCATATCCATTTGACAAAGGAGAACATTGAGGATCAGAGGGATTAGGTAATGTGCTCAAGATGCCACAGATTATTAGTGGTGAACCGAGGACATGAGCCCACATTGTCAGAGCCTTTTTCTGGAAGCCTGTCCTGGCCACTCTTTTGGACAAAAATGACCCACATTCCTGGGTTTGTGGCTGAAGAGATAGGTTATATTTCTAGTGAGCCATGTTTGGGACACCAGAAGCTCACTCTGTGCTCGCGGAGACAAAAGGGGGTATGGCCTTCTAGCCCTGTGCATTAGGAATGTATCCTTGGCCTGGCATCTACACAATATTCTGGACATAGGTGCCCAGGGAGGGAATTCCCTTTCCAGTCTACTACTCAGACTTTGCCAAGATTTACTTTGGCAAGGTGTTACAGTTGTTTTCCCAGGATCTTTTCCTGGCTCATAGCCAGAGCAACCTTTCTAAAATTTAAATTCAATTTGGTAATTTCCTTCATAAAACTTTTCAGTGACTTGCTATTGCACTCAATAAGGTTTATGTTTTGGAAAGGCCAATCTGAGACTTCTGCCTTCAGCCAAGATGGGGTAGCAGGGATTCAATTTATCCTTTCACCTTAAGCAATTAAAAAATTGGGCATGTCATATGAAATAGCGGTTTTAAGACATCGGACAACACACAACACAGGGAAGTGATCCTTGAGTGAGGGGAAAGAAATGAGAGGAGCCCCATGATTGCCCCAACCTTCATTTGGAAGATGCTTCCAAGTTGCAGCACGGGGTTGCAGGGAAGCCTAGGCAAAGGCAGAGCCTAGCAGTCCCCTTGAGTTGGGGAGAGAAACCAGATAATTTAGGTTAAACCATAAGAGGTAGAACAGGAGGAAAAAGCTGCACCAAGAACTGCAAAGTTATGCAAAGATTCCTCTCAGCTGAGGACTAATCGGCACAAGCCGGAAAAGAAAGTACTCTAGTGAAAGAATTAGTAGACAAGAACATGGCAACAGCTAGTATGACATACTCTTGTTATGCCCTCCAAGGCAGGGTCACATTAAGAAGAGACACAGAAGATTTAAAATGACCCAAATTGAAGTTCTCGAGATGAAAATAACAATATTTGAAATAAAAATTATATTGGATGGGATTAACAGAAGATTAGGTATTGGAGAAGAAAAGATTAGTGGACTTGAAGCTATACCACAAGAAACTATATGAGATGAAACACAAAGAGAAAAGACTGAAAGATGAAGAAAAACACAAGATGAATTTTGGGACTCTAAATATGTGTAATCAGGGTGCCTGAAAGAGAGGGGAGAGAATGGAGAAATGAAATAAATTTGTGAACAAATAATGTCCAAAAATTTGTCAAATTTGATGAAAACTGTAAACCAAGAATTTCAACAAACCCCAAATACAAACCCAAGAAATATTAAGCAAATGACACTGAGGCACATCATAAGCTCCTTTCTTAAAAGAAAATCTTAGAAGCCAGAGGAAAAAGATACATTACAGAGGAACAAAAATTAGGAAGAGAGCCAGCTTCCCATTGCAAACAAGCTAGAGGACAGTACAGCAACCTTTAAAGTATTGGAAGAAGAAAGGTTGACAATCTAAAATTCTACACTCAGCAAAACTGTCTCTCAGAAACAAAAGTGAAATAAAGACCTTTCTGGATATACAAAAGCTATATGAATTTATTACCAACAAAGCCACACCACAAGATACGTTAAAGAAAAATCTTCAGGTAGAAGGAAAATTATTCCACACAGAAATCTGGATCCAATGAAGAGCACTGGAAATGTTAAATATGTGAGTAAACACAAAAGTCTCTTGAAAACATAATTGCTTGGGGCAAAAATCATAACACTTGCGGGGTTTATAATATGGAAAAATATAATGTGTGGCAACAACAGCATGTAGAAGGGGAAAGGAGAAATGGAAGTATACTCTGATAAGGCTCTTATGTTTACATAAAATGAAGATAGACTGTGCTAGTTTAAAGAGGTATACTACACACTGTAACAGAATCACTAAAATTATTATTATTACTTTTTAATACAGAGTCTCGCCCTGTCACCCAGGCTGGAGTGCGGTGGTGCAATCTTGGCTCACTGCAGCTTCCGCTTCCCAGGTCCAAGTGATTCTCCTGCCTCAGCCTCCTGAGTAGCTGGGATTACAGGTGTGTGTCACCACGCTTGGCTAATTTTTGTATTTTTTTTTTTTTGAGATGGAGTCTTGCTCTGTTGCCCAGGCTGGAGTACAATGTCACGACCTCGGCTCACTGTAACCTCTGCCTCCTGGGTTCAAGTGATTCTCCTGCCTCAGCCTAGCCTCCTGTAGCTGGGACTACAGGCATGTGCCACTATGCCTGGCTAATTTTTGTATTTTTAGTAGAGACGGGGTTTTGCCATGTTGGCCAAGCTGGTCTCGAACTCCTAACCTCAAGTGATCCACCCACCTCCGTCTCCCAAAGTGCTAGGATTACAGGCGTGAGCCACCGAACCAGGCTGCAACAAAGAGTTATAACTAGGAAGCTAATGAAGGAGATGAAATGGAATCATAAACAATATTTGGTCTAAAAGAGGGCAGGAAAAGAAGAAAGAGAAAGCAAAGAATAGATGGAACAAGTTAGAAACGCACGTGAAGATATGTGTTAATTTCCACATATTTTTAGATTTTCTAATTTTTCTCATGTTATTGATTTTTTGTTTTATACCTTTGCGGTAAGAAAAGATAGTTAATATAATTCTAGTCCTCTTGAATTTGTTAAGATGTGTTTTGTGCAGTGCAATAAAATTAGAAATCAAGACCAAGAAAATCACTCAAAACCATACAATTTTGCTGGGCACAAGGGGTGCCTATAATTCCAGCACTTTGGAAGGCCAAGTTAGGCACATTGCTTGAGCTCAGGAGTTTAAGACCAGCCTGGATAACATGTCAAAACCTCGTCTCTACAAAAAAAATACAAAAATTTGCTGGCCATGGTGGCGTGCACCTGTAATCCCAGCTACTTGAGGGGCTGAGGTGGGAGGATTGCTTGAGCATGGGAGGTCGAGGCTGTAGTGAGCCATGATCCTGCCACTGCACTCCAGCCTGGATAACAAAGTGAGACCTTGTGTTAGGAAGAAAAACCCCATACGATTTCATGGAAATTAAATAGCCTGCTCCTGAATGACTTTTGGGTAAATAATGAAATTAAGGCAGAAATCAAGAAGTTATTTGAAACAGATGAAAATAAAGATACAATATACCAGAATCTCTGGGACACAGCTAAGGCAGTGTTCAGAGGGAAATTTATATCACTGAACACTCACATCAAAAAGTTAGAGAAATCTCAACTTACCAACCTAACATCACAACTAAAAGAACTAGAGAACCAAGAGCAAACCAACCCCAAAACTAGCAGAAAACAAGAAATAACCAAAATCAGAGCTGAACTGAAGGAGATTGAGACACACACAAAAAACCATTTGCAAGATCAAGGAATCCAGGAGTTGTGGGTTTTTAAAAAAAAATTTTTTTTTCTTAATAGAGACAGGATCTCACTATGTTGTCCAGGCTGGTCTTGAACTCCTAGGCTCAAGGCATCTGCCTGTCTCGGCCTCCCAAATTGCTGGGATTACAGGTGTGAGCCACCACAGCTGGCCTGGTTTTTTGAAAGAATTAATAAAACAAATAGACTGCTAGCTAGACTAATAAAGAAGAAAAGAGACAGGATCCAAATAGACATAATTAAAAACTACAAAGGAGATATTACCACTGACCCCACAGAAATACAAATAACCATCAGAGAATATTATGAAAACCTCTCTGTACATAAGCTAGAAAAAATGGATAAATTACTGGACACATACACCCTCTCAAGACTGAACTGAACCAGGAAGAAACTGAATCCCTGAACAGACTAATAATGAGCTCCAAAATTGAATCAGTAATTAACCTACCAACTACAACGACAACAACAACAAAAGCCCAGGACCAGACAGATTCACAGCCAAATTCTACAAGATGTACAAAGAAGAGCTGGTACCATTCCTACTAAAACTATTCCAACAAATTGAGGAGGAGGGACTCCTCCCTAACTCATTCTATGAGGTCAGCATCATGCTGATACCAAAACATGGCAGGGACACAACAAAAAAAGAAAATGTCAGGCCAGTTCCTTGAACATTAATGCAAAAAGCCTCAACAAAATGCTGACAAACCAAATCTGCACAAGAGAAGAAACTATCAACAGAGTTAACAGACAACCTACAGAATAGAAGAAAAAAATTTCAAACTATGCATCTGACAAAGGTCTAATATCCAGCACCTATAAAAAACTTAAACTTACAAGAAAGAAACGACAACAACAACAACAAAAGTGGGCAAAGGACATGAAAAGACACTTTTCAAAAGAAGACATACATACATGCAGCCAACAAGCATATGGAAAAAAAAACCTCAATAGCCCTGATCATTAGAGAAATGCAAATCAAAACCACAATGAGATACCATCTCACACCAGTCAGAATGGCTATTATTAAAAAGTCAAAAAATAACAGATGCTGGTAAGGTTGTGGAGAAAAGGGAACACTTATGCACTGCTAATCAGAGTGTAAATTGGTTCAACCATTGTGGAAAGCAGTGTGGTGATTCCTCAAAGAACTAAAAGTAGAACTATCATTCAACCCAGCAATCCCATGACTAGGTATATACCCAAGGGAATATAAATCATTTTACCATAAAGACACATGCACACATATGTTCACTGCAGCATTATTCACAAAAGCAAAGCATGGAATCAACTTAAACGCCCATTGATGGTAGGCTGAATAAAGAAAATATGGTACATATACACCATGGAATACTATGCAGCCATAAAAAGAACAAGACCATATTCTTTGCAAGAACATGGATGGAGCAGGAGGCCATTATCCTTAGAAAATTGATGCAGAAACAGAAAACCAAAGACTGCATGCTCTCACTAATAAGTGGGAGACAAATGATGAGAACACATGGCCACATAGAGGGGAACAAAGGAAACTGGGGCCTACCTGAGGGTGGAGGGTGGGAGGAGGAAGAGGATCAGGAAAAATGACTAATGGGTACTAGGTTTAACAACACCTGGGTGATGAAATAATCTCTACAACAAACACCCATGACATGAATTTACCTATGTAACAAATCTGCACATGTACCACTGCACTTAAAAAAAAATGACTTGTGGTCCCACATATGATCACTTCTGTAGAATATTCTACATACATTTGAGAAGAATCTGTATTTTGATGGAATGTGTAAACATATGTTAGGTCCATTTGGTCTATAGTTTTGTTCAAATCTGCTGTTTTCCTTATTAATTTTCTGCCTGCATGACCTACCCAATGTTGAGAGTGAAGTGTTAAAGTCCCCTACTATTATTGTATTGCTGTTTATTTCTCCTTTCAGTTCTGTTAATTTTTTTTATATATTTAGATACTCTGATGTTGAGTGAATAAATATTTCAGTTGTTATGTCTTCTTGATGAATCAATCCCTTGTTATATGACAAGCTTCTTTTTTTCTTGTGACAGTTTCTGACTTAAAATCTGATATAAGTATAGCCACCGATGCTCTCCTTAGGTTACCATTTGCATGGAATATCTTTTCCAATTCCTTCTCTTTCAGGCTGTGTGTGTCCTTAAAGCTAAAGTGAGTCTCTCATGGGCAGCGTATAGTTGGATCTTGTTTTTATTAAATTCATTCAGCCAGTCTATGTCTTTCAATTGGAGCATTTAATCCATTTATATTTAAAGTAATTATCAATAGGTAAAAACTTACTGTCATTTTGGTCATTGTTTTTTGACTGCTTTGTAGTTTCTTTGTTTCTTTTTTTCTCTCTTGATGTCTTCTTTTGTGATTTAATGACTTTTTGGAGCGGTATGTTTTTATTTATTTTCCTTTTATTTATTTGCTACAGGTTTGTTTTCTGTGGTTACCATAAGGCTTGTACAAAACATTTTTTTTTTTTTTTTGAGATGGAGTCTCACTCTGTCACCCAGGCTGGAGTGCAATGGCATGATCTCGGCTCACTGCAACCTCTGCCTCCCAGGTTCAAGTAATTCTCCTGCCTCAGACTCCCGAGTAGCTGAGGCGCATGCCACCAAGTCTGGCTAGATTTTGTATTATTAGTAGAGACGAGGTTTCACCATATTGGCCAGGCTGGTCCTGACCTCGTGATCCAACCACTCGGCCTCCCAAAGTGTTGGGATTATAGGCATGAGCCACTGTGCCTGGCCATAAAACATTTTATAGTTATAACATTCTATTTTAAACTGGTAACAACTTAACTTAGATCATATACTAAAACTATACTTTCACACTCCACATGCCATTTTAGGTTATTGATAAAACAATATATATACATATATTTTGTATTGTGTATCCACTAACAAATTATTATAGTTATAGTTAATTTTAATACATTTGTTTTTTAGCTTTTATACTAGAGTTGAAAGTCATTCATACATCACCATTACCATATTAGAAAATTTGAAATTTGACTATATATGTATCTTTACTAGTTAATTTTATACATTCATGTGTTTTACATTGTTAATTAGTGTCCTTTTATTTCAGCTTGAGGAACTCACTTTATGATTTCTTATAAGGCAGGTTCAATGGTGATGAAAACTCTCACTCTTTGTTTGGGAAAGTCCTTTCCTCTTATTTCTAAAAGACAGCTTTATCAGGTATAATATCCTTGGTTGGCAGTTGTTTTCTTTCAATATTTTAAATATTCATTCCATTTTCTCCTGATGTGCAAGGTTTCTGCTGAGAAGTCTACTCATAGTCTTGTGGGGGTTTCCTTGTATATGACAAGTAGCTTTTCTTCTGCTGCTTTCAAAATTCTTTCATTGTCTTTGACTTTTGACAATTTAGCTATAATATGTCTTGGTACAGACCTTTTTGTGTTCAACCTATTTGGGAATGATTGGGCCTCATGAATCTTAATGTACATCTCTTTCCTCAAATTTGGGAACTTTGCAGCCATTATTTCTTTCAATACATTTTATCACTCTATTCTCCTTCTTAGACTCCCATAATATGTATTGTTTCACTTGCCAGTGTACCATAAGTCTGTTGGCTTTCTTTATTATTTTTCATTCCTTTTTTTTTTACTCCTCAGACTGAATAATTTCAAATGACATGTCTTTAAATTCACTGATTCTTCTGTTGGATTGAGTCTGCCATTGAAGTGCTCTATTGAGTTTTTCAATTCAGACATCTTGTTCTTCAGCTCCAGGAATTAGTTTTCTGCTTTTTTTTTTTTTTTTTTTTTTGATGGAGTTTTGCTCTTGTTGCCCAGGCTGGAGTGCAATGGCACTATCTCGGCTCACTGCAACCTCTGCCTCCTGGGTTCAAGTGATTCTCCTGCCTCAGCCTCCTGAGTAGCTGGGATTACAGGCACGCACCACCACAACCAGCTAACTTTGTATTTTTAGTAAAGATGGGGTTTCTCCACGTTGTTCAGGCTGGTCTCGAACTCCCTACCTCAGGTGATCCACCTGCCTTGGCCTCCCAAAGTGCTGGTATTAAAGGTGTGAGCCACCGTGCCTGGCCTTTTTTGGCTTTTAAAAAATGGTTTATATTCCATTGCTGAATTCATTTTGTCCAAATATTGTTTTCCTATTTCATTTAGTTGTTTGTTTCCTTGTAGCTCGGTGAATGTCCTTAAGAGGATTATTCTGAATTATTTGTCAGTCAATTCATAGAGCTGCATTGCTGTAGAATCAGTTATTGGAGCTTTATTAATTTATTTTAGTGGTGTAATGAAGAAACTCAACGTATTTGTTTATTTGTAGATGGGGGTCTCACTATGTTGCCTAGGCTGTTCTCAAACTTATGGCCTCAAGTGATTCCCTTGCCTTGGCCTCCGAAAGTTCTGAGATTACAAGCATGAGCCACATTGCCTGATCCAAAGCTCACTTTAAATATAAAGACATAAATAACTGAGGAAGGCCAATGTGGCAGTCATAGAAGTTGAAAGCAACTGGTGATTCTTATAGTGGATGAGGATCACAGTTAAGCTAAGACACTGGTTGTGGAAATGGAGAAGAGAAAGAGATTAAAGATATTAAGGAGGCAGAAGCTACAGGACCCAGTAACTGGTCATGAAGGGAGAGTGAGGCAGAAGTGGTAGGATAGACTCTGACATCCAACTTCCACATTGAGATAGGACCATTTCCTGGGAGGGTGCATGTAATGTAATGCAATCGGGATGTGCTTTGACTATGGCAACCCAAGCTAACATTGGGCATGGTGTATGTGACTATCTTTAGGCCCTTCATAGGTGCTGCTTTGTTTTGAATTTGTCTGCCAATTCAGATCATACCCATTCATTTTAGTCCTCTTGCCAGTCTACATGAGAGGCTCTCCTTACTGTGCCCAGGCTCAGCCCTGACTAGGTCCTGGGTGCCACATCTTGAGGCCCAGACTGTTCCTAGATGCCTCTGAGCACCTTTTGCACTTGGGCTGGCCCATTTGCAACCACACCACCCACTGGCCATTGGTCTTATTACATCAGGAGAGACAAGGCTTCTTCATTCTCCAATAGAGTGGATTCGACTTGAATGGTGGAAAGAAGGGAACTGCAGGGAACCAAATGAGTGTCAAGTCAGCCTGACCTGCTGGCATCCTTGTGCAGTGAGATGTAAATAATTATTTAATCAGCTGGTATGGGTTTCTTTTAGGGAGTGAATTGTTTAAGAAAATGTCTTAATAGACTACTTTGAGTGTGAAACAGACAAATGAAACATGGTTCTCTTCAAGTAAAAAGCCAATGGGAAAGTGTTAGGTGGAGAAGGAAGACGAGGGAGGAAAGAGAAGAGGAAAGAGATAGGAAGAGGGAGAACTGAGCAGTACCAGGACTCGGGTGAGGAAAGCAAGGTGTCCAGGATGCAAAATTTAAGGAGGTGTTCACTCTCAGACTCACACAAGTGCATGATTCGCATCTGAGAGTGAGTGCTTCCTTAAATTTGGTGGCCTGAACTCCTGGTTCGCCTCACCTTACCCAGTCTTGGAGTTGAGAAAAATATCAGGGGGCTACTTCCTGCAAAGACATGTAACTAGGGAAAAATCTCGTGGTGGCAGGGGATAAAGGACTTTGAAGAACAAGGGAGTCTAATAATCAATCTCTAATTTGTTTGCTGTATAATTCTGTGATGTAATTCTTTTTTTTAAATTTATTTATTTATTTATTTATTTATTTTATTATTATACTTTAAGTTTTAGGGTACATGTGCACATTGTGCAGGTTAGTTACTTACGTATACATGTGCCATGCTGGTGCGCTGCACCTACTAACTCGTCATCTAGCATTAGGTATATCTCCTAATGCTATCCCTCTCCACTCCCCCCACCCCACAACAGTCCCCAGAGTGTGACGTTCCCCTTCCTGTGTCCATGTGATCTCGTTGTTCAATTCCCACCTATGAGTGAGAATATGCGGTGTTTGGTTTTTTGTTCTTGCGATAGTTTACTGAGAATGATGATTTCCAATTTCATCCATGTCCCTAGAAAGGACATGAACTCATCATTTTTTATGGCTGCATAGTATTCCATTGTGTGTATGTGCCACATTTTCTTAATCCAGTCTATCATTGTTGGACATTTGGGTTGGTTCCAAGTCTTTGCTATTGTGAATAATGCCGCAATAAACATATGTGTGCATGTGTCTTTATAGCAGCATGATTTATAGTCCTTTGGGTATATACCCAGTAATGGGATGGCTGGGTCAAATGGTATTTCTAGTTCTAGATCCCTGAGGAATCACCACACTGACTTCCACAATGGTTGGACTAGTTTACAGTCCCACCAGCAGTGTAAAAGTGTTCCTATTTCTCCACATCCTCTCCAGCACCTGTTGTTTCCTGACTTTTTAATGATTGCCATTCTAACTGGTGTGAGATGGTATCTCATTGTGGTTTTGATTTGCATTTCTCTGATGGCCAGTGATGATGAGCATTTTTTCATGTGTTTTTTGGCTGCATAAATGTCTTCTTTTGAGAAGTGTCTGTTCATGTCCTTTGCCCACTTTTTGATGGGGTTGTTTGTTTTTTCTTGTAAATTTGTTTGAGTTCATTGTAGATTCTGGATATTAGCCCTTTGTCAGATGAGTAGGTTGCGAAAATTTTCTTCCATTTTGTAGGTTGCCTGTTCACTCTGATGGTAGTTTCTTTTGCTGTGCACAGACAAACAGAGAGCCAAATCATGAGTGAACTCCCATTCACAATTGCTTCAAAGAGAATAAAATATCTAGGAATCCAACTTACAAAGGATGTGAAGGACCTCTTCAAGGAGAACTACAAACCACTGCTCAACGAAATAAAAGAGGATACAAACAAATGGAAGAACATTCCATGCTCATGGGTAGGAAGAATCAATATTGTGAAAATGGCCATACTGCCCAAGGTAAATTACAGATTCAATGCCATCCCCATCAAGCTACCAATGCCTTTCTTCACACAATTGGAAAAAACTACTTTAAAGTTCATATGGAACCAAAAAACAGCTCGCATCGCCAAGTCAATCCTAAGCCAAAAGAACAAAGCTGGAGGCATCACACTACCTGACTTCAAACTATACTACAAGGCTACAGTAACCAAAACAGCATGGTACTGGTACCAAAACAGAGATATAGATCAATGGAACAGAACAGAGCCCTCAGAAATAATGCCGCATATCTACAACTATCTGATCTTTGACAAATCTGAGAAAAACAAGCAATGGGGAAAGGATTCCCTATTTAATAAATGGTGCTGGGAAAACTGGCTTGCCATATGTAGAAAGCTGAAACTGGATCCCTTCCTTACACCTTATACAAAAATCAATTCAAGATGGATTAAAGACTTAAACGTTAGACCTAAAACCATAAAAACCCTAGAAGAAAACTTAGGCATTACCATTCAGGACATAGGCATGGGCAAGGACTTCATGTCTAAAACACCAAAAGCAATGGCAACAGAAGCCAAAATTGACAAATGGGATCTAATTAAACTAAAGATGTAATTCTTTCCCTCTGTTGACCCCAAGCCTTCAGTAGAATGTATTTACACACAATGACTTCGTGTGAGAGGTTTCAGGAGAAATCAAAGAGACAAGATAGCAGCCACTGGAAGCAAGATTTACAGAAGCTCCAGGGCCCAACAGGACCAGGATTTTGGAGCCAGACATTACACTGGTAGTCACAGAAAATTCGGGGAAGGTATGGGGCTTCCCATAAGGCATAAGGCAATCTAGATTATTTTTTAAATAAACCTTAAATATTTTGGAATAATTGTGGTGTATTAATCAAGGTTCCATCGAGGGTCAGAACTAACAGGATAGATGTATATATGAAGGGGAGTTTATTAAGGAGTATTGACTCACATGATCACAAGGTGAGGTCCCACAGTAGGCCATCTGCAAGCTGAGGAGCAAGGAAGCCAGTCTGCGTCCCAAAACCTCAAAAGTAGGGAAGCCGACAGTGCAGCCTTCAGTCTGTGGCCAAAAGCCCGAGAGCCCCTGGCAAACCACTGATATAGAGTCAAGTGTCCAAAAGCTGAAGAATTTGGAGTCTGATGTTCAAGGGCAGGAAGCATCCAGCACAGGAGAAAGACGAAGGCCAGAGGACTCAGCAAGTCTGATCCTTCCAACTTCTGCCTGCTTTATTCTAGCTGTGCTGGCAGCTGATTAGATGGTGCCCACTCAGGTTGAGGGTGGGTCTGCCTCTCCCAGTCCACTGACTCAAATATTAATCTGCTTTGGCAACACCCTCACAGACACACCTAGGAACAATACTTTGCATTCTTCAATCCAATCAAGTTGACACTCAATATTAACCATCACATATGGATTTACAGAAATGTTGCAAAGAAAATAAGGAGGATTCCTGTATATCCTTCATCCATTTTCCCTTAATGTTAACATCTTACGTCCATGGCATGTTTGTCACGACTAAGAAATTAACATTTTTTTGTATATTATAGAACTTTTTCAGATTTCGCCAGTAATGCCCCTAAAGTGCTATTCTAGGATTTAATCTAGGATCCTAAACTGCACTGAAAGCCGACTGCATTTAAATCTTAAAGGGAAGTGACTGCAATTTGGTCACAATGGCTTTGGTATATTAAATGAAAAGGGGAAAAAAAGATTTTGTTGCTGTTGTTGGGTACAATGGGGGCAATTTTATATATGAGAATTGACCGCCTCTGCTTGAAGACTCCTGTGCACTTTTCTCCTGGGCTAATTGGAATCCCTTCCAGATTTCTCTTTTACCCTACACCTTTGTCCCAAGGGGCCAGACATAACAAATGTATCTGTTTTTCCAACACCACAGTAAAGACCACCTGAAATTTTAGCAAAATTTTTACTTAGAAAAAAACCACTAATATTTATTCAGCACCTCCTCTTGGTCAGGCTAATTACTTTTCATGCATCATCTTGCTTAAACCTCACAACCATACTATGAGGCAGGTATTGTTGTTGTCCCATTTTATAGATGAAAAACCAGACTCCAGAGATGGAATAAGTTGTCCAGGATTATACAACTCTGAGCTCCTTATAAAGTGGTAGAGCCAGGGTCAGGACCCAGGCAGTCTTTGAAATTGGGGATCTGGCACAGCCTAAGCTCATCCCTTCCTAGAGGTGAGCAACCCCTGGCAGGTTTCAGGCCAGCAGGAGTGGTACCTTCTGTAGTTGATATTGTCACAGTATCTAAATTAATTAGATGATTTGTAACTCATGAAGTTGATGTCACCAAAATAGCTTCAGGAACCTGGACACATGAGGCTGGTTTCCTGAGAAGGGAACACTCGAGATGGGGCAGGGCCTTGACAGACACTTGCCTCCTGTTCATGTCACACCCTGCTTGCCAAGAGCGACCCCAGGAGTGGTCCCTACTGAGCCTCCATGTGGGCTTCTGACTCCTGTGTGCACAATGGTTGGATTGACGTGGACGCTACTGCTCTAAGAATGGCGTGAGCTTTCGGTTTCTTCTAGAGGAGGAGATTATGGAGCAGGATTCTGGTGGCCGGGGCCAAGGTTTTTCCCTTACCAGATTTCTTGGGGCCATCCTTGATGTAGCTGCCAGGGACCATGCTGAGGTGTTTCCCCTTTTGCTCCACTCCATAGAGGCTTCGGTAGGAGGCGGCGTCCTTCCTGAATCTCTTTCCTAAGGCCTTGGAGGGAGCAGGTGAGAAGTCACACCCCAGTTACAGGACCTGGCTCGCCCTCCCCGCTCCATCCCAAGCAAACAGCAATTTCAAGGGTTTGCCAAAAGGCAGGCAAAGGCAACCAAGGAGAGAGCTTCCCCGGGCCCTGGGAGAGGTCGGAGGGGCAGGGTCTGCCCACGGGTGCTTGCTCACCAACGCCTCCCTCTTCTCCCCACCATATATCGGAGGGGTCCCTGGGGGCCTTGGAAACACAGGCCCTCGGAGGCCATTAGGTCTGGGTGGTTCTGCCCTGTTAGCTGTGTGGCCAGGAGGCTCTTGTCCCTCACTGAACCACGGTGTTCTCATCTTCCAAGTGGCCTTCTTGAATGGTTTCAGGGATAAATGTGGGCAAGGGAGGATGTGACACGTGTGAAGAATGAAACTACAGGGAGGCAGCAATTGGGTAGCACGGCTGGACAGGGTAGGGAGGGGTGGAGATTTTATTTGAGTGTTAATGTGGGGCCAGAGTGAATTTCGGAGCCTTGAAATTTAGAAAGTAGGCAGGCATTATGCAGGAGAGAAGCAGGGACCCCTCCTCCATTTGGAGACCCAGTGGGGGTGAGTGGGGGAAGAGGGGCTGCATTACCTGCTGGGAAGTCTCCGTGTCCCTGCGGTTCCCTCCCCGTGCTGTCATGAGGCCTTTGCCTTTCTTCTCTTCCTTCTTCTTATTTCGTTTAAGGACTGTCACCACTTTGGGCTTTTGCTTCTGAAAAGACAAGGGAAGAGAGCCCTGCAGCCACTGCTGTGGGGACAGCATCCCCTCCCTTTCCCCAAGGAGAAGGCTCCCAGGTGAGGGGCTGTCCCTCCCCTCCACAGGCTTCAGCACACACACTCTAGGGCCTGTCGTCACTGTTCCTCTGCTTCCAGATGCGCCCTGGTATACATGTCGCCGCCCCCAGAGCGACTTTCTGAGCCTCAGGCCTGGTCCTGTTCCTCTCCACCTCAGAATCCATCAGGGGCTCCCCATCACCCCCCACATAAGGGCCTCACTCCCTAGCCTGGTAGGAAGCCCCTCCAGCCCCCTTGTGGCCTTACCAGCTCAGACTTCCCTGCCCCTGCCTCCAGTGTGGAGTCACAGGAAGGCTGCCCTGACTTTGAACAGGTGCTGCTGATCCAGACCTCTGGGCCTTTGCTCACCCCGGCCTCTCCCTTGGTCCCGGAGCACCCCAGGCCCACCCCATCCTGTCTTCCTGGAGTGGTGGTCACCACTGACCTTGCCTTTCTATTTCCCCAGGTATTCCTTACCACCTGCCCAAGAGCTGAGCACACCCTGCCCTGAATGGAGTTCCCTGTGCATGGCACATTCCTGGCCCTCCTGCTCTCGCAGGGGAGGCAGGGAGGGCAGGGTCATTAGGGATCTCCAGGGTCCCACAGTCCAGGAGCCCAGCAGAAGCACTTAAAGGGTGGGCCACCCAGGAAGCATTCTGCCTAGTCTATAAGGGTTAGGGGTGGGTGCCAGAGCATCATGGCAGAAACTAAATAGACTGGATCTCCTCTGGGAATATGCTGCTTATGGTTACAGGGAGACGGTGGCCTGGACTGCAGTGTCCAGGTCAGACTGCCTGGATTCCTGCTCTATCCACGGCTGAGGGCTGAGTGACCTCGGCAAGTTTCTGCTCTCTCTGTGGCTTAGTTTCCTTGTCTGAAAGGTGGGGATAATAGTAGGACCTACTTCATAAGGTTACTGAGAGCAATAACTGAATTACGACATGCATGTGCAATGCCCTCCATGAATTATGGGAGGCAGGTTATTATGCGGGGTGGGTGGAAGGGAAGTTTCGATAAGCCATTTGGGAGTATGGAAGGAAGCTGTCCAAGGGCCTGCTCCATGTTGCAAGTTGCCTTCTAAGGAAGGTAACGCTGGTTAGCTTTAGGGTTTTGTTTGGTTTAGTGGAGAAACAGTGCAACTCAGAGCCAAGGCTGCATTTTCAGGCTGTGAGGAGCTAGGATGACCCATCTCCTCCAGGGCAGCCCCTTCCACCATCCCCCACTCAATCCTCAGCCTCCCTCAAAGAGTCACCTGAGTAGCTCCCCACACAGCCCCCATTTTGGGGAAGCTGAGCGGAATTGACATGGCGATGCTTTAGACTCAAGGAAACTGCAACATTCAAGGATTCAGCATCCTCCATGGCTGAGACTTCAGACCTCAGGGGTCTTCGCTGATGCCAAATGGATCACAAGGGGGAAATACCATGAGCAGTCTGTTGGGGGAAGAGCCTGGATGGCCAGGTCAGACCCCAGGAGAGAACAGAGGAGGTCACAGAGGGCCCTGAGTGGTGAAGATAGACCCCAACCATCTCACCAGAGGGTCCCCCATCACCTGCTGCTGTCGGAGACCTGCCAGCACACATCATCTTCCTCTTAGAAGCTTCTTTAAAAGCCCAGATGCTTCTGGGAAAGGTAATGATGCTTGAAGACTTAATTATATTTCCCATGTAAACTTGCTCCCTCTCTAGGTCCAAAGTTATTTACAATAAAAGCCACATTTAAGGTAAAGTTGTTAAAATGTGATTATTAGAATCTTATCCTGGTAAAAGGAGATAGACCTGAACATATTAACCAGGGAAGTGAATGTAATTCCTGTGATGATATTAAATTGAGTTTGGAGAGACCCAGAAGTCAAGCTTCCCCTTCGCCCCCAAATCAAGGCAGTGGGTAGGCTATCTGTAAATCATTAGCACCTTAGAGTAAAATATGTTTGTCAGATGTGTCTGATGGAATTGGCACTCGAGATCTTTCTGACTATAAATGGTAAGTGGTATGGTTTGGATCTGCGTCTCTCCCCAAATCTCATGTCAAGTTGTAATCTCCAGTGTTGGAGGTGGGGCCTGGTGGGAGGTGATTAGATCATAGGGGCACTTTCTCATGGTTTAACACGATTCCCCTTGGTACTGTCATGAAGGCGAGAGTTCTCGTGAGATCCAGTCATTTAAAAGTGTGTGTGGCACCTCGTCCTCCCACTTCTTGCTCTTGCCATGTGAAGTGCCTGCTCCTCTTTTGCCTTCTGCCATGATTGTAAGCTTCCTGAGACCTCCCCAGAAGTGGAATCTCCTATGCTTCTTGTACAGCCATGAGCCAATTAAACATTTTTTTTTATTTTTTTTTTAAATAAATGACCCAGTCTCAGGTATTTCTTTGTAGCAGTATGAGAATGGACTAATACAGTAAGTAAGCACACAAACATAATGGAAGCTTTCCCCAAAGGCAGGTGCTGACCTGGATAAAGCAGAGGAGTCTATGCATTTGGGAATTGGAAAACCTCAGTTTGAGCCCTGGCTCTGCCCTTTATTACTTCTGTGACTTCAATAAAATGACTTATTTTCACTTTCCTTATCCTTCAACTAGGGGTAAAAATGGTGCCTCCCTGGTAGCCTGACTGGGAGCAATTGACCACATAACCCAGGTACAAATCTAAGCACAGGGCCTTGACCACAGTAAACATTAAAAGTTAGTGATGTGTTGAGCATTGTTATTAGTAATGGCATTTTTTACTCATTTTGCTCTAGGGTCAGGAGATTCAAGACCAGGTGGCATCTTCTGCAGAGGACACCACTTTCCAAAGACATGGCTTGGTTCTTCATAGATGATAGGTCTTGGGGGAGCTCTGGGAAAAACTAAGGCAAACTTGGTTGCTACATTTCTTGGAGAAAGAGGAAAGGGTGGGTTAGAACTAGCTCGATGTAGGGTAGAAAAGAGGAGGTATGTTAGCTGGAGTTGCAGTTGCAGTAATGGCAGTGAGGAATGAATGTTCTTTGATTCTGAAGGCATCACAAGGAGAGAAGAGCTGAGGGCAGTAGGAGGATCCCATCCTGCAATATGGAGACCCAGAAGCCACTGCCCCTTGGCCCTTCTAGAATTCTGACCAATACTAACATTTGCCCAGCTTGACTAAACTTTAGACAGGTTTCTTCCTGATGATAGGCCCTTGGCCTCCTTTTCCTTAGAGCATTTCCTCTAGAAAACTTGGATTTGTAAATTTTTTCTCTGCCCCTTTGAGATGTAAATCTCTCAGTCTCTTGCTAGTTTTACAATCCAGGAATGTTTTTCTCAAGGACCTGGGAGGACCCTTTGAAATGTAATCATCAAGAAAGATTGTACCTTGTCTCTCAGTCTCTGTGAGAGGATGGGAGCCTAACATTTATAAGTGCGAATTAGCAACACAGACAGCCTAATCATATTAACTAATTCCCCCACCCCCTTAATGTCCTTGGGTAGTTCTCACTAGCTTATCCCAGCACTTCAAAACCATCCCGCCTTTTGTTTCAGGAGAGTTAAGTTCAATCTCTCTCCCCTACTGCAACTACCTTGAGTAAAGTCTTCCTGCCATTTCTCTTGGATGGTACCCACCTCGGGAGCTTGTTTCTTCTTCCCCTGCCTCCGCTCCAGCCACTCCAGCACACAGGTGAGGTCAGACATGCGCCTATCTTCAGCAGTCTTCCACATGTATTTCCTCTTTGTGGGCATTAAATCCTTCAGGTCCATTTGTTGCTCTGACATTGTGGAGTCTTGCTAGTGGCTTGGGTGGGAGGTGGCTGGCACTGTCTCACTCTTTCGATCCCTTTGTCTGGACTTGATGGCCTGGTGACTTAGAAGGTAGGGTGTGGCCTCCAGATGTGAACATAAAGGGCAGAGTGAGCCAAGACCCTGGGATATTGGCCTTAAAAGGTGGAAGGCCTGGGCAGTGATTGTGAAGTCATTGCCCGTCTTGGTAGCTGGCCCTGAGGTCAGAGTGGAGGTGGGACATTGGCCACCTCCCACTGTTCTCCATGTGGCCACTACCCCTCTTCAGGCGCTATGTCTCCTCTGGACTCTGCCACAGCCTCCTTGCAGCCTCTCCACCTCTACCTCCACAGAGATCTTAATAAAATAAAGGTCTGTCCACGCATCTTCCTTTCTCAAAAACCTTCAATGGCTCCTTGTTGCCTATCTAAAAGAAATCTGAATTCTTTAGTTTGGCATCCTATCTTTCTGTAGTGTACTCTAATTAGAAGAAAGCTTTTTATAAGCCCAATTCGTCTATATTCATTTATTCATCCAACATGTGGTTATCAGGCACCTACTAAGTATTGGGAATGGTGCTGGGGATACAATGCAGGAAAAAAACATAGGCAAACCTCCTAAGACATATGGGCTAGTGGAAAAGACAGGGCAGATAATTACCGTATGAATTCATAATGACAAGTGAAGATGAGTGCTTTCAAAGAAAGGAATGTAGTTCTATGAAAGGCCATATCAATGGTACTAGACTTGGATGGGGTGGTGGGTAGGCCACCTTTGAGCTCTGAGCTAAAGGATAAATAGACTTCAACAGGGCTGTTATGGTCTGGACATTTCTGTCCCTCCAAAATTCATGTGCTGAAATCCTAACCCCCAAGGTGATGGCATTAAAAGGTGGGGTCTTGGGAGGTAATTAGGTCATGAGAGCAGTTCTCTCATGATTGGAATTGGTGCCCTTGCAGAAGAGACTAGAGAGAGCTCCACCATGTGAAGATGTAGTGAGAAGGTGTCACCAGGAAATGGGTTCAGCAGACAACGGAATCTGTCAGAGCCTTAATTTTGGATTTCCTAGGCTTCAAAAATGTGATAAATGAATGTTTGTTGTTTATAAGCTACCCACTTTGTGGTATTTTGTCATAGGCCCAAATGGATTAAGATAAGGGCTTTGGACCAGAGAAATATGCCTGTGCAAAGGCCCTGTGACAAGCGGGAGGCATGGCACTAACAACAGAAGGCAAGGGTGACTAGAGTACCAGAGGCAAAGAGGCAATGGTACAGAGGTGGCCAGAGGCCAGGCCATCCAGGAACTTGGTAGCCACAGGTTCTGCTCAGACTGGGAAGGGAAAGGGAGCAAAGGAAAACAATAAAGGAATTCAAAAAAAGGGGAGGGAGTGGCATGGTCAGGCTTCCCTTTTTTGCTCTAGTAAACTTCTATTGAAGGAAATTATATATACAAAAATGTGCCAGAATCACAAATGAAGACATCTATGTAACCAGTACCCCAGAATCTTCCATACAGCCCCTGGTAGTTATTACCACCCTCCAAGGGTAAACATCATCTTATCATCCAATTTCTTTTTTTTTTTTTTTGAGACAGAGTCTCGCTCTGTCACCCAGGCTAGAGTCGGCTTACTGCAACCTCCGTCCCCCAGGTTCAAGCGATTCTCCTGCCTCAGCCTCCTGAGTAGCTGGGATTACAGGCGCACTGTAATTTTTGTATTTTTAGTAGAGACGGGGTTTCACCATGTTGGCCAGGCTGGTCTTGAACTCCTGACCTCGTGATCCACCTGTCTCGGCCTCACAAAGTGCTGGGATTACAGGCGTGAGCCACCGTGTCCGGCCTTATTATCCAATATCAAACTTTTTCTTCCTGTTATTGAGTTAAATATAAACCAAATAATATGCATGTGATATTTTACATCTGGATTTATTAATTTTGCAATATATTTGTAAGATTTTAGAAATAATGAATTATTTTGTCTTTGTTTATATGGTAATGTCTTTATTTTACCTTCATTCTTGAAGAAAGATTTTCTGGATAATGGAACTCTTGGTTAACAGTTTTTTCATTTGATTGCTTTTTGCCCTCTATTGTTTTATATGGGAAGCCAGCTGTTAACTGCATTTTTGCCTCTTGTAGTAATAAGTCATTTTTCTCTTGCTTGTTTTTCTATTTCTTTCTGTCTTCTGACTGCTTGCCTATGATTTGTCTAGGTGTGGATCTCTACATATTTATCCTACTTGAGGTTTATTGAACATTTTGGATGTGTATTTAATTTTTTTTTAAGTCAAATTCTGAAAGTTTTTGGCCACTGGTTTTTCCATATGTTTTCTGCTCCTTCCTTTTTATTTTCTACTTCTGGTTTTCTCATTATACATCTGTTGGCTTGATGTTGTCCCACTGGCCCCTATGGTTCTGTTCCTTTTACTTCAAACATTTTTTTTCTCTGTCTTCCTCAGATAGATACTTTCTATCACTCTATCTTCGAGTTCATTGATCTCTTCCTCTGCCATATATAATCTGTTGTAATAGATCTTCACAGTAAAATTGTAATTTATGCTTTTCAACACCAGAATTTCCATTTCTTTCTTTATAATTTCTATCTCCTTATTTAGAATCTTTCTCTGTTGATTGTTTATTATCATAATTTTATTTACAAATTTAAACAGTTCTTTGAGCATATTTAGAGTAGCTATTTGAAATCTTTGCTAAATACAGAATCTAGGAAAACTCAGAGACAAGTTCTACTATCTGCTATTTTCCTCAGTATATGTCACACTTTCCTGTTTCTTTGCATATCTTGTAATTTTCTGTTGAAAACTGGGCATTGAAAATATTGCAATGGATATGTTAATTGATATGTCATGAATATGTTAATTATCTTGATGTAGCTGTTCCATAATGTATCATTATGTTGTACACCACTAATATATACAGTTTTATTTGCCAATTAAAAAAATTACAGCAACTTTGGATTCTGATTTCCCCCACTCCATGGTTTATTGTGAATCATGAAATTGCTATCTGGGAATCTTGTCTTCTCTGTTGTGTGAAGCTGCTGAAATTTCTGATGAAATTTCTTACATTCTTGCTTTTTAAAAATATTTAAGGCTAGCTTCCTAAGCATTATCTCTGTGTCTGCATATCTAATTGGACAGAGATTGTGCTGAACCACCTTAAACAAGTAAAGTCATCTGACATCTGCTGATGAATCTACATGTGAGTATGGGAGCTGTATCAGTTATCTTATTGCTGTTTAATGTTTAAGTTTGGTGGCTTAAAACAAGAGAAAGATTTTACAGTTTTTGTGGGTCGGGAATCTGGGTGTGCATTAGCTGGGTTCTCTGGCCCAGGCAACAATCAAGGTGGTGGCCAGGTTGCAGTCATCTGAAGGTTTGACAGGGGAAGGATCTGCCTCCACACCCCTCATGTGATTGATGGCAGGATTGGGTTCCTTGCAGGCCATTGAACAGAGAACATCCCTTCTTTGTCACATGTTACACCCTTTGTTCCTTGTAACATGTGCCTCTTCATAGGATAGCTCATGACATGCAGCTTGCTTCATCAGCACAGGAAGGGGGAAGAACCAGAGAGAGAGTGAGAGCAAGGCAGAAGTCAGTCTAACCTTGGAAATGACATCCACCATTTTTGCCATATTAGCATGTGATTTTTTGGAAGCAAGTCACTATGTCAGCTTCACCCAACATGAGGGGATTACACAGGGTGCTAATACCGAGGACAGCATTTATAGGAGCCATTTTAGAAGCAGCCTACCATAGGAACACATTCAAACTTCAGTTCATTTTCATGCTTTCTCTATTTTTTGCTTTCTACTGGGCTCTTTCTCATCTCCTCTGCATATCTGTGCAGCCTCAGAGTTGGCCAGCAGAGTCTGGCTAGACTGGGCCCTTTCTGGTTTCTGCTATGCAACTATGCAGCTTTAGCCAGAAACATTTACCCCAGTCATGACTGCAACCTCAGTCTAAAGGACCTTTTGGCCCTCCTGCTTTTCTGCCTTGGCAACTTTTACTTAAACCAACATGGCTGCCAAGAGTGGATGTTGGCCAGTGCTCTAAGTCAAATAAGCTCCCTTTAACTGCAGCAGAGAAACTGCCTCGCCTCCCAGTGTGCCCCACCCTGGAGGAGCCTCCCTACTGACTTAGCTAGCAGCCGGAGATGGGAGCAGCCTTAGGCTAGAATGCCACAGATTCTCACTGTTGTTACCCAGATTTCTGCAGTTCTCAAGCATAAATGTTGCTCCAACTGTTGTATGCCTTCAGTTGATTTCTGGAGTGCTGTATGATGGTTTTGATCAATTTTTTGGAGCTTTATAGTTGCTTTTCGGGGAGAGCTTGGCCATAGACACTGTCCCTTGCTAATGCCCTTTTAATACATTTTGTAATACCTTGTTTGCTATTTGGAAATGAAATCCATATAAAACTTAACTTATCTGCATACATACATTTTAAAAAATTGCTATAATCCTCTAAACTAATATAAAAAAGAAAATTTTAACAATACAGTCTCTTTTTGGGTATATTTCAATATTATAATGTCTGGTCACAAATAAAATAATTGATAATAATTTAGTCATTCCACAATATATCATCACGTTGTTTATTATTAATGTATACAACTTTATTTGCCAATTTAAAAATATTGTAGCAAATTTGGATTATGATTTTCCCCTAAATAGAGTCTTAGGATCTCTATTTTAATGTTAATCCTGGTCAGTTGTGTTGACCAAAAAAAGAAAACTCTGTAGTATATTTAAAGAGTTTTATTCTGAGCCAATATGAGTGACCATGGCCCAGGAAACAGTCTCGAAAGATCCTCAGAACATGTGCCTGCGGTGGTTGGGTTACAGTTTGGTTTTATACATTTTAGGAAGATAGAAGTTATAGGCAAAGGCATAAATCAATATATGTAAGATATATAATGGTTCAGCCCAGAAAGGTGGGACATATATATACATATATTTGTTTGTTTGTTTGTTTTGTTTGAGACAGAGCCTCACTCGGTCACCCAGGCTGGAGTAAAGTGGTGTGATCTTGGCTCACTGCAACCTCTGCCTCCTGGGTTCAAGCAATTATCCTGCCTCAGCCTCCTGAATAGCTGGGACTACAGGTGTGTGCCACCATGCCTGGCTAATTTTCCTTATTTTTAGTAGAGACAGGGTTTCACCATGCTGGCCAGGCTGGTCTTGAACTTCTGACCTCGTGATCTGCCCACCTCGGCCTCCCATAGTGCTGAGATTACAGCTATAGTGCTGAGATTACAGGTGTGAGCCACCGCACCTGGCAGGTGGGATATCTTTTTTTTTTTGAGGTGGAGTCTTGCTCTGTCGCCCAGGCTGGTGTGCAGTGGCACGATCTTGGCTCACTGCAAGCTCCACCTCCTGGGTTCACGCCATTCTCCTGCCTCAGCCTCCTGAGTAGCTGGGACTACAGGCACCCACCACCACGCCCGGCTAATTTTTTTTATTTTTAGTAGAGACGGGGTTTCACCAGGCAGGTGGGACATCTTGAAGTGGAGTGGGGTGGTGCTTACAGGTCACAGGTGGATTTTCTAATTAGCAATAGGTTGAAAGAGTTAAGCTAAAGACTTGAAGTCAGTAGAAAGAAATGCTTGAGTTAAGATATAGGGGGTTGTGGAAGCCAAGTTTCTTGTTATGTAGATGAAGTCTCCAGGTAGCAGGCTTCAGAGAGAATAGATGGTAAATGTCTCTTGTAGACCTTAAAAGGTATCTGACTCTTAGCTAATTTCTTCTAGATCAGGGATAGGCCTGGCTGCATTAACGGAGGTTCTTTACAGATGCAAGCGTTCCCCTACAAAAGATGGCTTTGCAGGGCCATTTCAAAATATGTCAAAGAAAAATCTCTTGGGATAAAATAGTTTCATTTCCTTCAGGGTCTTCTATCTGTCATGTGATGCTATACCAGCGTCAGGCTGGAATTTGGTATCTTATTGCCAAAGAATCTGTTTTGTGAAACTTGGGATCTCTATTTTAATGTTAATTCTGGTCAGTTGTGCCTAAACTCCATAAAGGAGGGACTATACTGAGGCGTATTCAATCTTCCTTCTTACCAAGGCCAGGAATTCAATTTTTCAGGTTTCTCTTGTCCCAGAGAGGTCTGTACAGTCAATTAGGGGGACTTAGGATTTTATTTTTGGCTTACAAAGGTAATCCCCCAAATTTCCTAAATGTCTTTTCGGGAATGGTACAACCCCACT
Organism: Homo sapiens; assembly: GCF_000001405.40. NCBI lineage: Eukaryota > Metazoa > Chordata > Mammalia > Primates > Hominidae > Homo > Homo sapiens. The sequence goes on along the minus strand of NC_000016.10, from coordinate 49,367,704 downwards.
GAAAACTAACAGCATAATCAAAACTGTCTAGACTCTATTTCTGCAGTTCTTGTGGGGGGCAAGTTCTGTTTTGAAAGTTTTCCATGGCTGAAAGTTTATCTTCCAAGGTCTATTTTTTCCCTGAACATTCATGCAAACAAATCAACTTTGAAAGAGAAATGCACTTTCCTCAAAGGATATTAAACTTGGGCTGAAAAGCTTTATTACATTTTTTCTGACTAGAACACCTCAGAGACACTGGTGGTGGAAGGGAAACAGAAGCCCAGGTTAGTTTCCCAAGGGGAAGGAGAGGCAGAGTGGGTCTGGAGTGGCTTGGCCCAGGGACTAGAAGGCACTTTTGCTGGGCTCCTGGCCTTGTGGGATAAGGGTGTATTTAGAAGGCATCAAAGTCAAACCATGATGTTAGTTATGTCTCCAAGAGTAGAAACTTTCTTCCAATGATCTGGGTTCTTTAATCTCTCAGATACCCTCCCATTTCACAAATGGCTGCTATTATTAAACTTGAGAAATATCCCTGGCTTTTCTTATTTTTCCTTCTTTCTAATTTCCAAATTCAAACTGAAGTAGAAGCTCTTTTATGGCCTAGTCTCTCCAAGAAACATTTTCTAATTTTTATCCTGAAATCCTTCTACTGAATGTACAATGCACATTGATAGAATAAAAACTTCAGCTGAATTAAATTTAAAAGAGTTTAATTGAGCAATGAAGGATTTGTGAATCAGGCGGCCTCCCAAGCCAGAGTAGGCTCTAAGACTCCAGCACAGCCACATGGCAGAAGAAGATTTATGAACAGATAAAGGAAAGCAACATACAGAAAACAGAAGTGAAATACAGAAACAGCTGGGTTGGTTATAGGTTGGCATTTGCCTTATTTGAATATGGTTTGAACAGTTGGCTACATTTGATTGCCAAAACTCAGTAATTGGCACAAGTGTAGGCTACGGTCTGTTTACACTTCCATTTGTTACAGTTCATGATGTACAGAAAAACGTTTAGGCCAAAACTTAAAATATGTAAGGAGGGAGCTTTAGGCTAAACTTGACTTAACAACATTGATATTTATTAATGTCTACCTTATACTTAATTGCATTCCATTCATGCTATTATTCATGAGGCTTTGAGAGTAAAGACCACACCTGGTTCATTTCCACATCACCTGGGGTGTCAAGCACAGGGTCTGCCACATAGAAGGTGCTTGACAACTATTTTTTGCTATAATAAACAAATAGCAAATCAATGTGTAAATGAATGACTGAATTATTCAAATGAAACATTGAGTAGATAAAACCAGTGAGGGCATCAATCATTGAGTTAAGGTTAGAATGAATCACTGTATCAATATCTGTACTAGTCAAAGCATTTTTAGATGCCGAGAACAGAAACCTACTCAGACTAGCCCAAGTAAAAATAGCACTAGGAGAGGGCAGGCTATTGCTTAACAACTCAACACAGTGTTTCTCTGTTGAGAAGGAAGGAAGTTTCCACAAGGACATAGAAGTAATGATACCGTGTGAACTGGGCTGGAAAGCCCACACCCAAAATGTCTACTGGAAAATTTTACTGATAATCTTACAACTCAAGGCTCCAGGGTACACAGCTGGGCCTCAGGGTACTAGAACCAGAAACAAAACAGATGGGAGCCAAGGCTGAGGGCTCCACATCCCTCTCATTCCTGTCCATCTGTCTGTCTAGCTGTTGTGCCTTCTCTCCTTGTATTCTGGCTCTCTGCTTTTGTCTGTATCACAATCAGTGTCTTCTAGATCATTTTACCTACATCCTTTCTTTACAAGACATTTCAGCGTAGGCGCCTGCCACTGTAACAGTGAAAAGGAGGTCTAGCATGACTAACTCTATTTTGCTTCTAATCTCCCTCCTTAGGTGATGATTATCTTTTAGGTTACCTGCTTTTGCTTACTTCTGTATGTAGGCCAAGCCAAGTAAGGGAGGAATTTTAGCTCATAGTTTACCTTTAAAGCAAGGATGACAATAGCCCCTTCCCAAAACTAACCCCTGAGTAGATAAGGAGGGTGTACACATGGTTAATACTGTTGTGTTAAAGATTTACAGGAGCATCGTGACCTAACCGAGGACAGTGAAAGTTACCCTTGCTGGTGCACAGATATCTGTGGTCATCAGTAACCTTTTGACCACCACCCTCTCCTTCACCTCTTCCCATAACATTAAAGGAACCCCAAATTCATATGAGCTTAAGATGTCTTTAATCTTAAGTCCGTCATCTTGGTTTGCTGGCTCTCTAAAATAAAGTCACTTTCCTTGCCCCAAGACCTTGTCTCTTGACTTATTGGCTATTGTGCTGTGAGTGGTATGAGCTTTGGACTTGATGACACCAAAAATTGCATTTTTTCTTGGTTCAAATCCTCCCCCAATACTCCCTGAAAAGAAAGAAATCTCAAGGACTCAGTCCACTCTCTTTGGCTCAGACCTGATTTTCCTTGGGGCAGCTGTTATCCCAATCTTATCAAGGGTGGTGGGGGTGGGCTCAGGCCAGCAGGGCACAGTCACATGGTCTGTTCCCATTTAGCAGGCCTGTAGGTAGGGGAGACAATGATAAACAGGCACAAATACAGCCAGCGAGTGAATGAATGAGTGAATGAACAAGACGTGGGGGTGACTCTCAGGCTTCTTCACCCGAGGTTGCTCTTTCCCAAATCTGCAATAGAGACCAGCAGCTACATGTTTTGGAAGCCTTGCCCCTGTCTCCACAGAAGGCAGCTGGAGGCCTTGTCAGGGGCTGGGGTGCGGATTGGGTTACCAGAATTCTACTCTTGCAAATACAAAGTATTAGCTCTCTTTCATCTTTTAGAGACAGAATCTTGCTCTGGTCACCCAGGTTGGAATTCAGTGGTGCAATGATAACTCACTGCATCCTTGAACTTCTGGGCTCAGGAGATCTTCCCACCTCAGCCTCCTGAGTAGCTGGGTCTACAAGCATGCGCTACCATGCTCGGCTAATTTGTTTACTCCTGGCCTCAAGTGATTCACTGATCCACCCACCTCAGCCTCCCAAAGTGCTGGGAGTACATGAGCCACTGTACTTGGGCTTTCTTTGTTATTTTAAAAGATACCAAAGGCCAGGCCCACCATGCCCCAGATGGTCATCTGGTACTGTTAGACATAGTTAGACAGGCATGAGTGGGGAAGGAGCAGACTCTCCCCAACGCACTAGGGATGTTGGGTGATGGTTTGGCAATCATCACATTGCATCTCTAAAAGTGATAAATTGGCAGCTAGCACTAGGGAGAGGCCATTTCTTGATGGCCCACCTCTGTTGCAGTAAAGTGTTAACTGAATGCAGGTACCAGGGAGAAGCAACTTCCTGGGCACATGCATTAAGAGATAAAATGGTGGAGTATAACCTTCCAGGGGCACACCACAGGAAAAGGGAAAAAAGCCTCAGATGGGCATGCATACAACTTCCTAGACACACTACGTGTGCTCACCTCCCAAGGGTAAAGAGGGCACAGTGCACATGGGCAGCCCACACTAAGAAAAGAATCATGGGAAAGGGGTGCAAGATGCTGGAGGTTGGCAATATGAAGACTTTTCATATCTATTGTGCTAGGCCATGGGTCTCAAATTCAAGTGTCAGGCATGTGACATACAGGAGTGAAGCTGGCTGAGTATAAGGCAGTAGGGAGTGTGTGGAGTGGAGTGAACTGTCAATTACATGCCCTTCCTAAAAGGGTGGCTGTCACTTGGTGTCAGGTTGTTGTGGCCATGTGGGAAGGTGAGCCCAGTGTGGCTAGATCTTCTGATTTTTTTTTTGAGAAGCTAGAAATTTTGATTTATATGTGACACTAGTCGGAAACTGTCTTAGTTCATTTTGTGTTGTTATGAAGGATACCTGAGGTGGAGTAACTTATGAAGAGGTTTATTTGGCTCACAGTTCTGCAGGCTGTACAAGAAGCATGGCACTGGCATCTGCTTGGCTTCTGGTAAGTCCTCAGGAAGCTTGTATTCATGGTAGAAGGAGAAGGGGAAACCAGTGTGTCCCGTGATGAGAGAAGGAGAGTCAGAGAGGAGGAGGGGTCAGGCTCTTTTAAACACCCAGCTCTCATGTGAATTAATAGAGCGAGAACACACTCATTAACTCAGGGGTGGCACCAAACCATTCGTGAGGGATCCACCCCCATGACCCAAACACCTTTCACCAGGTGAAACATTGGAAATCACATTTCAACCTGAGATTTGGCGGGGACAAATGTCCAAACTGTAACAGGAACAAATTTGAAAAGAAATGTTGGCTGAGAGCGATGACACATGCCTATTGTAGCAGCACTTTGGGAGGCTGAGGTGGGAGAATTGCTTGAGGCCAGGAGTTTTGAGGCCAGCCTGGGCAACATAATGAAACCCTTATAGCTACAAAAAAAAAATACAAGAAATTAAAAATTAGCTGGGTGTGATGGTGTGCACCGATAGTCCCAGCTACTCAGGAGGCTGAAGCAGGAGGCTGAACCCAGGAGTTCAAGGTTATAGTGAGCTATGATTGTGACACTGCACATCAGCCTGGGCAATGGTGAGAACTTGTTGCAAAAAAAAAAAAGACATGCTAATTTTTTTTTATTATTATTTGGACAAAACTCATGTGATCCTGCTCAGGCCGATCTGCAATCTATGCCTCGTTCAACCCTCACCACAGCTAGGAGGCACATCAGGCCAAGTGACTGCAGATGAAATTGAAGCACAGAGATGGGGAGGCTACTTATTCAAGTCTACTCAGCTGGGAATAAGAACACTCAGGACTTGAACCCAGTTCTCCTGGCCCCCAGTCCAGTGGGGTTCCACAAGAGAAGAGTCTGAGAAACAGGGCTCAGGCAGCAGTCATCCCTCAAGGATGAGAGGGCCTTGAAAGTGGAGAAAGGTCTGAACACATCTCCAGCCCTGGGGTGTTCATGGCAGTGAAATCCACAGGATTTTTCACCTTGGTGCTGCACAATTCCTGAAGAGATGGGGCAGATGTCTTGTTTTTATTTTGTCCTACTTTCTGCTGTTTTAATATCCAGTATCATTGCAATAAACAAAAACCATCTAAAGAATATATAATCTTATTAGTGAGAACTGGCTTCCCTGTGGCTGGTCTAAGTTCCAGAGAAAAGCCATTGGTCCCCCTGTCTCAGCAGGGCATCTCAGGCGAGTGGCTCTGACTCTTGGAATGCCACATCTGCCCTATTTTCTAGGACATTCCAAGCAAATGTCTCAATTAGGCCGCAGGATGGATGTGCTGTGGAGTGTGCTGTGATTTACATATTCAGAGCCCTGCAGTCTCTTTTGCCCTAGAAATGTCCTTCCTTGGCTCTGCAGGGCCCTTGAGGAGACTACTGGCTTCCCAGGGGGCACATGCCTTGGGGCTGGATGCCTGCGAGGGTGATGTTAAAGACCAGGCAAATAGCAATGTGGAACTGTGGAAATCAGGCTGATCCAGGAGCCAGGGATATTCTATGAGGCCTATTGGGCTCTGTGTCCATTCACTGGATGACCTTGGGCTTGCTATGTTCCCTCTTTAGTCTTGCCCTTCTGCTATGAAGTGAAAAGGATTCGATTAGGGGTTGCAAACTGGTGCAAGTTGTATTAGTTTGTTCTCACGCTGCTTATGAAGACATGCCCAAGACTGGGTAATTTAGAAAGGAAAGAGGTTTAATTGACTCACAGTTCCGCATAGCTGGGGAGGTCTCACAGTCATGGCAGAACATGAATGAGGAGCAAAGTCACGTCTTACATGGATGGTGGCAGGCAAGAGAGCTGGTGGGGGCAACTCCCACGTGCAAAAACATCAGAACTTGTGAGACTTAGTCACTACCACGAGAATAGTACGGGGGAAACCACCCCCATAATTCAATTATCTCCACCTGGCCCCACCCTTGACACATGGGGATTATTACAATTCAAGCTGAGATTTGGGTGGGGACACAGCCAAACCATATTAAAGTGATATTTAGCTCACACATGTATTTTATTCAACCTGCAAAGTGTTTTAGAAATCAGGGAATTACACACACACACACACACACACACACACACACACATTCAGATTTCTGATTTGTTTAAGTAAATAAACAGTCTGATATGACTGGGCCTAGATAGCACTGGCCCCCTTGAACAGTGGGGATGCTACCTGTTGCTATAATGCCACCTGGCCAGCTTCACCCATTTATGGAATCTGCTTGTCCCTTGAAGACATTTGTGTTTGTGACCCCTGGATTAGGTAATAATCCCACCCACTTTACTGTTACAAGGACAAAGTTGTATCTCCCTATCTTTAATCTGGAGAAGTAGAGATTCTTACCCCATTTTATAGGTTTGGAGCCCAAGGCTCCAAGACACATGTTCACCCAGGCTGTCAGTTACTATGAGGCGCAGCTGAACTCACACCTTTCTGAGCTCAAGCCCCATCTCCTTCTAGGCTCTCATTACGTGGGGGGTTTATCTCCAGTGCATACCTGAGCTGACTGAGGCTAAGGGTCCTTCTAGGTCTCATTGCTAGTGAAACCCTGACACTTCACTGCTTGCCACTTGCAGGACAGAGGAAAAGGCTAAGGGGTTGGGAACACCTGGAAAGTTCTCTGGTGCACCTGTTCTTGCATTCCACAAGGGGACTAGAAGGGAGAGGGAGGCCTTTGGGATAAGGGATTTACAGAGAGGCTAGGCAGGGCAGTGGGCAGAGTGCAGGGCTGGGCACCAGGGGATTCACTGACTCTGTTCCTTTCCTTGGGGCCTCCTGATCTCATGACTATAGGGAGGCCAGTTTTTCATAGACCTCATTTTCCTCATCTGCAAAATGGCATTGACATCACCCTTGCTTCTCTTGTGGAGGTGCTCGTGAGACAACCGAGGGCTTTGCAAAGTTGCAGAAACTCAAGGCATGATGACAGAGCATCAGAGTTAAGAGCACAGCCTCTGTAGGCAAATCCACCATGTGCCAGCTGTGTGCCCTCAGGCAGGATGCTTAACCTTTCTGGTCTAAGTTTTGTGTTCTGTAAAATAAAGTCAATAATAATCCCTATGCCGAGCAACTGTGGGCATCCAATGAGATGTCTCTACCAAGTGCCAGGCACACAGTAGGTGCTTCATACAGAACATGGACAAACACATGGGCCTATGATGACCAAGGGTGGGAGTGATGCTGAAATGCACAGAATGAAGGCCCTGGGAAGGCCAGACCAGGGGGACCAGTGCAGGGGGATAAGCACAGAAACAACTTCAGCAAAGTCCAGGCAATGTCCTCACCCTGGTTCCTCCTCCCGCAGGTCATCATCACCACAGCTGGAGCAGGGAGGCAAGAATCCATGAGGAGGTGCTTTGGGGCTGGGCATAGGCTCTCAGAGGGTTTGTCCTGCTCCAGGATGATAACTCAGGGCTCATTTCCTTCTTTTACCAGTCTCCTAGAGAAAGCCCAGCCTGGTAGGCTAGAAGTCTGGCCCAGTGGGTAGACAGAGGGTGACTGACCCCAGATTCTGGGCAACTTGATCAAGCGGGGGTGGTTTAGTCTGGCCACCTTAAGCTAGTCCTGCTCCATACTGGTGGCCTGGTTGACAAGTCCCAGTCTGGTTATAATCATTGTAATTTAAGTACTAATAACCCCCAACCCTCCGCTGCCCTCAGGGGAGTGGCCTCTTATGGCGGTGCACACTGCAGGAAGGGATGCCGGAGGCTGCCTTTCTGTTTTATAGGAAGCCATCCTGCGGAACCAGCCTTGCAATTCTCTCCTTGAAAAAAAAGCCCTGGCTGTGAAGTCTTTGTGCATAGAAGTGGGGAGAGGAGGCTGAGCTGACCCCTGCTCATAGGTGTCCCAGCTTTCTTGTTGTTTGACCCTAGGATATGAGAGTTAGGTTGAGAGTGAGGGTTGGGGCTGGGATTAAGGCTGCCAGGCCCTGGAGGAAACATCTGGGGTGTGATACGAGGCTGATACTGGTTTTTGGGCGCTGTGGTCTCACCCACTGCCAACCAGGCACTATGCTAGACGTTTCTATGTATTTTCTCATTTAATCCTCCCAACGAACTGGCAAAAGAGGTATTATAATCCCCACATGATAGCTGGAGAAATCAAGTGTCAAGGAGGTGAAGTTGCTGACTGAGGTCCCATCAGTGGCAGGGAACAGAGTCCCCATTTCTCTTGCTTCTCAGGAAACTGGAATTCTTTTCCTCATTGCATAGCTGAAGAGACTGCAGCCCGGGAAGGGAAGCAATGGTGCCACAGCCAATCAGTGGAGGGTCGAGAATTGAAGCAACTCCCCAGGTCTCGAATCCACAGCCCTTTCTAGTTAGCCCAATGGGGAAGGCCCTCATGATGGAACTGCCAGCTCCTTTGAAAAGCTTCACATAGGTGTTTTGCCAGTTCTTGTCCCCAGAGGCATCTTGTCTATGCAGTCCTGCAAAAAAAGAGGCCAGCTTTTCTGTCCTCTGACAGGGGCTAATGGAGTGTAACAGGCATGTGCATGAACTCTGGGGCCAAGTCACTAAGATTTGAATCCCAGCTCTGCCACTGGGCATCTTTGACAAGTACAGAAACAACAGCAATAAAACCCTTTCTGCCTCCCTCTCCTCCTCTGTAAAATGGGATAAAACGATATGACAAATCTCATAGATCACTGTTTAGAGTTCTGAAATCGGGCCACAGGTGTGAAGTGCTTACAGCAGTACCTGGCATATGAAATTGCCAGCCGCCATTGTTTTGGTGCAGGTGAACAGTGGTGTGGAGCTGCAGAGAGAACATGGGGGGCTGGGTTCCCACCCCCAAGCCCCTCCACTCCCTGAGTCTGAGTTTCCCTGCTGCTGCTCAGTTTCTTAGCACCCACTCGCCTCCAATTCCGAATCTGCGATTTTGCTGTGCCAGAGGAGTTTCTCAGTGACCCAGCACAAGCATTCATCTTTTCAGTGCATGGGACACATAGCATCACACGGGTCTCCCTCTGTAGCGTGTGAGCCCACGTGTTCAGCTCCCCCTGGTATTCCATGGCTGCACTTATTTCACCTCTTCCCTCTCACCTGTTCCCACAAAGCATCACTGAGACCCCGTGGGTGCCAGGCCCTGCACCAGAGATAGACGCTGCCCTGCAGGAGCTCTCATTCGGGGGTGATTTTGCCCCCTCCAACCTCCAGCAGACAGTTAGCAATGTCTGGAAACATTTTTGGTTTGGTGGGTGCTACTGGCACCTGTGGAGCTCTGCTTAGAATGCGACCTGGAGGGAGCTCCTACCTGTCTTTTCGTGCTGCCCCGGCCCTCCCTACCCCAAGGCTCTGTGGCTTTCAGTCCCCAGCTTTCTTCACCTAGAAAGATCACCTGAGATATGGGAGCCTAAGTCACAGCTCACGTTTATGGCCCTTCCTTTCTTCCCTGTGAAGAAGTGTCTCTCTGCTTTGCAAGCTAATAGTGTTGTTAATAGTTCCCATATGCTTATTGTGTTCAAAATCTTTATGTGGATTAATCCTCACCACCACCCTAGGAGGTAGGTGTTATGATTAACCCAAATTTTGCAGGTAAGGTAATTGAGGAAGAGAAGTTAAAAAATGTGTCTCTGGTCACACAGGCAATAAGGGAGCTGTGGTGTGCACTCCAGCCAGGGATGCGGCTAAACACCCTGCCAGGCACGGGGCAGCCTCTATGACAAAAAATTTTTCAGCCAAAATTGCCCATAGTGCTGAAGTTGGGAAATTCTAGTCTTTTGGACAACACAGACATGTGGCTGAATGGTTAAATTAAATGTGAGAAGCCTACGGCAGAAGTAGGGACAGAATTATTTCGAGGTCCAGAAGTGGACCGCATCAGAGGGAAGCAAAGGCAGCGCCCATGGAGGGGGGGACGTGACAACATCCTGTCTCCTCTGTGTCTCAAATATGTTCCCGAGCTTCAGTTGATTTTGTAGAGCCTGCAAATACAGCCCTTCTGACAGTTGAAGCCCCATCTGCTCTGGTAATTTCATTTGTACTCCTGGATCCAGCCATGCCTGAATTCTTGTACTCTCTGGTCATGTGGCACCTCTAGGTTTCTTTATTCCTTAGACTTGTTCGAGTTTAGTTCTAATAAATAGATAAACATTATGCTGGTAACACACTCACATATCTTGGGCAGAGTTTGCTTCTCCCCTAAGCACCTGATGGCCCCCCACCTCATATCTGCTCTCTTCCTCCTTCCTATGGTATTTTATTTATCCTATGGTTGGTGGCTTCCATTAGGGCTGCAGAAGTGGCAGCTGCCATCCCTGCAGCATCAAAATATCCAAGCGTCAATTGCGCGATTGAACTGTTCCATCAGCCCGGACTGGGGACGCCATGATCAGATGTGGTTCGTGGAACAGCTGCCCGTGCAGGGCTGGCAGTTAATTAAAAGCCCCACGCACTTAGTGATTAACTAATCACAGCATGGTGGCAGTCGGTGATGAGGCGGTGACTTCTCTGCTGGAGTCAGCTGAGAAGCTCCAAATGTCTGCCTTCCGGCGGCCGGCCCCGGCAGGGGGCTTTGGGAGCCCCAGTGTAGGCGTCCCAGCAGTTTGCCTAGCAGATTCCCAGCTGTGCCTCTTGTTTAAAGCTTACAGGAGAGAGAGTGAAAGAGGACCCTGGTGGGAGGAGGAAGGGGTGGCCATCACTGCAAGGGCTGGGCAGGGTGGGGCTGCAGAGGAAGGGAGGGGGTGCTGTCAGCATTTGGGGACCACTGTGCAGGCAGAGGCTGAGCCTGATGAGACGTCAGGAAGGTGGCAAGAAGGGAGGGAGTTGGCCATAGGTCCTGGGTGGAGTCTCGGGTTGAGTTCAGGGTTGGAAGAGAGGACAGAGCCCTCTTCATCTTAGGGCGGTGCGGTCCAAAGGTTAAGGGTGTGCTAGAACCAGGCTGCCAGAGTGCACCATACGGCTCTGCCTCTTACTTCCTGTATGACCATGGACACAATTTTTAACCTCTCTTCCTCAGTTTCCTTACCTGCAACATTTGGGTTAATAATAACACCTAGCTCCCAGGTGGTGGTGAGGATTAATCCACATAAAGTTTTCAACACAGTAAGCATGTGGGAAATAGTAAAGACGCTATTAGCTTGCAAAGCAGAGAGGCACTTCTGCCCAGGAAGGAAAGGAAGGGCCATAAGCCTGAGCTGTGATTTTGGCTCCAATGTCCCAGGGGCTCCTTCCAGATGAAGGAAGGTGGGGACTGAGAGCCATGAGACCTTGAGGCAGGGAGGGCTGGGGGTCCTGAAAGGCAGGTGGGAGCTGCCCCCATGTTGCATTCCAGGCAGAGCTGCAGGGAGCAGCTCAGGCTCTGCGTCTCCATGGAGGACCCTGGGCTGGCACCCCTGGAGCTGTGCGGGTTGGGTAGCTGGCTGCCCCTTTCCCACTCTGTCCTGCCTTCTAACCCAGTTCCCTGGTTCCTGATTCTGATTAAGTGCCACCCTACATGATTGGGAATAGCTGTGACTTCAGTGTCATGAATGCTGCCCCCCCGCCACCCCCCTCCAATTCCCCATGGTCCAACAGGAAAAGTTTATACAAGGCTTGTGGGCCTGTGGCCAGCTGGGTCTGAACTCCTCCAAGTCTCTCTTTGCTGGGGCTGGCTGGGCCATTGGGCAGGCACTGGGGTTGCAAGCCGCAGCCACTGGCCCTGACTCACTTGGACCAAACACATTTGTTGGAAGGAGCTGGAGTAGCTCTCAGAGCAGCAGGAAAGTGTGGAAATCTGGGTCTTGGGAAGCCCGAGCTGGGGGCAGAGCCATGTGTCATCTGCCTCCACTGGCTGTGGCATCTGTGTGTCCCTCTGCTCGAATTTTGGTGGGGACATAGCTGACCAGCTTGGTTGCTGGTCACAGGACAATCCTCTGTCAGGGGAGGGCAGGACCCTTGACAAGGGACTCAGAATGTATCCCATGAGGAGGGATGGTTCCCCAAATCAGGATTGGGGTGCTAGCATCAGAAGAGGAAAGTCGATACTGAGGCATCCCCTCAACTAAGCTAGGTCCAGGTTTCTGGGAGGGGCACATTGTGGGGCCCGGAGCCCCAGGAAGATGCCCTCCCTCTGCCTTTACATCTGTCCAGGCCCTTCTTTAAGGGGCTGGGTCACAGCAGGGCAATGGTCAGCAGGTACGTGTCCTTTCTTGTCCTTCCTACATCTACCACCAAGGGCCTGAGTATCTGGGCCATTTTCCACATTCTGAGGAATGTTGAAGGTGGGCGGACACAGTATCCTGCAATCAGAAGACGAGGAGGGACACCACCGCTCTCACTGCTGTGTGACCTTGGCACGCCCTCTGAAGTCTCTGAACTCTTGTCTCCTCACTGGGGATAAGGAGACTGTGTAGACAGGGAGTGCTTTGAAAAGTGTGAAGTGTGTGGGTTTGGGGACACCTTAGCAGGGAGTTGCTCATGTCAGCCCCACTCCCCACAGTGTCCTCCCTCTCCTTCCTTCCCAGCCCTTCACCCTGGGGGCAGGACCCTCTCCCTGCATTCCTGCTGAGGAGGCTGCTCTGGGAGCTGCCCCAGCACCTTGTCACTTCCTCGCCCAGCGAGGAGACCTGGCTGAGAAGGCAGCAGAACTGGCGGCATGCAGGGTGCCTGCAGGCAGAGGCCAGGTGGCCATGGGTGAGGGTGTGGGGTCATCTGGGGAATGGCTAATGTGATGACGGCTGTGGAGGGCAGGCAGGTCCTCGGCACCTTGGACAAGCTGGTCCCCACAGTCTTGGTGCTGCACAGAGGACATTCAGGGCACGTTCCCTATAGAAGAGTCTGAGGGATGGATCTCTCAGCCAGAATTGCTGGAAATAAATACACATCCTGGGCTCAGAGACCATCACTGATTTGGTGGAGAGCTGTTGGTTTTAAAGATTGGTCACTCACCGGATCATACAAATAAGTACCTCGTCTTAATCACTTTGGGCTGCTGCAACAAAAATGCCACAGGCAAGGTGGCTTACACAACATATTTCTCACAGCTCTGAAGGCTGGAAGTCTGAGATCAGTGTTCCAGTGTGGTCGGTTCTGGTAAGGGCTGTCTTCCTGGGGTGCAGACGGCCATCTTCTCCCTGTGTCCTCACCTGGCAGAGAGAGGATGAATGCTCTCTGGGTCTGTTTTTTTTTTTTTGAGATGAAGTCTTGCTCTGTCGCCCAGGCTGGAATGCAGTGGCGTGATCTCGGCTCACTGCAACCTTTTCCTCCTGGGTTCAAGTGATTCTCCTGCCTCAGCCTCCTGAGTAGTGGCACTACAGGTGCACGTGACCACGACCAGTTAATTTTTGTATTTTTAGTAGAGACAGGGTTTCACCATGTTGGCAAGGATGGTCTCGATCTCCTGACTTTGTGATCCACCTGCCTTAGCCTCCCAAAGTGCTAGGATTACAAGTATGAGCCACCGCGCCCAGCCTCTTTGTCTCTTTTTATAAGGACACTAATCCCACTCACAAGGGCTCCACACTCATGACCTCATCCCCTCCCACAGGCCCCACTTCCTAATCGCATTATGGGGTTAGGATTTCAACATGGATTTTTGGGAGGACAAACATTCAGTCTGTGACATGACTCTACACTTTACATAACGTGTTCATGCCTGCTTTCTTATTTGGCTTTATCTGCATTTCACAGGTGAGAAACTTAAAGCCACCAAGGCCAGGAGGCTTGCCCAAGTGCACATGGCAGTGACTTACTCTTGGTAAAAGTTTCTGTCTTCACTTAAGGGTGAGGTGATCCAGAGCTGGCCCTCAGCTATACTGGACACTATGTGGCCTATGAAAGACCAGCTGGGAAGGGGAGGGAAGTCTTTATGTTGGGCTTCCAGAAATCCACCCAGGGAGGACTTGTGTGAAAGTGATTCACTGGGAAGTGTTCCAGGAAAGACCAGCAGGGACTAGAGAATTATCTACGTGAGAGACAGGCCTTGCTCTGTGGAAACGGAAGCCACGGTGGCTGCTGTTACGGGGCATATGGCCTTGTGTCCTGCTGAGACCCAAGACTCAAACAGAAGAGAGCAGATCGGTGGGCCAGGGCTGGCCCAAGCCCCCTTTATCCTGGGCTCCACTGTCCTCAGTTCATGGCTTCTTCCTATGTGGCGGTATGTGCACTGGCCATCATGCCTGCTTTCCCAGACAGCAGGAATGAGGGAGGGAGAGGAAAGGGGGCACTGCTCTTTATAAGGACACTTCTCTGAAGCTGTACATGATGCTTTGACTCTGGGTTTTTGGCCAGATCTAAGGTCGCAGGCAGCCACAGCCAGCAAAGGAAGCAAGGAAATGAGGGCTTTGTTCCCAGCAGCCTGTGTCTAGCTAGAAAATGTGGATTCTGTTAGTGAAGGAGGAAAAGAGAAGGATGAAGGGGCACAAGTTGCAGCCATTGTCACAGCCAGAGAATGCAAAAATTGGACTTGGCCAAGTTTGATTTCCCCATTTGCCCAGCAGCCCCACATCTGCCCAGAACTTTCTCTGTGGGGTCGATGTGGAGCCTATCTTCTAAAGGGGTGGGCGCAGCTGGACTCTAGGAGTTCTGGGTCCAGTGAGGCCCTATCCTGTGGAGTCAGTCTCCCCTCTAGGAGCAGCAAAGGTTGGTGGTGTAGACAGAGCTCCCTGGAAGCTTCTTGGGGGTGGGCAGCAGGGGGAGCTGTACTGGACTAAGCCCTCAGCTGGGAGCTTGGCTTTTGAATTCCTGGTTCACCTCTGGTTTGCCAGATGGCCTTGGGCAGGCCTCTTAACTTCTCACATTCCTCAGGCTCAGCCCCATCCTCTGTAAAATGAAGACGATATGGGGAATTCAAGGCCGGACATGGGCGAGACAGGAAGCTCCCAACTCATGCATAAAATTCAAGAGGGTACCAAAAAAAACCTCAGTAATGGAGATAAATAATCAAGATGAAGAAATCATGCAGCATTTTTTATTGTGGTAAAGTACACATAACATAAAATTAGCCATTGTAACCATTTTAAAGTGAACAGCTGAGTGGCAGTAAGTGCATTTCCATTCTGCAGCCATCACTACCACCCATCTTCCCAGCTCTTTCTCTCCCCCATTAAACAAAAACTCCGCATTCCCCCTCCTCCCCAGCAACCACCATTCTACTTTCTGTTGCTATGAATTTTACGACTTTAGGTATCTCATAGCAGTGGAATCATACAGGATTTGTCCAGCAGTGTTGTAGCCTGAGTCAGGACGTCCTTCCTTTTGAAGCTGCTTATTATTCCATTGTGTGGATAGACCACATTTTGTTGATCCTTTCATCTGATCATGGGCACTTAGGTTGCTGACACCTCTCGGCTATTGTGAATAACACTGCCAGGAACATAGGTGAACGTGTACCTGTTTGAGTACTCACTTTCATTGATGTAATATTTTGTAAAAAATCAAAATTTATGCAAAAAATCCACAATGAATAAAATATCATTTTTTTTAAAAAAGGGTATTGCTTTGTCACCCAGGCTACAGTGCAGTGGCACAAATGTGGCTCACTGTAGCCTCAACCTCCCAGGTTCAAGTGATTCTCCCGCCTCAGCCTCCCAAGTAGCTGGGACTACAAGTGTGTGCCACCACACCCAGCTAATTTTTGTATTTTTTTTTTTTTTGTAGAAATGTGATTTCATTATGTTGCTCAGGAAGGTCGTCTTGAACCCCTGGGCTCAAGTGATCTGCTGGCCTCAGCCTCGCAAAATGCTGGCATTACAGACGTAAGCCACTGTGCCTGGCCTCAAAATTTTAAATAAAGACAACATCAGTAACCGTGGTCACTGTACTGAGCCATATCAGAGCACAGGCAGTGGAAGATGGGCAGTGCTTGCTGTGCATGATCCTGTCATTACTCCCCTTTTGAGGCTGAGCCTGAGGTGGGCCATCTTCTCCTTACCCTCAGCCTGGCCCTCCCTCCAGAGATTGAAGTGAGCCTGCGCTGAGTATGCCAGGCCTGGGAGCCTCATCTTCCCCAGCCTCACTGGGCCGATTTAGAAACTAGGGCCACAGAGGAGGTTCAAGGTTGCACAGTGAAGCTGGGGTTCCCTCTCCCCTTGGATAGATCCATCTTCATTAGCCCATCAGATAACAGCACCTCCCAGGCAGCTGAACTGTGGAGACAGCCACTGTGTCTTCCTTCCCTTTGAGTTGCTTTGCCAAGTGACAAAGCAAGAGATGTGTGTCCCCACTCAGAGTTGGTTTGCAGAGATTGGTTTGGGGCCATTCTAATGAGACAGGTGATGATGCTCTCGTCAGTTACCCCTTAGGTGGCCTGGGGCTGTGTGCAGGGGCTCAAGTGTGGGGACACCTGCCTGTGAGCCTGAGCTCCAACCAGGAGGAAGATGCCTGCTTCTGAGCTCACAGCCCCAAAGAGTTGAAAACCAATTCAGTCCCCCAAAGAGAACTGCCTCCTTTAGTCATTGAACACTTGGTGCACTCCTACTGCGTGCCAGGCACTGAGTGGGGCGGGCAATGAGGGTTGATAAGGAGAGGAGTTGGCCGTGGTCCTGACTTTAAGAAGCGCGTGGCTCAATAAAAGTTTTGCCCATTCGTCAGGAATTGAGATGTCTGGGGAAATGTATACGGAGGGCAAACCAGGGGGTGGTGAGAAGCCAGCTTGGCTCATCCTTGGCTGGGGATGTGTGTGTGTGATATGTGAGTGGAGTGGGTGATAGGTGTTTGTGTAATGCATGTATATTAGTTTGTGCGCACATGTATGAGTGTGTTTGCATGTGTGAATGTGTGTGTGAGAATGTGCATGTGTCTGTGTGCGAGTGTGATTGTGTGTTCACATATGCCAGAATGTGCATGTGTGTGTGAGTGTAAATGTGTGTGGGCATGTGTATGAGTGTGAGTGTGCGCGTGCACGTGTGTGTGTCTGTGTGTGTGTAAACGTGCATGTGTGCATTGTGTGTGTGTGTGCGCCTGTGTGCATGTATGAGTATGCGCATTTGTGCTCTTGCATGTGTGCTTGTGTGTATGAGTGTGTGCGTTGGGAGGGGGGTGGGGTGCTGGCTGTGGAAGGGCCACCCTTGCCTTGGGCTACCCTAGAGGAGACACCGGCTCCGAGGCACGGACCTTGCCTGCTATCTTGAGACCGACCAGCAGATGGCGGAATTGCAACGGGAAAGTCCGGGACCTCTGGTGCTGGGGAGTCGGAGGAGGGAAGGAATGAGAGGGAGGAGGGAGAGCATCTGAATCTGTTGGAGCTGCCGTGACAAAATACCATAGACTTGGGGGCTTAAGCAACAGAAATTTATTTATCACAATTCTGGAGGCTAGGAGTCAAGATCAAGGTGCCGGTGAAGCAAGGCTTCCGTCTGAGTCCCCTTCTCTGGCGTGTGGGCGGCTGCTGCCTCGCTGTGGTCGTCCCTCCATGGGGAGGGACCCCTTTTCCTCTTCTCATAAGGACCCCAGTCCCATCGGTTCAGGGCCCCATCTTTACAACCTCATTTAACCTCAGTTACCTCCTAAAGACCCTGTCTCCAAACACAGTCACATTGGGGGTTAGGAATGCATTTGCAGGGAATTCAAACATTCAGTCAATAGCATGGAGAGAGGAGAAAGAGACAGGGAGAGAGAGGGAGAGGGGAAGGAGAGGGAAGAGAAGATGGGGCAGACCCCGTGGCACTGGTGCAGGTCCGGACGGCTGGTGTGGGCAGCCTGGCCGTGACTCCATTGCGACGCTGAGAAGCTCCTTTTCACTTTGGGTAGCTCATCCTCACCTCTAAAGGAGGTGAGGGCCCACCTGCACCTTTTGAAGTAGCAACAAACTTGCAGACAGCAGCTCTCCAGTGCCTCCCTGCTTTTACACTGAGTGACGCAGCAGCCCGGGAGGGGCACTGCCACTGTCTCCACCTGCAGACAAGGTCAGGGAAGTGAACTGGCTGCCCACAGCCCCACAGCTTCGTGTGGTCTAAGCAGTAGGGAGGGAGCTCTGAGGGGGTGGAAGATACAATACAGACCTGAAGGAAACTCAGAACTCCTTGGCACAGCCCATGTTGACAAGCTGGGCCCCCACTGGGGGTCCTTCCTGAAGCCTCCCCAAAACCTCTGAGAAAGGGCCGGCTTGATGGGTGTCCCTTGCAGTGAGCACAGGTCCTGGAAGCTGGCCCGGAGACGGAGCGTGCAAGAAAGCACTCCCTGGACACACGGTTACCCGACAAAGTTGCCTGAGTTGGGGGCCTCTGTCCAGCCTGGGCGTGCTGGATGGAGAAGCCCATCCAGCTCTTGGCTCTCACTGTCGGGTGTGCAGGGCCGAATGCAGGGAGGAGAATCTACTCCTCCTCTCTCAGAGACCCACGAGGGACGCCTAAATCTAATAAGTTAATCTAGACTCCTAGAAACAAGATTAAATTTTCAAATAAAGGCAGGCTCTGACAGCTAAGGCATAAATCTTTTATTTAAAATAGAGACTAAACCCATTCAAATGCGATCAGCGATGACAGATGCAGATAGAAACAAGCTCTGATGGGATGGTTGAGGTGTGGGTTTGTCTGCTCCTGGTGACAGATCGCCAAGGGTGACCTTAAGGACAGTGTATAATTGTCAGCAAACAGTGGTGCCTCTGCATCCATTTCCATGTGGCTTGCTGGCCCAAGGTGGTGCCAGGGGCAAGGATGTCCTGAGGAAAGTGCCCATGCAGGTGGAAAGGAGCTGCCTTGGATGTCTTGGTCCCACTCCTGCCAGGTCAGCTGCCACAAGAGGGCAGGGGAGAGGGGCTCGCCACGTTTGGAGGTGCCTGGAGCACCAGCAAAGGAGCTGGAGATGTGGGGAGCTGTCAGGAACAGGTCGGATGTGGTTAAGGCAATAGGAGCCACGTGGCAGCATTTCCTGGAGCCTCCAGGGCAGAGGGTAAACTCTGCCTGGACCAAACCCAGCTGGGCCATCTACTGCCTTGGCTCTTTATGGTGGACGCTTCCAAGTGCCAGACATTGTGTTCCCTGCATGATCTCATTCAATCCTCACATCAAGCCCTTTTTACAGATGGCGGGCTGGGGCTCAGAAGGGTTAAGTGCCATGCCCAGAGGTGCATAGCCAGTTAGCGACAGAGCTGAGACGCAGCACCAGGCTGCTGGTTCCAGTGTGCACGCTCCTCCCTCTGACACTCTAGGGCTCCCAGGCACCAAGAGACACCAGCAGCTGCATTTGTTCTAACTCAGGCTGAGCGATTTCTCCTAAATATCGCCCCCTTTTGGAAGTGTTCAGATGCTTGCTGCCAGAATGCTTCACAAGGGCACAAACTCGAAGACACCACCATGAACATACATCCCGTGAGGACGAGGGTTCCCCAAAGGATAGTCTATGAATCTGCATTCAGGAAACATGTAATAACAAATGAAACTCCCACAGAAACAATGCTTTTATTAGGTAAATCTGGGAAACTTTGCCTACTCTAGCCCCTTCTGAGAAGTCCTGCAGAAAAAAGAATCCCATCAAACCTTATTTAGTCCAGCATTTCCCCAACTAATTTGAACATGAATATGTTTTGTTTCCCTTGCTGGGCATCATATCATGTCAACCTGTATTCCAAGGAGCACACTTGGGAAAACATTGATATGAGACTTTCATCTCAAGTTGGTCTGTAGCTTCCTGCTTCTCCAGAATGTGTATTTTGGTACATGACATTTCACCTTAAAACCTTGAAGCTATTTACAGATGCCCATAGGAGTCAAAATTGATGTTGGTCGTTTTCAGTCTCTTTAGAATAAAGTCTCCCTGAGTAATTTGATGAAAGTTGTAGATTTTTTCCTGTGGGGAAAGGAGAGGCACTCACATTCATATACACAGACTGATGAATTCAGATTCAGGGGTTCCTCGGTTACCCTGAGGTCATGAACCCCTGTTTTAAGTCACTGTCAGCTAATATCCTTGGCGTCATTGGCAGCCAAGCACTGGGCCCTGCTGGGGTGAGCCTGTGGGAGCAGGGCCACTGAGAGGGTCTGAGTAAACGGGTCAAATCCACTCCTAGCCTTCTGACAAAGGAAAGCAGGAGATTCATGCCAATCACACATGTTCAGTGGACTGGCACCTTCCAGCTGCCCACGGTGTGGGCCAGGGTGCTTTGAGCAGGTTAGTGAGCAGAGACCCCCCCTGAAGGTCTGAAAGACTATCCCACACCTTGTGGGGACCTCAGGGCTCCCATGCCTCTCTGAGCCCCCCACAGTCTAGTGCCTAAGAATTCTGCTGCTGATGCTGGTCCAGCACCCATTCCCTGCCCCCTTTCTTCTAGGAAAGGCACCCCAGCTGTCCTTGGGGCACCACCATGCCCCAGACCTAGCTTGTGTAGATTGTATGGACTGGACCTCATATCAGACTCATGGGTGGGCTCGTGAATCAGGCTTGGATAATCAGAGAATACCACGTTTTTGGTCACAGTGGTTGGTTCAGGGATAAGAATGGGACCAAGCCAAGACAATTAGTGCCAAAAAATACCTTGTGGGATTTTACTGAGAAAGAGAAGTTCTCCTGGGGCTGTTGATAAAAAGATGTATCTGGAGCTTCTGGTGGCCACTTTGACCCATGAAGGGAGCCACCTGGGATGGTCAGAGATGGGAGGAGAGGGTGGGTATCCCAATGAGACTGTTGGAGTCTGCATCCAGCTGTGCCTGACAGTGTATCTAGATCCTGGTGCACTTATAGGAATCAATACATTTCCTTTCTTGCTTAAGACCGTGTGAGCTAGACTTCTGTCACTTGCAGCTGAAACAATCCTAATGCCCCTGTGTCAAAAACACATTCCCAGGCCTGTGAAGGTAGCTGAATTAGAATCTCCAGTAATATGACATATACCTGTATCTGTATCTTTCTGGGGAATCTCATGATCTAACAGCTCTTGCTTGAAAAAAATTTCCTCTGACGTTCTACCATGGAGTGTGCAAGAAGCCCAGTTGGGAAATCCAAGATTATCCACATGTAAAGATGGCTCAGGCTGAATGCTTCGGCAAGTCTAGGAGTCAAGGTATTTTACATGATTTGTCTTTAATCTATTCCTGCTCTTAAACTCTCAGATGGGAATCACACTTTCTGATTGTGGCAATTTCTCAGCTTTGGAGAGGAGGGAGACAGAGTTCTGTGGTTCTGTGTTCAGTAAGACCCATTTCCTCATCTTTCTGCACTCCCAGTCCTCCACGTATGAGCCAAAGTGATGTGTGCCAATTTCAGGCTTGGCTCATACAAATCTCCCTGGGTTTATTTATTCATGATTTTTTCCTCTGTCTTGACACAGATAAATACAGTGACCTTAGAAGCCACTTCAGAGGTGGCAGAGCAACAAGGAGCAAGGGGCCTGGGCACCAGAGTGTGCCTCAAGACAAGTGCCAGTCAGGCCTTTTGACAGGCAGCAATCCCTGTCTGGGGCTTTACACAAGTCAGAAAAAATGTCTATTGTGTTAAACCGCTGATTTTGGGGTTTGTCTGTGATAGTCGTCTCCTTAACAGTGAATTTTTATAAATTCCAGATAACTTTCCCACCTATTGATTCATCTGAGCCTTTTATGAACTCTGGGTGGCAGTCTGGGAGTGGCACTTTACAGATGACAGTGCTTGTCCTGTTTACGTCCTTGGTGGGAGGCTAGAAAATGGTTCTAAACAGAACGCAATTTGATACACATGTAAAGAGATGTCCATGATGTGTCCTTCCTTAGCTCTGACTTCCCTCTCATCATTCAGGCACTTTGGTGGATACATATCTTCCCTGGGACTTAGCACCCATCTTACCACCCTCTGCCTCCATCCCACCTACAGGGAAGACTGAGGGCTCTGCCTCTGTCCGCGGTGCTGAAATGGGTGATAGTTACAGAGCAGAGTAGCTGAATGGGCCAGGACTTAAACACTAGACAGAACTGGGCTTTCCGTCTAAATATGTGTTCCCTTGGGTGGTCTTTCTACCTCTCCAAATATTAATTTTTTGGTCTGTAGAAAGGGAATATTATATCTTCTTCATGGGACTGTTCTGAACATCAAATAATGTGGAGAAACTATTGATGTAGTTGTGTTCTTTTCCATCCTCTGTCCTCCTTTTTAATACTGAACCTCGTCTTCTACCAAAAGTAGCCTTCAAGGGCTAGACCTTTCATTCCCAGAGGCTTGAGTGAGTTAAGAGAAAAACCAAATTGACTCTAGAGAGATTGTCTGTCATGAATCTAGCTGCCATAAGCTACAGGGGGTTATGGGATATCCTAAGAGTTTAAAGGGAATCTGAAGCTTGAGGGAAAATATGTGTTTCTTTGTTCCTCAGTTTCTCCTTCTTTTGTAAAATGATGGGTAGTGCATGGTGGCTTAGGGGCTTCCAACCCTGCAGAACAAGAACATCTTTTAGTATTCTTGCAACCCATTGATCCCCATCTTTGTAAAAATTTTGTCAGCTAAACACACTGCACTTATTAAAGAATAACAAATTCATTTCCCCAATTTTATTAATAAAAGACATTTAGAAATGATTGTGCAATAAAAACAGTATTAAGCTTCCCAGTTTAATGAGGTGGCTGATGCTTTAGTTAGTCTGTATGGCCTCATTATCAGCTAATGCATGGATTCCCTTAGGTTTTCTGAATTTTTGCCAAGAATTCACAGACCCCAGTGCTACTCCTGTGAACCTCAGCACAGGAGTCATTATTTCTGTGGGCTCTCAGGATCCTTCCAGCTTTGACCTGATCCTGTTGAGCTCTGATGTACTAAGCGGGGTAGATTGGAACCACAGAAACCTCCCCTGGCATGCAGTTTAATCCACACCTGGGAGATGGAATTCATAATCCCCATGATTGCCTTCACAGTGAATGGAGGATCTGGAGTAGCAAGAGGCATTCTGAGTGTGTATTTGTGGCTGGAGAGTTAGTTTATTAATGAAAAATATGACAGCCAAGGGAAATAGTCAATTGGCCCCATTTCTGTCCACACACTCTCTCCCAGTTGCACATGGCATGCGAGGCCAATTTGAAATCAGAAGGATGCTTGGTGGGCACAAAACTGGAGTTAGGAAGTTATCTGGATGGTCTTAATGACATTGTCTGCAAACTGTGATGGCTGTTGGGATCTAACTTCGCAGAGTTAGATCCACTCAGGCCCATTGAGGAACCAAGACCCCACTGTGCCCCAGATGATGCTGGAAGCAATCGGCTAACGCTCTGCCTCTGGGCTCTGAGATGCTCAGGCTGCTGCCCTTGTTACCTGCATTCAGGTTTGGGGACAGCTGAGTCTGCTCCCGCAGTGGGGTGGGCACTTGGGCTGGTCTTCCCGCACTGGCACAGGGGATGGCAAGCCCCTTCCTCATGCTGCCAGCCTCCTTTTAGGATAGCTTGTTGGTTTGTTTTTTCCTTACAAGTGCCACCTTCAAGTTTGGATGATAGCCATGGACAACTAAACCATATCAGTCCTGGTGCAGTGACAGAGGACAGGCATTTACAGTGAAGGGCTAATCAAACCTGTTCATCCCATCCCCACCTGAGGAGACGGGGAGATTGCCATGAGAAGTGAGGATCCAGGGAAGGGGACATCAAGGCTGACTGAGAGGATACTGCCTGCTGCCAGCAGGTGATGTCTGCTTCTTAAACTCAGGTTCTCTTGCCATGCCCTGGACCTTCAGCAAGGACTTGCTTCATGCCGCCTCATTTCACAAAGGATGTGTGATAATTTACACAAGGGACACACAAAACAGGACAAAGCAAATAGATGAGTAAACTAGGGCAAGAATAAATTGAGAGTCTTCGCAGTGGCCTGAAAATTTGGGTCTGAGCCTCCTAGTAGCCAAAGCCTAGATGAAAACATGATTGGTCCCAGAATGACAATGCAGTGTGGTAGAGGATTACAAAGAGCCTTTCTGTGGGCACATGGAGAAAAGCTCTTGACTTGGCCAAGAAGGCTCTCTGGAGGAGGTGATACCCAAACATGATGCTGTCTCTTTCAGGGATCTTTGGCACAAAAATGACTGACTTTTACTGGGCTGGACAGAGCCTGAAGGCTGGGGCTGCCTAATGAGTGGCCACTTCCTAGTGAGAAATTTTCAGTATAATAATTGTATTAATTATTTATGCATTACAAATCACCCCAAAACTTAATGGCTTCAATAAAAAAAATGAACATTTGTGATCTCGCACGGTTTTTGCAGGTCAGGAATTCACGAGCTTAGCTAGGTGGTTCTGACTCACACTCCCTCATGAGCTTGGAGAGAAGATGTTGGTGGGAGCTGCTGTCATTTAGGGGTTATCTGGGGTGGGGGGATCTTCCTCCAAGCTGCCTCACTCACAGAGCAGGTAAGTTAATGCTGGCTGTGGGTAGGAGGTCTCGGGTGCTCACCATGCAGACTTTTCCATGGGGATGCCTGAGTGTCCTCATGACATGACAGCAGTCCTCCCCCAGAGCGAGTGATCCAAGAGACTCAGGCGAAAGTCACAGCATCTTTCAGGACCTAGCCTTGGAAGTCACATTCTGCTGTCCCCACAATCTCCTATTAGTACACAGATCAACCCTATTCTGGTTAAATAGCAGGCATGAATACCAGGGGGAAGGGATCACAGGGGTCATTTTGGAGGCTGTACAATTAAAGTGTTAATAATAATAAATGATTTAAATGATAAAGATAACAACCACAGCCAATATGCAGTGGGAACCTAGGCATTGATCTAACTCTTTTACTTGTATGATCTTCATTGAATCCTCTCAATGACTTATGGTTTGGGTACTATTATCAGCCCTACAGTATGGAGGGGAAACGACAGCTCAGAGAGGTTGTGTGAGTGGCCCAAAATCACACAGCAAATAAGTGGTATGAGTCTGAATTTGAACTGATGTTTTTATGAGTCCAGAGCCCATTCTTTTGACTGCAACCCTATACTCCCTCCCTAAGGTACTTTTCTTTTGAACTCTAGAGGCACAGCTCCTCTAGCCCTCTCTTCAGAAAGCCAAGCCAGAGGGCACTGGGAGCTAGAGCAGGAGAAGCCACTCCCCTAGGCTGGCCGGCCCCAAGCCTAGCTTTGCAGGCCTTGGCAAGGCAGAGGATTTACTCACCTCCTGAGGAAGTCTCAGGCTTTGCTTCTTTACTGACTTATGAGCTGTGTAAGTGAAGTGTGTGTCTGACCTTTTCAGTTACTTCTCCTCACGATCACTATAGCTGCTGCAGAGAAATGAACTTCCTTCATGCTTTCCCAGCTGCTGGGAGGGGACCCCACCTTCCTGCATCCTGATGGCTGCCATGGCCCGGGTGCTCAGCAGAGGCAGGACAAGACCGCCTAGGCTCAGAACTCAGGATCTCCCAGGAGGGTCCAAACTGACTGGGCCATGTGGGGTCCATGGAGGCCACTTAACTTTAAATCTGCTCCCAAGACTGCACTCTCCTCTCCAACTCCCACCCCCAGCCCCTGGTCCAGGTCTTCCCCGGGGAACCTGCCCCACCACCATCCCAAGCCGCTGTCTCCCAGAGAAGGCACATCTCCCTTGCCTCGGGGGGTCAGTGCCTCCTGTGTCCTTTCAGGCCCCACCTCCTCGCGTCCCTCTGCTCAGAATGGAATGCTCCCTCCTTGCTGTTCATGTTGTGTGGCATTGTTCCCTCCTCTACTGTGGCCCTCTTTACTTTCGGCTGTACTTACCTGCAGGCTTTCTTCTTTTTTAAAAAAACAAATTGTCATGGTATGTATCTGGAGAAACTGTAGAACCCTCCTCATCTTCTTTGCGCACTGCTCGGTACATTTCTAGTCTCTACCCAATGATCTGTTAAGGTGAGAATGTTAATTTATCCTGGTGGGAATATGCCAACATCACCCCAAGATAAAGATGCCGGCACTCTGAGATGCACTTAGAATAAAACCCCAAATCCTTGCCATGGCTGACAAAGCACTGCAGGGTTTGGCCCCAGCCCACCTTGACCTTGCCTTCCATCACTCTCCCCCTGGCCCACTGAACTCCAGCCACACAGCTGTGACCCTGACCCTGCTCCTGCCCAGGGCCTTTGCCCTGCCACTCCCTCTGCCAGAGCACACGCTCTGCTTCTCTGCAGGCTGGCTCCTTCCCACCACTTCCATCCAGCTCAGCCCTCCCTGACTTCTCCGTCTTGCTGCACAATGCCCAGCGTCTCTCCATTGTAATATCCCACTGTCTTTTCCTCACTGCACTAAACAATTTCAGAAATCACTCCTTCAAAAATGAGTTTCACTTTATTATCTTTTTTTTTCCTTTAGAGATAGGGTCTCATTCTTTCTCCCAGGCTAAGTGCAGTGGCATGATCATAGCTCACTGCATCCTCCAGTTTCTGGGTTCAAGTTGTCCTCCCACCTCAGCCTCCAGAATAGCTGGGACTATAGGTGCACATCACCACGCCTGGCTAATTTATTTCTAATTTTTTTGTATGTGTGTGTAGAGACAGGTCTTGCTATGTTGCCCAGGCTGGCCTCGAACTCCTGGGCTCAGGAGGCCCAGGCTCGCCTCGAACTTCTGAGCTCAAGAGATCCTCCTGCCTTGGCCTCCCAAAGTGCTAGGATTATAGGCGTGAGCCACCTTACCTGGCCTATTACCTTTATCCTCCAGCAGGACATAAGCTCTACATGGACTGGGATCTTGCCCATCTTGCTGGCTGCTGTGTCCTTAGAGTCTCAAAGAGTGCAGGGCATTTAGGAAGTTCTTCATGTTTGCTCAATGAATAACAAGTGGTCACACACAAAGTACTCACATGCAAATCTCTTTCGCCTGTTTGGGGAGTCTCCATCCTAGCCCCTAGTATCTTGCCTCTAGCATGGAACACATAGTGAATGAAATGAATTAAGTCACTTGCCCACTGGCTTATCTTCTTTTTAAGGGGACAGACCAAATCATGTGTTTCTCCAACCCTCTAGCATCTTGAGCCACTGCTTAAAGCGCTTGTTGAATTGAATAGAATCCTTTGAAACTGTTGTGTCACCAACTTTGGTAATTGAAGGAAAGGGGTCTGCCTGGTCCTTCCAATGTGACTTGTTGGAGAAGCTAACACCTGGAGTTCTCATTCTCAGGTGTGGGTTCCGGATCCTGTGAGTGCAAAGGCCACACCTTACACAGCAGACGTGTTGATAGAAAACGGGGCACATCTGCCTAAGATGCCAGGTGTCAGAGGAGCGGCATAATATCCTTCTGACACTTGAAAATTGCAAATTTGAAAGGTTCCTTCTCACTTGTCAGCTGTCCAGGCCTCCCCGAACAGATGGATTCCAGGCCTCACCCTCCGAGGCTGAGCGTCCCGCTGCCCAGGACCAGCCAGCAGACATTGTTAAGATCCCACAGTGGGCACAGAAGCTCAGGTGTCCTAGGCACTCGAGTCTCAGTGTTTTATCAGGATTATTTCAGTTACAAGTGGTTTTAAAAAGGGATTATATTACCTTAAGCACTGAAAAAATGTTGGGTAGAAGTTGCTTGAGGCATAGCTGGATCAGAGCAAGAGACTGGATCTGTCTGTACTTAGTTTATTCTTCTTATGGGGAGAGGCAGGTTGGGGGGCAAGATGGCCCCTGGAAGCCTCAGACTCACTTGTTTAATTTAATTGTCCAATCATCATCCACTCATTCCATTCCAGTCATTCCTTTTTTTTTTTTTTTTCCCCCGAGATGGAGTCTCACTCTGTCACCCAGGCTGGAGTGCAGTGGTGTGATCTTGGCTCACTGCGACCTCCACCTCCTGGGTTCAAGCGATTCTCCTGCCTCAGCCTCCCAAGTAGCTGGGACTACAGGCATGTACCAGCACGCCCAGCTAATTTTTGTATTTTTGGTAGATACGGGGTTTTGCCATGTTGGCCAGGTTGGTCTTGAACTCCTGACCTCAGATGATCTGTCCACCTCGACCTCCCAAAGGGCTGGGGTTACAGGCGTGAGCCGCCGCACCCGGCCTCCAGCCATTCCTTTTATTTCTGGTCCTCAAATAAAGCAGGCACACTCCTACCTTAGGATGTTTGCACTAGCCAGTCTATGTGTCTGGAAATTCCTAGCGCCCACCCCTGCATAGCTACATACCTCATTCCCTGACCTCCTGCACAGCTTTGCTCACACTTACCTTCTCAGTGAGGCTGATCCTGACCCCCCTATTTAAAATTAGAACTCCTCTCCTCAGCCCACCCAATCCTTCTTACCATGATCGCTTTCCACTCCCTCATAGCAATTACTGGCATTTTTTTCTTTGAGACGGAGTCTCGCTCTTATTGCCCAAGTTGGAGTGCAATGGTGCGAGTGATTCTCCTGCTTCAGCCTCCCGAGTAGCTGGGCTACGCCTGGCTAATTTTTTGTATTTTTAGTAGAGACGGTGTTTCACCGTGTTGTCAGGCTGGTCTCGAACTCCTAACCTCAGGTGATCCGGCCACCTCAGCCTCCCAAAGTGCTGGGATTACAGGCATGAGCCACCGCACCCAGCCGCAATTATTGCCTTCTAATGTTTTCCATACGGCACTTATTAATTATCTCTATTGCCCTATCACCCACTAGAATGTCTGTTGTGTTCACTGATATATCCCAAGAACCTGGAGGGCCCTGTCACATAGTAGTCGCTCAATTTGTTAGATGAATGAATGAAGCAGAAAGAAATTAATTCAACATCCAGACATTGGAAATTCAGCAGTGAACAAAAAATACCACCCCCGCCCCCGCAAAAAAAAAAAATCCTCCGTGGTTTTGGACCTTACTTTTTGGTGGGGATGGGAGATGATAAATGAGATTTTAAAGAAGCACTAAATATAGGGCATTGCAGGTGGCAGTGGGGGCTGGGCAGGAAACACAGCAGATGCACAGTCAAGATAAGCCCAGTCCCTGCTGTACGCTGAGAACCCAGCAAGGATGGAGACCGCTCTTCTTCTGTCATTTGAAGTTTATTCTTTTTGGAAGCAGCAGAGGACAAGCACACTGCTAATGATGGTAATAAAGCTTCTCCCAGATTTGTTGACAAGTTGCGTTTGTTTTATTTTCATTCCCTTCTCAATTTGGGAGTGGGCGTGGGCAGCCCCCTGCCAACCCACCATTCCCTTGCCACTTCCCACTCTCATGATTTAAATAAAGAAATATGCAGATTGGCTGGGAGCCGCTGGTGTTTGGAAACCCCTCTTGGTGCCAGCTGCTGCGTGGAGAAGAAGCAACCCAAACCAATAAGCGGGTATTGATTCACATTGGCATTAATCTCTTTTTGTATTGACACAAGTATCTTATCAAAATTTGCCTGGGGGGAACATCCATCTTCATACTGACTTAAAATAGAAGATACTACAGGGTGGGAATTCTATCTATATAGTATAGACCTCTGCATACAAATGCATAATCAATATTTCATCATCAAATTATGATCTGGCTTTCAATGTTTTGCAGAGAGAACCTGAAGATGAGTCATAAAGTGCAATAATAGATTGAAATGCAAAGGCTTTTTTTTTTTCCATTTTAATAAGAGTTGGGGATGCTCCATGGCCATTCTGTGTAGGCGGCAGGAAAAGACCCGTCTGGCTGCAGGAGAGATATCATGGAAACGTTTGCAGACAAGAAGCTGCCTACACTTTGCCATTGCTTGAGAATTAACTATATGAATTAATATAGTTATTATTCAGCCACATTGCTGTGCTCCACCTGGACCCTCTCTGATCCCTTCTGTCGCTTCACTGTACCAGTGCCTCCAGTGGTCAGCAGATGCCACTCTTGGGGAAGTGTTTGGGTGATTAAGTCCCCTGGGGACAGCGCTTAGCCAGAGACTGAGGAGTGGGGGATTAGGAAAGCCCAGCTCCCTTGCCTCAGGGGCAATGCTGAGCCGTCACTGACATCCCAGAGTTCCCCTGGGGATCAGGTAGAAGCTACTCCCAGGTGAAACAAAAAACAGGGGGCTCTGTTTAGACGATTGATTCTCTGTTCTTGGCTCCCTGGCCCCCTTGTCCCATTTCTGCCACTCTGCTATTGTCCCCTGGGAGCATTTCCTTAATACAACACACGCACTTGAAGCCTTGTCTCCAGGTCTGCCTCTGGAAAATCCCACTCAATATGCACCATTCATTCTTCAAGTGTTTGTTGGCTCTCTACCATGTACCATGCACTGTGGTTGGAGCTAGGGATGGAGCAGTAACAGTAGTAGGTATGGCTCACATCTCTGTGTCAATTTTGGTGTGTTTGGCTATAAAAGAGAGAAATTAAACAGTATCTTATCATCTCACTTTGGCGGGAAGTCAGAGGGCTCTGGAACTGGTTGCTATAGCTGCTCAGTGGTGTAATTAGGGTCCTAGTTCTTTCCATCTCTCTGCTTGGCTGTGTTTGGGGTTGGTTTCATCTTCAGGCTGGGCGCGAGTGGCTGTAGCACTTCCAGGCATCGCATCCAGACACGGTGACACCCTAAGGAAGGAGAGAGCCCTCTTCCGGTGGCTCTTTCAAGCAAGACCCTTTGCTTGAAGCCCCTGCCTCCCCAGCAGAAATACCTTTGTCTCATTGGCCTCATTGAAATAGGTCCCGTGTCCCTGCCCAAGCCACTCTGGCAAGGGGACGGAATTACCTTGGGCTAGTCAGGTCTTCTCTGGACCTCTGAATCAGGGTGGTTTCTCCTGAGGCTCAAGGGAGGTTCGAGGGGGGCAACAACTGAGTGCAACTGAGATTCTGTTGGAAGGAAGACGAGAACTTCATCCTGTGCTTTCTCCATCACCCTGCCCTCTTGGTCTCCTTCATGGCACTCCAGTCAGGCTACAATCAGACGTGCATTCCTCTGTGTGATTCCATCTGTCTCCTTTACTACATGGTAACTCCCTGAGGGCAGCACCCTGACTGTTCTGCTCAGCAGTGGTGAATATGATGATTACGATTAGCACAATGCCATGCAGATAAATATGCTCAATAAATACTTGATGAATAAATGAATGGTAATAT
This sequence comes from Homo sapiens, assembly GCF_000001405.40. NCBI lineage: Eukaryota > Metazoa > Chordata > Mammalia > Primates > Hominidae > Homo > Homo sapiens. The sequence continues at coordinate 49,336,964 of NC_000016.10, read as the reverse complement.
CAAGGGAATGAATGAATGAATGAATGAATGAATCAACGTGTGCAGTTTAAAGAGCAGACATGTAGAAAAGGTGGAAGTGGAGCTCACCATCCCCTCATGTGGATGGTGTCCTGTGAGGATGGCGGCAGCAAGGGGCCCCTCCTTGCCAAGGCAGCTCAAGGATAGAATAGGAGGGGGCTTCCTTCTTCCCAAGGCAGCAAGGGTGGTAGCTCTGGGTCAGAGAGACTGAGGCTCATGCTTTGGCTCTGATGTCAGCTGTGTGGCTTCAGGCGTGACTCCTCCTCTCTGCATCTTGCCATCTTCTCTAGAGATATTGTGAGGATTCAGTCATTGGACAATTTATTAAGCACCTATTGTATGAAGATGCTGGGGTGCATGTAGGAAAAGTACAGGGTGTTGTGGAAATACTTATGGGATCCAGCTGCAGGCTTCAGGGTTGGTGCTCAAGCTGAGATCTGAAGGATGCACAGGGATCAGGAGGTGACTGGGGTGGAAACGAGGGGCAGGGAAGAAAGCATGCCCCGAGGCTCTGAGACAGGACCCAGGCTTCTTTGAGGAAAATGAGGCCTAAGCTTGGGGTAAGGAGGGGGGCATGGTATGAGAGGAGGCAGTGAGGCCAGCTGAGGCCAGACCAAGGAGGCTGCGGAGGCCACAGCACACCTTCTACTGTGTGTTTTATTTTCTTATATTTAATTTAATTTATTTTATTATTTTATTTTATGTTTTAGATAAGGTCTTGCTCTGTTACGCAGGCTGAAGTGCAGTGGCACGATCCTAGCTCACTGCAGCCTTGAACTCCTGGGTTCCAGTGATCCTCTCACCTCTGCCTCCCGAGGTGCTGGGACTACACAGGTGCACACATCACACCTGGCACTGTAATTTACTACATGTAGTGGGCCCCACAGAAGGGATCTGGGTGGAATGGCAGCCTGATGAGATTCAGCTGTCAATTGGAGGAGATGCTCAGCCACGTGGGACCAGGTGAGGGGCTGCTGTGTTTTCCCAGCAAGAGTCAAGGTGGCTTGAACTGGTGCAGCGGCAACGGTGAAGGAGAGGCATGGGCTGATTCGAGAGATGCTGGGAGGCAGATCTGGTAAGCGAAGGAGAGTCAGAGATCCTGCCCTTGTTGGCTTCAAGGACACTCGTTCTCACCTGCTTACTGAAAAGTATAAACCAGGTCCTCCCCATCAAGGAGGATAAACCCAAGGGTTTGCAGAGGGACGCTTTCTTTCACTCTGAGCCCAGAGAATGAGAGGAGAATCAGGCATAATGCAGTTAAGAAATACTATGTAATCAATCACACTAGCTTAAATAAAATGCAATGTCCAAACGCATTGCCTAGCATTTTCCCACATCAAACAGAGGCCCAGGTGAATCACCAGCATCACTAGAGTATTGTTATTTGAAGCTGGAAAGGGGATCCTCAATTTTGGTGGATGGGAAGGTTGGTGGGGAGCAAATATAAGAATTGCTTAGGGGTCTAAGTTCTAGGAAAACTAACACACTTGTGAGAAGGGGCTATAATGCCACAGAAAGTGTGTGGCATTTGGATTTGGAAGGCCTGCCTTTGAATCCCAGACTGCTATACATTAGCTGTGTGACCTTGGCTGGTCACTTAGCCTCTCTGATTCTTTTCCTCATCTAGAAAAGGGAGCTGATCACAGTTGCTTCAGAGGCTACTGTGGAAATAAAAGGAAATAATGATAGAGAAAGTGCTTTGTCAGCTGCAAAGAAATATCAAATATTGGAGATTATTAAGAAAGTATATTTTAAGCAAAAAAGTGTAATTGGGTGATATTATTGAATTGATGTTATTTTGCATTGTTAGGATAATGTCTTTATCCTTAGGAGAAGCACACTGAAATATTTAGGAGGGAAATGTCAAAATGTTTAAAACATTCACATGGTTCGGAATAAAACAAAATTGTACAGCTCAATGTACGATCTGTCTACCTATTTACATCTATATTTTGAAAAAATGTGGCAAAACATTAACTATTGGTGAATTTAGTGGAAGGATATTAGTGTTCATTAAGCTATTTTTAATGTTTCGGTAGACTTGAAAACTTTCATAATAAAAATCAGAGGGGAAATCATTTCCAGGTGGACAGCAGGTGTAAATAGGGAGGGAAAACAATGCCTCAGAAGGTGACAAAGGGCAGTATCTTCATGGCCTTGGGTAAAGGTGGCATTTGGTAGGGAGGAAACACCCAGCCTCTCTCCCTGGCTTTCCTATCTCCTCCTGGTGCCTTCCTTAGGCTGAAGTAAATGATAAGTCCAAGGGCAGAGCCTAGTGATGAAATCCAGGATTGGCCTCCAAGGGCACGGAGCCAGGAAGAGGATAGAGTGGGACAGAGAATGGACCCAAAGGGATGACTGGAGAAAAACCAGCACCTCTTCTTTTGCAGGGCATGGCAGACAGAAGCTCAAATGCCAGATAATCATTTTCCCAGCCTCCAGATGCAAACCTGGCCGAACTTTCTCCTGCAAAGTAAAGTCTGTGGCTGGAGCTGGGAAGTCTTTTCCTTTCTAACTAGAGAACAATGAGTGACAAGAAGCTGTCCCTCCTTCCCTGATTTTGGATATTATTGTGTGAGGATATGATGCCAGGAGCTGCGGCAGCCACCCTGCCACCAAGAGGATGGCAGAGCAGCCACCAAGAGCCCTGACATTGTTGAGCAACACAGTCTGGACCACCTGCTGCCAGACTTCCCAACACATGAGAAAAAGTCTCCAGTGTTGGGGTTCCCTTGTGGTTGGGCATCTTGTCTCTTGCTGCCACTAACATCTTAACTGATGCACAGGTCATAGTCGAAGTGACCTCCCGGTCTCTTTTCCCTTAGTCACACCCTTTCCCCAACATGCTAGATTTTCTACTGTGATAGTAACAAGAAAAAAACCAACAACAATGAAGACAAGGAAATGGGAGCCAGACATGGTGGCACATGCCTGTAATACCAGCACTTTGGGAGGCCAAGGCGGGCAGATCGGATCGCTTGAGTCCAGGAGTTCAAGACCAGCCTGCGCAACATGTCAAAACTGTCTACAAAAAATATAAAAATTAGCCAGTGTGGTGGCATGCACCTGTAGTCCTAGCTACTTGGGAGGCTGAGGTGGGAAGTGGGAGGATCGCTTTAGCCTGGGAGGATTACTTTAGGTGGAGGCTGCAGTGAGGGGAGATCACACCACTGCAGTCCAGCCTGGAAATGGGCCCTGAGGAAGAGAAAAGCATTGCGGTGCCATCTATCATATCAGAGGTGGGAAACGCAGAAGCACACGTCACAGTTTGCATTTCCATACAGGGTGCTGAGCTGACGGATGGAGGAGGCAAGGCTTCACCTGTGGAGCACATGCAGTGCTGTTTGCCCAGACTCCAGGATCCCTAGCACAGCTCTGCGCACCCATCTCGCAGCTTCTGAGTGCTGTGCTGCTAAGAGCTCCCCACCCCAGGACCGCAGGGGCCGCTTTTCTTGGGCTCTGGAGCCACATCACTCTTACCGAGAGCCCAGGTAGCCAATGACTAACCCATGTAGAGAAAAATGCCTCACAGCTCCTTTGCCCCAGGCTCTGAGGTGTAATTTATGCTGCAAAGCCCCTCAACGGATCAGGCTGAGTCTTGGGGTTCACCCCAATTGCTTCTCCACTCTTACTCAACTGTCCTGGGAGAGCTCTGCAGGAGATGCAGGAGTAAAGTCACATGCGGTGGCAAACAAAAGACTCCATGAGGCCTTTGTCCTGAGAGCCTTGGCCATGGCAGCTTGATCCCTGCATAGATCACCGAAAATCCCCCTGCAGGCTCTCCTGTAAGGCAGAGCTTACAAAGCCCACTATTGTCTGACTCTTTCAAGGATTTACTTCATTTGCAAGTGGCTTTTCTCACCACAATGTCATTAATGTGTGGAGAGACCTGGAAGCTGGCATTTATGGCATTTACGTGAAAGTGATGTCTAAATCCTCAGGCTCAGGCAGGGCAGAAATAGCCAGGAAGCTGACAGCAGAAAGGGGACATTTGCCTGGAAACAGACTTATTTATCTTCTCCCACTAAAGCTTCTCTCTTAGCAATGAAGTCTTTGCCCTCTGCTGGCTCCAGGACATGTCAAGACTTTGAGCTTGGTAGAATGTGCTGCCAACACTGCTTCCCTTATTACCCATTTCAGTCACTAATCTGGGACTACATCAGTGGTTCCCAACCCAGGCTGCACTTCAGATTCACCTGGGAGCTTTTCCAAAATACACTGCCCCTCCTTCCTCAGGAATCTCTGGCACAGGTATGAGATCCTGGCAGGTATGAGAGAAAGGAAAATAAGAGAATCTGCCTGGTAACCATCAGAGGCAAGGAATTAACATATTATCTAAAACTATGTTAAAAGGTCAGAGCCCACCACAGTGGTGCATGCTTGTAATCCTAGCGCTTTGGAGGCTGAAGCAGAAGGATCACTTGAGCCCAGGAGATCAAGGCTGCAGTGAGCCATGACCACACCACTGTACTCCAGCCTGGGCACATCAGGCATCAGTATTATTCTAGCACCCCAGTTGACTTCAATGAGCAGCAAGGGCTGAGAACCGCTGCTTCACAGAAGGGAGCATGTCCTGGGGGATCCAGGAAGGTCTTTCCAGGCCTGATCTTGTTGGTTACTTTCATTTCCCGACAAAGGGCTGCTAGATCCTCCTGTGGCTCTCTTGGATCATCCTTGCGTTTTGCAAAATATTGCTTTCTTTAAACATTCAAATATGTGGCTCCTCTGAAACTGTGAACATTTCTGAAGATCATCATGAACTGTTGGTAACTGTAAAATCCAAGGAGGCAGAGTCAGAGGAACAGGTATCTGGAGACATGGGTGGCTGCTGCTCCCAGCATCAAAAGCGTTCATCTGAAGTCATCCCGTGGGTGGAAGCTTCTGCTCCTCCATGGAGGGCCATAGAGTGTGTTAGAGTAAGTGAGGCTGCAGTGTGAGGTTAGGCAGTCTGTGTACACACCTTCATAAAGCATGTTAGCTTTTGTAAAGTGCTTACTAGATCACGAACATTGCTTTTTTTTTAAAAAAAATCAGAGTTTATCACTTGACAAAAGATGTAATTTTCCAACACACACTCAGAAGTACCACTGTGAGTGGTAATTTGGCCCTTATAAAGTTATTATCATTTTCCTGTTATTTTCACCTGTGTTCAAGGGGAGAAGCAAAGCTTGATCTTCAAATGAATAACATAAACTTTACTTAATTACCCAGAAAGATTTGCTTTTTTTTTTTCCAGTCTAAGCATTTTAATGCCCACCATCAAAGGCAGAGGGTATCTGAGGGAGAGAATTTCACAACAACTTTACCATCCCACTTCATGAAATTCTGACCTTTTATTTATTTATTTTTTATTTATTTTTCAGAAAGGGTCTCGCTCTGTTGCTCAGGCTGGAGTACAGTGGCGTGATCATGTCTCACTGCAGCCTTGATCTCCTGGGCTCAAGTGATCCTCCTGCCTCAGCCTCCCAAAGTGCTAGGATTACAGCATGTACCACTGTGCTGGGCTCTGACCTTCTAACATAGTCTTAGAGAACATGTTAATTCATTCCCCCTGATGGTTACCAGGCAGATTCTCTTATTTTCCCTTCTCTCATACCTGCTGGTTAGGAAAGACATTATGTCTCTATTAAAATTCTTTATTTGACTTAGTATACAACATCCCATTTTGGGTGTTGTTTGAATCCCCAACACCCAGAAAATTGAGATTATTTGTTTGACCTCATGCAGGAAAAATAAACATTTAATGAATGGTATTTGCCATTTTAAAAAGGTTTTTTGGGGGTGGTGATAAATAGATGCAACGTTTATCTACTGCTCAATACCAGGTCACTTGGCCTCCTGATCCATACAAATATTCATTCTGAGCTGTGGTTATGCACTGAAGAGAAATGTCACCACTTCCAGCTTACGCAACTGCCATCTGCGACTTGGCCTTTGCCCATTGCTTTGTGGTTTTGCTACCTATGCACCATCCTTCTACTCCAGCAGGGGGTCTCAGCCCTGACTGCCCATGAACAGCACTTGAGGCTTAAAAAAGATGGGTGTGCCAGCCCTAGGCCCAGAGATTCTGATTCCATTGGCCTAGGATGGGGCCTAGGCACAGGTATATTACAGCTGACCCCCAAGGGAGTATAATATGCAGGTGGCTTTGGAAGCACGATTGTTGACCGTCAGGTCTTCCTGATAGCTGGCAACACTGCATCCTCTGCCTGGTATCCCCAGCACCTGCGATGGAGTCTGGCACAGGATGGACACTCACGAGTCTGCTGTGAATGATGCATCGACTGTACCTGGAATGAACTTGGAATCCTGGTACCATCATGCCACAGTATCACCCTCTTTGGATGTATTCCTCAGATGCTGTGAATTAACCACGAAGCCAGACTGTCAATTCTAAAGAAGCAGGGCTGCTGGAACACAAATTCGTCATGGTTCACCCTTGGCCCATGTTCCATTATTTGCTAATATTCAAAGACAATGCTATAGCATTTAGCCAGTAAAAACAAAAAAGAAAAGAAAAAGAAAAACAAGTCAGTATATTGAAAAGGAATATTATGTTATTAGAAATGCATGGCAATAGATTGTAGACACATGAAGCACAAATACCAATGCTACCTAATCACTCCAGAGAATGCTGTGCAGAACAAACATCCCTTTCTTTCATGTGGTTTAAAAAAATAGCTACCTAAATACAAAATTTTAAAATAGTTACCGAATACAAAAGCAGAAACCCAACTGTCAATTTTTCATTTTATTTTTGGCTGGTTGGCTGATTGATTGATCCACTCATTCATTCATTTGATTTGGGCGTACTGAGCCTCTTTGTACCGGGCACTGTTCCAGGTGATGGGATACCGCAGTGAACTCAAGTGACCTGGGCCTAGTCTCATGGAACTTATATCAAACATGGGAGGTAGGTAAGAAACGAGTAAGCAGATAGCACAGAACTCAGGCAGTAATGAGTGTAGTGGGATCAAATCACAGGGGCCAGGGAGCAGGTGCAACCCTGGTGGTCATGGAGGGTGTCTCTGAGGATGTGGCCTGGGAGCTCAGGTCTGGATTTCTGAGGGCAGGAGACAGCAAATGCATGGGTGCAGAGGCAGGAACGAACTGGAAATGTGAGCAACAGAAAGTCCAGGGGCTAGAACTTGGCAGGAGAAGGAGGAGTGGTATGAAATGGGAGGCAGGAGCTGGATAGCGTAGGGGTCTGCATGCCATGGTAAGGACTATGTATGGGGACAGTAAAAATGGCAAATGATGCCATCAGTTTCCACTTTAACAGAATTGCTATCACCCAAGAGGTCTGTAATGGGAAAACCGGCTGAGTGAGTTCTCTAGCCTTGGCAAAGCCATTCCATTATTGGGTCAAGCCTCACAAAATCACTTGAGTAAAAAAATAATTGCAAGAATTTTCTTTTCTTCTTGAGTGTTGGAATGGGAGTGGGGGATATTGAGTCTATTCTTCCCCCAGATATCCATGTAGCCTTTTAATTTTATTTTTCTTTTATTAGACAGGGTTTCGCTCTATCACCTAGGCTGGAGTGCAGTGGCGTGATCTGGACTCACTGCAGCCTCGACTTCCTGGACTCAAGCGATCCTCCCACCTCAGTCTCCTGAGTAGCTGGGACTACAGGTGTGCACTGCCACGCCTGGCTAATTTTTGTATTTTTGTAGAGATAGTTTCACCATGTTGCCCAGGTCTCAAACTCCTGGGCTCAAGTGATTTTCCCACCTCAGCCTCCCAAAGTGCTGGGATTACAGGCATGAGCCACTGTGCTCGGACCCCCTGTCTTTTTATTTTCTTCATTTAAACCTCTGTTCAAATGTCATTTCCCCAAAGAGGGCTTCCTCTCTGCTTCTGGTGGTCTTCATGGTCTCTGCTACTACAATATATTATATTGTATATCTATTTGTTCATTTCATACTTCCCCCTCCCCTCTGGAAGGTAAATCCCTGAGGTCAAGGGCTTCACTTATTTTGTTTTCTGCTGTACTCAGTACAATCCTTGTACTCAGCACATGGTAAGTGCTCAACTAATATCTGTTTAATGAATTAGTTGGAATAAATGCCATTGGATTTTGCTGCATTTATTTGGGCACAAAGGACTTGGGAGAGCCCTTGTGTTGCTATGCTTCTGTTTCCCAAGCACATTCGTGTCCTTTCTAATCTTTCTGCCTTAATCACTTTAAATGTACCGACAAGCACAATTGACCAATTAATAGCGCTTATGCTCTTGTTACATCATTTGTAATCCATGATGCTCTTTCTATTCGTAATGGCCTTTCAATTTTTCATGACTCAAAACGGATGACATGCATAATGAATACAAATAGCAAATTGATTAAATGCAATGCATATTCTACTGCTTGCTGGGCTTATGCCTGTTATTAATGACAGAAATCCAGCAAACTCTCATGAAAACACCAATGACATACAACCTTTAATGCAAGATGCTGGAGCACTAGGGGTCCTAAATTTTCCTAATTACTGAGCAACAGCAGAGATTAATTTCCCAGACGGCAACCTTTGTAAATAAGAACATCAGCATGGCTGCTTTGTCCAAGTTCTTTTTGCTGAGCACAAAACCCATCATGCAACCCATTTTTACTTCATCAGACTATTTGTGTTGTGTTTCAGAAAAAAAAATACACTTGAGAGATCGCCTTATGAGCAAAGTATAAAGGATGCCACTTGTGCAAAATCAAATTTATTGTCTGCTCAGGGATTGCATGTCTTTCTGGAATCCTAATACACTGCGATACAGAAGCCACATAGCTTCAGTTCATGTATTGAGTATTAAAGCATCACAAAAATGATAACACAAAACAAGAAAGAAGATATGGATGGGAGTCTGCAATGGACAGTACGGTAAAGGACATGCTTTTAAAAGACCTGCCTGGCTAAATGTGCAGTTTTGGTTTCAGATTGCCAAAGAATGAATTGGTTTGCAATAAAAGGCTGTGTGAATCAACCTTCTTTTCCCCATTAGTGGGAAACCTTCTGGGAAGCAGGCATTTTCTTTGACACACTGGGGCACATGATGACTGGTTTACCCAGGTTGGCACTGGAAAACAACAAGCACCTGTCTGATGGGTCTATTAAGAGGGAATGAAGTGGATAGGAGCATTTGTCAAGGCCCACCCACGCTCAGAAATCATCGATCACAGCATGCTGACCACTGCTCCTGCACTCTTTCTCCTGAATCACAAATGGGCCACTCTGCAGAAAGAAGGTGGGGTGAGAGAATGGGCAGCTGTGGTCTTGGTCCACTTCCCCAACAGCTCTTCAGATAACACCTTGACAGGTCTGCCTCCACGATTATTCAGGCTCTGAGTCAGTGGAATTCCAAACCCAGGGAAAGCAGAGCTCTGCCAAATTTGCGGCCTGCACCCTGCCAGTTTGCAGCCCAGAGTGGTTTTGATGATACCTAGTCTAGGCTTAGTAGATTCACTTCTACCTCTGAAAGTGTGCACATCATCTGGGGTTGGAAACTCCAGAAGTGACCCCGAACAAGTGAGTGGTGTATTGGGAGATACAGAGAGTCTGGGTAGTGAGGGAGAAGTTAGACAGGGAAGGGAAGGCGGCCACACAATATAGGATGCATTATTAAGTCAGCTACCACAGTGGGTGATGGCAGTTGAATCTCACAGGGTAACTCTGGAAAACTGCAAAGTACGTGCCTTGGAATTACTTTAGCCAAGGGGTGAGGGAGCTGGAGTATTTATACCCATATAACCAGCAGTCATTGCTTCAGAGTGTCCCCAGAGATATTAATTCCCAGGCACTTTCACCTTTCCATGCCTATGGACAAAGTGGAGCCTAGGGGCCATGTGTCTGACAAAGATGCAATGGATGTGGGAGGAGCGCCCATACAGACTGCTTCGAAGTCACCCAAGGACTTAGGATTCCTTCCAAGATATACAAAACCCACACCCCCACCCCAAACTTCTGAAGGCATCACCATTACTCATGATCAAAATGTCTGATTAATGTACACAGTGCATTAAGCACACTTTTGAATGTGATTTGAAGGGGAATGACATTAACAGACTCTACTTGCTGAATTTTCCACTCTATGGAGATGGCAAGACAGACTTCTTGCTAACATTTAGGAAACACACATGCCCTCCTTCCCCACTGTCATATGTCTATGTGAGAGAATAAAGAATTCACAACTAGTTCTAAAAAAAAAAGAAACTAGGAAGAGAAATACAGACTACAGAGTAAGATAAAGCAATAGCGCTAACAGAGAGACAGACAGAAAGGAATGAGAATTTCATTTATTAAAATTGGAAAAAAAAACCCAAAAATTATTGGTACCTTTAAACATGTTCCCCAGATGAAGCCTGAGGTACTCTGCTGGAACTTTCTGATTGTAATATGGAATCTGGTTGTTAAACAGCCTCATTTTGTACTGGAATTCATCTTTTAAAGCCAAATAATTCTTTAGCATCTCCATTTCTTTTGACACTTTAGTTGCAAAAATCCTTTCTTAGTGCGTAACAATGATAATAATTAGTATTTATTTCATGCTTACTATGTGTGAATTGTTTTGCATGTATTAACTCATTTAATACTCACAATAAACCCATTAGTTTCCCCATTTCACAGGGAAAGAAGCTGAGGCTCAGAGAGGTTCAATGACTAGCCCAAGGTCACTCAGCAAGTGGAGCTAGGATTTAAATCCAGGGGGTCTGACTGCAGAACCCCCAATTTTTACATCTCCATATTATCTTTCTTTCATGTGCCCTAATTACTTACCTTAATAGGCACATGTTTTTACAAACATAAATCCTTCCTTAATTGTTTCTATCCCAAGGATGTGATGGCTTGACATTTTATGCTGAGGTAAGTGCAATACTTTCACATGAACAACATCCTAAAACAGAGCTCATTCAAGGAGGAGAGAGGCCCCAACCTCCCAAGCATGATGTCTGGTTTCTCCACCAGCATGCCCGGGTCTCTCGCCAGGAAAGCCTTGAGAGTTTTACCCCACACCCATCTTGGAATCACATGCTCTCTAAATCTAGGGAAAATCACTGTGGGCTACAGGAAATCAATTTTGTTTGCTTCTCTTTGCTACTGGATGAGCCTACTCAACCACTGGACTCCATATTGAGTAAAAATAAGAAACATGCAAATGGCACTCCATTCTTATTTGTTACCTTTTTACTAAATAAAAGAAGGAAGTCTGAGTGATCATAGATAGAACCATTGCTTAGAAAGCACTTGAGCGATTGTTTAGATTCACATTTATTATGGTGTGAGCTGAGTCTAAAAAATAATTGACTTTTTTTTTCCAGTAAGGCTTATAAATACAGATCCAGAGAGGCCTCTCATTCTCCTAACCATCTTTCCAGGCGGAGATGAGAGGGAAAAAGCTCATGCCTATGATAAAAGCCTATGGTTTGCTTTTCCACGATGTTTCTATTACAGTGTAAGTGTGTATATGGCATCAGTACATATGCACATAAGTGCCATTTGCTAAATTTAAAAGAAAGATGGTTTTCCCACTTCTAACACTTAAGGACTTAGAAAAGATAATGCTTTAAGAGGCAGCAAAATCCACGACTACACACAGATAAAAGACCCTCTTATTTTTCTAAATATTTAGAGAATTAGTCTACAGAAGGACTACAATGGAAACTACCAAAGTGAGATGAGATAAAATGATAAAAGTGCACCTAGGGAACCGTTTAAGTATGCGAGAGTGTCTATGGAGTGTGTGTATGTGTGTGTGTGTGTCCCCATTTACACACACACAAGAGAATGAATAATTTTAAGCAAAAGCATTCAAGAATTTTATCATTCTGTCTTGACTTGTCCTTTCCACATGTTCAGGTTCAGTAATAACGGCAGCTTTGAAAGTGTCAGGACCAGATCAGTCAGGAGGATTCATTTAGAAATTGTGACTGGTCACAATGTGCCTTTATTTAGCCAACCCTCATAATAAGCGATTTCTATTACACGGGGCTGCTGTGTGATGAGGTGGAGAGCGCGTAACTGAGGCTCTCTAGTCAGACACCCGCAGAGCCTGTGCCATCCACACGCTCACCACAGCTCCTGTCTCGGCATGGGGGAGGCAGGCGGAGGGATGAGCAATATGTATTTCAGATGCCCTTTTGGTTTGGGGGCTGTCAAGTCTCCTGATGCTGGACAGGACTGGGCTATATTGAAAATTACACTAATTAGGAGATTTGGATTTTTGACTCATCTTTGTTTCTGTAAACATCTTGTGAGTCTATCTAGCCTCAAATACCCAGCTAGAAACAAATATACGGAGATGATATGAGATTGTGCATGGAAGTCCCTCAAAGATGGCATTACACAGACTAAGACTACTAAGTAAAAAAAGTCCATGTAAATTTCAAAGAGCCATTAGCTGAGTCATATATTTACAAAATATAGTCAACCATCTGACTAAGCTTTCTTAACTTCTTGAAAATCTGGACAATGAGATGCTAAGACAATAATAATGACCCAGAGAGATTGATGAGAAATTGAAAATTCTGCAAACACAAATAAAAAAGACAGATAAGCATAAAAATGGAAACGAATGCTAAATCAAAAGTCTGTCTCTAGCAAGTTGACACAATTCTGCAAGCCACAGATGCTCATAATTGGAACACTAAATAAAATAAGGATGTTAAATTAGCAAATAACTCAGTAAGGTTAGAAAACATATTTATGGTATTAAAGTGTCCCGGGTAATAGCAACATAACAGAGAGAAGAGGAGATCTTGGGCTGGGCATGGTGGCTCGTGCCTGTAATCCCAGCACTTTGGGAGGCCGAGGCAGGTGGATCACCTGCGCTCAGGAGTTCGTGACCAGCCTGGCCAACATGGACAAATCACGTCTCTACTAAAAAAATACAAAAATTAGCTGGGCATGGTGGTGGGTGCCTGTAATCCCATCTACTTGGGAGGTTGAGGCAGGAGAATCATTTGAACCTGGGAGGTGGAGGTTGCAGTGAGCCGAGATCGCACCGCTGCAGCCCAGCCTGGGTGACAGAGCAAGACTCTGTCTCAAAAAAAAAAAAAAAAAAAAAAAAAAAAAAAAAGGAGATCTTAAATATTATGATGGGAAAATCTCTAGAATCAACTTCGTGGTGAGGAGGGGGCCGTTCAGAGATATAATTTAAAGTTGAATCATGGACAACCGAAGGTTTAGACTAAAAGAAAAACAGAGGTACCAAGCGCAAAACCTTGCTAAATACAACACTGTGAGATAAATAGGGAGATAGGCATCACTGTTATATAGAAGATGTTGAAGGAAAATTAGAAGGGTTCTTTGTCCCCTCAATATTCAACTGATTTCCAAAAATGCAAGCTATTAAAGTATGACATAACTTCATAAAAGAGGGTAATTTTTACTTCTTGGGAAAGTCAGAAGAATAAAATGCAGAAATATTTATAAAATAAAGTTTTATTTTTACTTTAATTTCACTATTTTATTTTGCTTAAACTAATGCTTATATTACACTTACTGTGTATATCAGGCACCATTTAAAATACTTTGTAAACATTAACCGATTTAATCTTCTTAACAACCCTAGAATGTACTATTATTAAACCCTTTTACACGTGAGAAAACAGGCTTGGAGAGATTCAGTGACTTGCCCAAGGCCACACAGCTAGTAAAAGGTGGAGCTGTGGCCGTGTGCGGTAGCTCACGCCTGTAATCCCAGCACTTTGGGATGCCGAGGTGGGTGGATCACAAGGTCAGGAGTTTGAGACCAGTCTGGCCAATATGGTGAAACCCCGTCTGTACTAAAAATACAAAAATTAGCCAGGTGTGGTGGCAGATGCCTGAATCCCAGCTACACAGGAGGCTGAGGCAGGAGAATCGCTTGAACCCGGGAGGGGGAGCTTGCAGTGAGTCGAGATTACACCTCTGCACTCCAGCCTGGGTGACAGAGCGAGACTCTGCATTTAAAAAAAAAAAAAGGTGGAGCTGTACACAGGCCACCGGGCTCTACAGTACTTGCAATCACTAAGCTATGTTGCCTTTACAAGCAGAGGAATTAAAAAGTGACATATTTTGATGATCTTGCTCTAATTTCTTAGCTTCTGAACCTTTGAAAGATTAAGTGAATATATAATACAATTCTACACTCTTTAGAACAGGAAAAAATTTGAGGAAATTTGATCTTAAAATATATCCATTTGTCTTTAAAATTATACATGGAACCTTAAGAATTCTTTAAAAGAGTAAATTGGTATTTCATACAAACACACACAAAAGAGACTAGATGGATTGGAAAGATGTATTTTTCTGTTATTCCACAATAACTTTTACATTGAGATCAGATTAGAAAATGACCAGGATAAATGGCCAAGAATAAAATTCCCCCAAGTGTTGCGTATACATTCTACCAGAAAATATGTGACAACATTTTTAAGAAGTGTTTCCTGCCACAAAGGCAGAAGTGGGTGCTAATGTTAACAGCTCTTAAAAAGCTGTAGCCTGAAAAGAATAATGTCCTGAAAGGTAAATTGCATTTCCCTACAAAGGTTTTAATTAAAAAGCACTCTTACCTTCAGTCCTGACTCTTTAAACTTGCAATTTTACCAATAAGACAACAGTATTAATTCACTAATTCATTCAACAAGCATTTATGGAGCTCCAATTTAGCACTGAGACTATCCCAAAGTGAATGAGACACAGTTTCCACTTCTCAACAAGTCCATTTAGAGAATATGAACTTGGACAATTAATTAACAAAACCATGAGCTAAGTGTTATAGAGGCTCCAATAACACAAGCAGCAAGATCTTTTTAAAAATGTGCAATGTGCTCCTGGCTCAATATGGTGGAATAAGCACATGCATTATTTCTTGTCCTAACTAAAACCCCACTAAAATGAGAGTAAATCCCAAATTTCCACTTCTAGCCAAAATGGAGTAATAGGAACTTGCTTTATCCTCCCACCTAACCTCACTCCCCCCATCCCAGTACAAAATATATTAAATAATATGCAAGACACTGGACTTCAGCCAACAATCAGTGATCCTTGAGAGAAGGGAAGCAAATGACACGGGCCCAGTGATTTTTAAGCTTACTGCCTGGAGAGAAGTTCCAGGCTACAGCATGAGAGGGCAAATCCAGGCAGAGCCTGGTGGGCTCCTCACATTGAGTAGATGAAGCTGAGTCTGAGGACACCTAGGCAGCTAGAGTTTACAGAGAAGAGTACTGGAGAGAAGGCTTCACATAGAGAAAATGCCAAAGATCTAAAGATAGTCCTTCTGGCTGGGCATGGTGGCTCACAACTGTAATCTCAGCACTTTGGGAGGCCGAGGCAGGTGGATCACTTGAGGTCAGGAGTTCAAGATCAGCCTGGGCCAACATGGAGAAACCTCTATTTAAAAAATACCAAAAATTAGCTAGGCATGGTGGCTTGCACCTATAGCCCAGCTACTTGGGAGGCTGAGGCAGAAGAATTGCTTGAACCTGGGAGGAGGAGGTTGCAGTGAGTTGAGATCATACCACTGCACTCCAGCCTGGGTGACAGAGTGAGACTCCATCTCAAAATAAATAAATAAATAAATAAATAAATAACAATTTAAAAAAATAAGGATAGTCCTTCTTGAGTATTCAGCTGACTGCTGAGAAGTGTATGCATGTGAGGAAACTACCTAAGGTTAGGTGGAAATCCACACAAAAAGATTGAAGAACAGTGCCCGCTACTTACACAGACCTGGAAATAGAGTCTATTCCTGCTAGTCAGACTGGGAAACCTTAAGATTCTCTGACATAGAGCAGTTTGCCTCTATTGTAGGGAATAGCAACACCTAAACCAACCACTGCTTTGGTATCACCTAACAAACCTTAAAAGTGAGGACAAAGGATAAAACTGCTTCTAAGCAATGAAACTGTGTCTCAGATTAAAGCTTAAGAATATTGATAGGAATAAAAAAATGTCCAGTACCAATACAGTAAAATATACAATATCTGGTACCCAGTCAACAATTAACCAGCACACAAAAAGCAGGAAAATAGGACCATAAGAGGATATCAAATCAATCAATCAAAATAGACCCCAAATTAACACAGAATTAGCGGTTGCTATAACTGCATTTCAAATGCTTAAAAAGTTAAGTAGATACATGGAAGATATTTTTTAAAGGCCAAAATCAAATTTCTACAGATAAAAAACAATGTCTAAGATAAGAATTACATTGGATGGGAATAATGGAAAATTAGAGACTGCAGAAGAAAAGATTAGTGAACTTGAAGACATAGCTACAAAAATATTTAAAATGGAAGACAAAGGAAAAGATAATTTATAAAATGAGTAGAGCATCAGTGAGTTGTGGGCTAACTTCAAGTAGCCTGTACTTAAGAAACTGGAGTCCCTGAAATAAAAAGAGGACAGGATAGAAAAAAATTAGAAGATATAATGGATATAAAATGTCCAAATGTGATAGAAAAAATAAAACCAGAGATCCATGAAATTCAATAAACCCCAAGCGAAAGAAATACGAAGAAAATTACAGCAAGGTACATCATAATCAACTTTCTCAAAAGAAGTGACGAACAAAAAATCTTAAAAGCAGCTTCAGATAAGAAGGCACGTTATATGGAGAGAATCAAGGCAGGGATTATTGTATAATATATTTCTAGACAGAAATAATGCATGTGAGAAGATAGTGATGCAACATTTTTAAAGTACTAAAAGGAAAAAAACTGTCAAACTAGAATTTTATATTTAGTAAAATAGCTTTTAAAAGTGAAGAGGAAACAAAGACTTTTTCAGACACACAAAACTTAGAAGAATTCATCACTGGCAGATTTCACCACAAAATTTAAAAAAAGTCCTTTAAGGGTTATGAAAATAACACCAGATGGTAACAGGAATCTCTACAAAGGATGAAGAGTATTGGAAATGGGTGTGTGTGTACTTATGTGTATGTATACACATATACATATATATATACACATATGTGTGTGCATGTTTTACTTCTAACTTAAAAATCTCTTTAAAACACAATTAACTATTTAAATAAAAATAATAACATAATGTAGAGTTTATAAAATCTGTAGAGGTTAAATGTTTTCCAATAATTTCAAAAAAGATTGGGAGGGGAAAAATCAAAATATACTATTCCAAGATTATTACACTATATGTGAGCATAAAATCACTTGAAGGTAAACTGTGATAAACTAAATGTATGTACTATAAGTCCTAAAGTAACAATTAAAATAACAAAACAAAAATTATAACTTATAAGCCAACAAAGGACACAAAAAGAAATTGTAAAAATTATTCATTTAATCTAAAATCAGGCAGGAAAAGAGAAAAAAAAAAAGAAGAGATGGGACAAAACCCTCCCACAAAATTAGCATATAAACCTTATCACATCACATATCACATTAAATATAAATGGTCTAAATGCCCCAATTAAAAAGAAGAGATTGTCAAATTAGATTAAAAAAGAAGACCCAACCACACGTTGCCTACACGAAACACATTTCAAGTGTGATGGCACAAACAGGTTAAAAGTAAAAGGATAAAAAAAAATATCATGTGTGACACCAATCAAGGAAAGCTACAGTAATATCAAGCAAAAGATGTTTCAGATCAAAGAGTATTACCTGGGATGAAAAATGTCATTTCATAATGATAAGGAGTCATTTCATCAAAAAGACATAAATAATCACAAATCATGTCTATGCACCTACTAACAAAGCTTCAGTAGACACGAAATAGAAACTGGTATAACTGCAAGAAGAAACATGCAAATCCAAAAATATAGTCAGACATTTTAATACTTCTGTCTCAATAATATATAGAACAAACAGAATGAAAATCCATAAGAAAATAGAAGATCTGACCAACATTATCAAGTAACTTTTAAAATGAACATTTATAGAACATTTCACTCCCAAAACAGCAGAATACACATTCTTTTCAATAACACATGGACAGCTATAACAATAGATCATACAGTGGTCCATAAGTCTTATTAAACTGAAAATAATTAAAGTCACACAAAGTACATTATCTGACCACAGTGGAATTAAATAAAAAAATGGCAACAGAAAGATCTCTGGGAAATCTTCAAATATTTGGAAACAAAACAACATACTTTTAGATAACTCATGGGTCAAAGATGAACTCAAAAGGGAATTTAGAAAGTATTTTTAACTGAATGAAAATTAAAATACAATATATCAGAATTTGGAGGATGCCATTAAAACAGTTTTTAGGGAAAATTTTATAGTACCAGCTTATATTAGAAAAGAAAAAAAGTATTAGTTTTTCCCTTAAAAAACTAAAAAAAAAAAAAGAGCAAATCAAACTTTAAGTAGAAGGAAATAACAAAGGAACAGAAAACAATGACATAGAAAAAAGAAAAACAATAGAAAAAAGTTAATGAAACAAAAAGCTGGTTCTTTGAGAAGATCAATAAAACTGATAAACCTTTAGCCAGACTTATTAGGAAAAAAAAAGAAGACGGAAATTGCTGACAGGAGAATTGAGAGAAGTGGCATGACTGTTCAGTCCCCAGATGCTGAAAATATAAAAACGAGGATGTTGTGAAGAACTTTATGCCGACAAATTCAACAACTCAAATGAACAAATTCCTTGAAAGACATAAATTACCAAAGCTTACTCAAGAAGAATTAGATAACCTTGTAGCCCTTTATCTATAAAAGAAATTGAATTTGTAATTTAAAAAAAACTCTTTCACAAAGAAAACTCTGGGCCAAATGGCTTCAGAGGTGAATTATATCAAGTATTAAAGAAGAAATAATACCAACTCTACACAACTCTTCCATGAAATTGGAAAGGAAGAAATATTTTCCAATTTATTCTATGAGGTCAGCAATGCCTTAATACTAAAACTGGACAAAGACATTACAAGCAAAGAAGACAGACCAATATCCTCATGAACCTAGAAAAATTCTAAACAAAATTTTAGCAAATTGAATCCAGCAATACGCCAAAAAGAATATCATGGTAAAGCAGAGTTTATCTCAGGAATGCAAAATAGGTTTAACACTCAAAAATCAATCAATGATCAATATAATCCACTATATTGCTAAACTATAAAGAAAAACCATATGATCATCTTAATAGATGCAGAAAAGGCATCAGAAAAAATCTAACATATCTTCCTGGAAAGGCTCTCAATAAAGTAGGAATTAAAGGGAACATCCTCAATATTATAAAGGGCATATACAAAAAACCATACAGCTAATATCACACTTAATGGTGTAATATTCAAGACTGAATATTTATTACTTAAACCTGAATTTCCCTCCCTAGAATAAGACAGAAATAAGACAAGGATGTCTGCTCTCACCACTTCTATTCAATATTGCACCAGAATTCCTAGCCAGTGGAATAAGTTAAGTAAAATAAATAAAAGACCAGATTGTAAAAGAAGAAGTAAAGTTTTGTTTATTTACATATGACATGATTGTCAACTAGAAAATCCAATGAAGTGTACAAAAATGCTGTAATAAGTGAGTTGATCAAGGTGTAGAATACAAGATCGTTCTACAAAGATGAGTTGCATTTCTCTATGCTAAAATGAATAATCAGAAAATGATATTTGAAAAAAGATACCATTTACAACAGTATCAAAATATATGAAATACTAAGAAACTACAGAAAATAACTGAGTTGGCATCTTTTTAGAAATCCAAAATACTTGGGCATAAAATCTTATGTATTATTGTGAAATTTCAGAAGCACAAAAATAAAAATCCTGAAAATTTCCACGGGAGTAAACAGATCACCTATAAAGAACTAAGAATCAGACTGACAAGAGCCTTCTCAATGGTCAAAACATAATGAAGTTAGAGGAAAAGGTTAGGATAATAATATTAATTAAATTCTCATCTGACATAGCAAAAATTTGATAGATATTGGTTTAAGGTGGCAAACTACTAAATAAAGGTGTAAGCATATTATTTATAAATGTGGAGCTAACCACCAGAAGGCCTATCAATAGAATGGGTTAAAACTGGCTGCCTTTGGAAGTACGATGAGAGAAGAAAAAGATGGGGTAGGAAATAAATTTAATAGGGAATCATTTAATAACCCTATTGGTATTACTTGATTGTTTTTAACTATATGTATGATCTCAATGTGTTTTAAAAACACCTCAGTGGGTGCATGGTGACATCAGAGCCCAGAACAAATTAAATGGATCCTTGAGTAACATGGCTGCACTTTACATATGGCCATGAACGTCTATATTACAGCTAGTAGCCGGCTGTTTTCTTCCCAATATAAGCTTCAATTCGACTGAATTTATTGTGCTCTCTCCCTCCTGCCCCCCACCTCGCCCTGTCTCTCTCTGTCTCTCATGGTGACAAAGAGCCTTGTTGCTCTTTGACTCTGACGGAACAATGCTTATGTGTGAAGCCAAATGGTGTGGGGACAAGGTAGTCGGGCAAAGTATGTGCTCTGGATACACAGATGATGACCTCACACCAACAAGAACATGCAGACACCCAAAATTCTGTATGATTGATTCATTCTAAGTTGATGCAAGATTTTAATCGGTATGACCCCAAGTCTCGTGGGAAAAGTTGTTCCTTTTTCAATTCTCTTTCAATCCTATTTATGTCAAGGAGAAAAATGTTGGTTTGGTAGCCTTTTAAACAAGAACTCTTGTTAAAAGATTTCATTCTCAGACCTCCGGCTCAGAGTATTTCACTAATATTTGATTGTTGTATTTGTGTTTGTTTTCATGGTTACTGTCTATTTTATATATGAAAAGTGAAACTGGTTTTCCATCTGTGGCCAGTGACAAAGGTTAAATTTATCCTTTTAAATAAATTTACAAACAATAAGTAGGTAGTTTAAGAAGAATATTAAGCATATTCTTAGGAGGATATTAATATTAGAAGAATATTAAGCATATTAATAGGAGGAAAGTTGTTATGGCAACATTTGTCAAGATGGTTTGCAAATAACTGAAGTTTGGGGAACAGCAGTCTGGTAAAAGCCCTGACCTGGTTTACCTTTATCAAAATTTGTTTTTATTTATTTTATATGTGTATATTTAGGGGGTGCAAGTGCAGATTGCTTATGTGTGTATATTGCATAGTGGTGAAGTCTGAGCCCCGGTGTACCCATCATCTGTACTGGCTTGCCTTCTTCATATGGCTCCTGGCAGGACTGTGAAACAGGAAGGGAAGAATGTCCTCATTTAGGTTGGACATTGGCAGCATTTTCTGGGCAAGAAACTCTGAATTTGCTCATGCTTTTTAATAATCTCCCAATTAAATGCAACTGTTTTGAGATATATCCCAATTTGAAGTATACAATAAAACCTAGAATACAGCCTTGGGAGTTGTGGGCCCATAGTTTCTGAAAAGTAGATGGCAGGGAAAGTGCTGAGCTGTTTCTTTTCCTTCCCAATTACACCAGAAAAAAAAAAAAACCCAAAAAATAAAAATGAAAAAACCCTCCCACATATAATGAATGCGCTCACCCTCTCCACATATATGTTGCCTCAAACTTCAAACCTTCAATCCACATACATTTGTGAAAGAAAACATTCACACCAAAGCTGCTTTATCATCCTAGTTTGCTGGAAATGGATTTCAGTAGCTATGACCACACCCTCCCCACATGAGGCTCCCCTACAACTGAGGGATGGACAGCAAGGAGTCAGCACAGAGTCTCAGCTTCAAACCCCAAATGAATCTGGTTATTTCTCTAATAAGCAATGTATAATAAGTTTACAATGATAATTACAGCATATTTACAAGGAAATTCGGAGAAAAAAAGAATAAGATTGAAAAATATAAATCTAGGTCAAAAACAATGGTGACAAAAGACACCATAAACAAATTGAAAAGACAGGCCAAAGTCTGGGAGACTGACATATGTAACAGATACAGGATCACAATACAGTGTGTATATGTGTATATATATATGTGTGTATGTATATATACACATGCATACACACATAACTCCTACAAAGTAATTAGACAAATTAATAACCCAATAGAAAAATGGTCAAAGTGTTTGAATAAGCAAATAATAGGGAGGAAATACCAATAGCCAATAAACATATGACAAGTGGTTCGATCTCATTAGTAATAAGAGAAATGTACATTAACTCCATTTTGGAGAGCGATTTGACCCTATCTAAAATGTGCACATTCTGTAACCCAGAAATTCCATCTGTAGGTATAAACCTAGAGAGGCACTCATGTGCATAAGAAGTCACGCACCACAGTGGCATTTTTAATAGAGAAAAATTGGAACACAAATGCCCCTGAATAGGAGAAAAGCTACATAAATTACAGCATAGGCACAACATGAAATATTATGAAACAATGAGGTAGATCTATATGAATTAACATGGAAAGATCTTAAAGAAATATTAGTAAAAAGCCAGCTGCAGACACATTCAATGTTATGCCTATATAGGGGAAAAAGCCTTTAAAAAACAATGCTATCTAGTTGCTTAGTGCTATAGATTCACAGCACTGTGCTTAAATATACAAAAAATATTTCAGAGGATTCAGACTAAACTGGTAATTGTTACTGGGAAGGTGGAGGGTATTGAGGAGAGGAGGGGGAATAGGAACTTGTATGGTGGTAGAGGTCCAAGGTGATTTTTAACTTATCTATAATGTTTTAATTTTTTCAAGTTGCTGATATTTATGTATTACTTGAGTAATTTAAGTAATACTTGAGTAATTTATATAATGCAACAAAAAGTTGATAAAAAAATAACACTAATGATCTAAGAAGGACTGAGAGAAGGGGATAGAGAAGTTAGCCCAGCAGCATAGGATCTGCTACTGTTAGTTTACTGAAATTTGTGACAACATGAGTTGTCATAAATTCATCATGTGGAAAGCCATCCACGTTGGGCTCCCCTCCCATTTGTAAACGAATTGTCTCTGTGACTGTCCAAGGCTCACACGCTCCTGGGGCCCATGCCTCCCTCAACAGTAGGAAGGGTTGAGACCTCACTAATAAGACTCAAAGCTACAGTCTAAGAACCCTTGGTCAGAAGAAACTCAAAAAGATAATACACATGCAGTGTAAAGGAATCTTTCTCTGCTTCTTTATTAGATTGTTATATCCACATATTGCACTTTAGCAGCCAAAACAAAGTTCTCTAATGTAGTCTCATGGCAATAATATTGTAAAACAATACAAAATGGCAATAACTGGCCAGTTTCTGAAGGTGGAGGTCTGAAATCGACAATGCTTTTCTCAAAAACCACAACTTGGTAAAAGACACAGCTATTAGAAAACAGATTCTCTTCCTAAATGCCTTGAAATTCATGTCCTTTTTAATTGCCCAGAATTCATGTCACTTGTGTGAAAAAGCTATAAAAATACACAATCATAAAAACACACTTAGACATCCTGAACAAAATCAATGCCATATTATTTTAGTTTATTATTCCTTGTAGAATTCACACTGGTCTTCCTACTTTGATATTTATTTATACCAAAGAAGCAAAAGAACATAAATGCCACTCTTGGGACAGCACTAATGCTAGAATTGAGTAGAATACATATAGCTTCTGCCTTAATTTAAAAAACTAAAGCAGTCTTTACGAATCAACCTCACATAATATAGGACAAAGCTGAAGGTCACTGTATTATTCATTTAAAAAGGCACTGATAAGGATTAAAATTAAGGTTCATGAGGTTTGAAGGACTGTTAGCTTGCATAAATGGCTTCTTCCTTCCTAACTGCGGATGATGGGGGGGCAGGGGCGTGGAGGGGGGAGTTGATGATAAATAGTATAAAAAAGGATATACTTTTTTCTTCCCCCCAGGGCTTTGTTATTCGTCTCTCACTGGAACCTCTAAGCTCTTTATTCAAGAGGTCCTCTGATATTCACAACTTTGCTGCTCTTATGAAAAATTGATGATTGCTTTCTCTTCAACAGAAAACTGCCTTATTTTGCAGAAGATTAACAAAGAGGATGCGGTGCAGAAGTGAGTCCCTCAGCAGGAGAAGCTTCTCTCACACCAACCCATTTATGGCTGGGGGAAAATACCCCGTTAGTTCAAGGATAGCAAATAAATAGATGGTGTGCAGCCTGGTACAGATGGTAGAACAAGGACTACATCCTTCACAAAAGGGATGTGCCAACAAAAACAGCCTGCCCTCAACAGCAAGCTGACCCAACGCCCTGCTCGCTGACTCCTTTATGCCGGCACCGGCACCGAGTGCCACGCTGCGTTTGCAAGCTATTGTTCAGCAGGCAGATTTTCTGCTGGGGGTTAACAGGTGAGAGCAGTGATCCAAGAGCAAAATAGAGAGGATGCTTTTAGTTAAGCTGCCAATGCTTAGCAAACACTTCTGAAAATATCACAGCTCAATATTGCATCATTCATGAATGGAAGAGCTGCAGGGTGGGGGGTGCTTGTTTCAAAATGATTTACCAAAGTAAGGAGAGAGTGCAGAAATGCAGAAATAAAATAATGTGGCTCATGTTCTGTCATAAGTATGCGTCAGCTTTCATTTTAACATCTAGTTGTGGCCATCAAAGTAATTTCTGGTGAAATTCCGCTTTCACTATTTAAAGTCCCACATTGTTACATCATTTCACATGTTAATTTCACTCAATCTTTGATGACCACATGTCCCCTAGACTCCCTAAAGCCAGAGAGGTTATATTAATTATTGTTCGTTAGTAAGGGACCGGGCCTCAAACTCAGCTCTTCCCACCCTGAGCCCAGCACTCCTGGGAAGCTGTGGAAGGGCATTCACACACCCTGATCCCGGCATCCAGCCAGCCAGGGGCTGGGGACAGAGCACATGAAAAACGTTTGGAAAGAACAAAGGGGCCCCTTTCTTTCATACCTGTTAAAATGGCTATTATAAAAAAAGATGGAAGACAAGTGTTAGCATGGCTGTGGAGAAAAGGGAACCCTTGTGCACTGTTGGTAGGAAGGTAAATTAGCACAGCCGTGATGGAAAACAACATGGAAGTTTCTCAGAAAACTAAAAATAGAACTACCATGGGGCCCAGCAATCCCACTTCTGGGTAGAGATCCAAAGGAGCTGAACTCAGTGTGCCACAGAGATATTTGCACTTCCGTGTTCACTGCAGAATTCACAGTGCTGAGTTATGGAAGCAACCGAGGTGTTCGTCATTGGATGAATGTATAAAGAAAACGTGCGTGTACAAGACGGAGTACTATTCAGCCTTTAAAAAGAAGGAAATTCTGTTATTTTTGACAACAGAGATGAACTTGGAGGACATTACACTAAATGAAATAAGCCTGGCACAGGACAAATGCCACATGATCTAACTTGTGATTCTCACATGTGGAATCTGAAACATCAAGCTCACAGAAGCAGAGGGTACAATGGTGGTTCCCAGAGGCTGGGAAAGGGGGTTGGAGGGAAAAAGGTGAGAGATGAGGGTGCAAAATTTTAGTTAGACAGGAGGAATAAACTTTACTGAGCTATTGCACAGAATGGTGACTAGAATAAGTAATAATGCATTGTATATTTCCAAATTGTTAAAAGGGGAGACT
Source organism: Homo sapiens (assembly GCF_000001405.40). Lineage (NCBI taxonomy): Eukaryota > Metazoa > Chordata > Mammalia > Primates > Hominidae > Homo > Homo sapiens. The sequence continues at coordinate 49,311,458 of NC_000016.10, read as the reverse complement.
TCAAGTGTTGTCACCACAAAAAAAGATAAGTATGTGAGGTGATGGATTTGTTAGCATGATTTGATCAATCATTCCACATTGCACACATACATCAAAACATCACATTGTGCCCCACAAATACACAATTATTTGTCAGTTAAAACAAAGAATGAAGGCGGCACCCACCTGACGCTAAGCACCTAGAAATGACTGAATTCCACCAACATGTGGTTGGCATGGACATGGCCTTTGCCTTCACGGAGCTTCGCGGACTCCTGGGGCAGGTGGGGCCAAACACATTCTGACCCTGATAACTCTACCATCACACTTGTGATGGGCCAGACTTTTGGAGCTGTGGTTCAAGGACATATCTTTTGTGAGTTTTTTTGTCTGTTTTTAACTTGTTTTTTAAGTGTTTGGAGTAAGAAAGCACTGAGCTTGGGTGGCTGAAAGTGTGTGATGGAGAATCTATAAATGATAGTTTCATATAGATCAGTTGTGCTCGTCATTGTCTGTATTGGTCTATTTTTCGGTGTCACTAACGGCATATGAAATGACAATTAGAGACGTCAGCTGCTCTTTGACTTGAATATACTTTCCAGAGAGCACTAAATCTACAGTGTTTCTCCTCATTTGTATGAATCTTAAGGTAGTTGAGGGACAATGACTGCTGGGCCCTGTAGAATGTTTTCTCTATGCCAAGCACTGCTCCAGGACCCTCTGAAGTGTTACCACTCAGTTAATCTTCACAGAAGTCCCATGACACTTGCACTGTTATTTTACAGGTACCCCATTTTGCAGATTAAGAAACTGAGAAGCAAAAAATTAAAGTGGTTTGCCTAAGGTTTCCAGATAATAGGTGGGAGAGCTGGGATTTAAAGCTGGTAGACTGCCTCCAGTCTGCTATGACTTCTGCCTGAAGACAGATGATATCTAAAATAATTTTTAAACATATGAAATTCATTTTCAGTATAATTATAGATAGCAGATCAAAATAACTAGAAAAATCCAGGAAAAAGAGCCATGAATATACACTTTCAAAGAGTGTGCAATGAAGAGCAAAATCAATTCTTGCTTTATAAGCTATCACAAGGATTTTACCACTGTCAACATTTTATTATTAGATATCAAAAAATCATTACCACCAAAACAAAACATTCACAATGATATAAAAATGGACTTTGCTCCTTAAGGAAATGCTATAAATATGCACAAGAAAATATTTTTCTCTGAGAAATGGCAATCAGCCAATAAATCAGCAAGTCACACACGAATCTCCTCTCTTTTCCTAGAATTTAACACATGAAGATTTAACAAGGCTTGTAACCAGTTCAACAAGAATGAGAGAAGCCTGTTAGAAGCCATCATTAAATCTAAAACTTAAAACTTCTGCATGACAAAATACATCATAAAAAGGTTAAAAGACAAGCTATACATAGGGAGTAAATATTTGCAACATGCCTAGTAAGAGAAGACTGTTAACCAGAAATGATGAACAACTCCTACAAGTCAGTAAGATAAGCAACTCAAAACAAAGAAGCATAAATAATAGGTTCAAGGATTTCACAGAAAAGGAAATTCAAATGGCCAATCAACATGGAAGGATGTTGAACGTCACTAGCAATTACAGAAACTCAAAATAGAACCACAATAAGCTACTTACTTCAAATGTGCAAAATGTTTAAGTTGGTCGGTATCAGATGTTGGTGTAAGTATGGGGAAATGAGTGCTTTCATATGCTGCTGGTGGGAGTCTACATCATAGCCAAGTTGGAGGTACTTTGGAAGGACCTAGTAATATTGAAGATGAGTGAATTCTATAATCTTAAAATTATCTGCACAGAGAAATATTTGCACAGATGCACTGGGGGATATGTACAAGGACGTTCACTGCAACATAATTTGAAATAATGAAAAACTGACAAAACCTAAATATCCACCAGCAAGAAATGAATAATCTGTGGTGTGTTCCTAGGATATAATAGTTATAGAATGACTCTAGATGTAAATTATCAAAATGCGCACAGCTCAAAAATGACGAGTGGAAAGAAGTTGCAGAACAACATACAGTGTGATATCATTTATATAAATGTTTTTTAAAAATTCCCACATCAACAATATTATGTGTTTCTAAGGATATGTGAATATACATGTAAAAGTTTACAAAATGGGCTGAAAGCATACACACCAAGTTCAGAACAGTGTCTATTTCTGGAGACTAAGGAGAGTTACTGTGATTAATGTGATAGACAAGGTGGGGGAGGGTTAAGTCAATAATGTGCTTTTTCTTTTAGAAAAAGGGAAGAATTAATCCATACAGTTTTAAAAATATTATATACATAGGAAAAAAGACTGACTCAAATATGCCAGTGATTAATTCCTGTTGGTGAAGATTTCTTGGATTTTTCTTTCCTCTTCTTTTTTAAAATAGTTTTATACATTTTCAATTTTCCAAAATAAAAAAATACAATGAAAAAATCAATAGAAATATAACTTGTAAATTTCAACTAAATCTGCAATGTCATGATCTACCTCTTGTGATTAGCTTTTCTTTATTTTTATCTTACACAATTATGCTCTTAAGTAAGGACAAATGAGAGTCAGAACACTTTGGTCCTCCATTTCCTTCAATAAAAAGGAACATAATGTATTTGGATAACTGTTTTTGGTCTAACAGAGCTTTGACATTACAGAGGCATATGTTTCATAGATTATGGATGACATTGTTTAGAAGACTTCAAATTCACAGGTGGCAGCTGGAATCCCATAAAGATGTTGTATCTTTGGTTTTAAATAACAGTTGCAAATAAGAGTTAAATAACTCTGTGCCACTCTTCTGGTCATATATAAAAAGCACAATAGTATAGTGGTTTAGAGCTGAGCTGTCTAATACATGTAACAATGTGTTCTCATTTAAATAAAAATGAATTAAAACTAAATACAATTAAAAACTGAGTTCCTGGTCAGGTGCAGTGGCTCACACCTATAATCCCAGCACTTTGGGAGGCCAAGGCAGGCAGATAAACTTGAGGCTGGGAGCTCAAGACCAGCCTGGCCAACAGGGTGCAACCCTGTCTCTACTAAAAATACAAAAAATAAAATAAAATAAAATAAAATAAAATAAAATAAAATAAAATAAAATAAAATAAAAAAGTAGCCAGGGATGGTGGCGCACACCTGTAATCTCAGCTACTTGGGAGGCTGAGGCATGAGAATCACTTGAGCCCGGGAGGCAGAGGTTGCAGTCAGCCGAGATAGCACCACTGCACTCCAGCCTGGGCAACAGAGCAAAACTCTGTTTCAAAAAAAAAAGTTCCTCAGTTCCTCAGTCAAACTAGCCACATGTCAAGTCCTCAATAGCCATTTGTGGCTAGAGATTACCAGATTGGACAGCACAGATATGGAATATTTCCTTCATCACTGAAAGTTCTATTGGACAGCATTGGCTTAAAGCATGGACTCTAGAGCCAGACTCCCTGGATCCTGATCCCAACCCTACCACTTGTGAACTACCTGGTTGTAAGCAATTTTGAAATCCATCTGTGTCTCAATGGCTTCGTCTCTAATAATAGGAAAATTGTGAAGCCATCCTCACTGGGTTGCTGTAGGGATTAAAGGACTTAATTGATATATGCAAAGCTTATATTAACATAATAAACATTATATAAACTGCAAGCGCTTATTATATCTGTCGGCTGTCTACCTGATGAAAGGAAGTACCACATGGCCCTTGTCATCTCTTACTTCCAGAGCCATCGGGACATGGTGGAGGAAGAAGGAATGCTCTGGTCACCATGAGAAAATCCTTGTTCTCCTGGGCCTGATGGCTGCTGTATTGAGAACAAAACACAGGGCACAGAGCGGGGGACACAGGGACAACAGTGAGGAGGCCACTGTGATAATCCCAGCAGCAGGTGATGTCCCTGGGCCATGATGGTGGCAGTGAGGTGGTAAGAAGGGGTCAGAATTTGGAGTTGAAGTTATATCCTGACAGACCAGCTGTGGCATATGAGAGAGAGGAGTGAGAATCTGCAGGTTCCTATTAAACACTCGTTGGCTGTCCTTATTTGGTACTTAGAGCCAGAAGCCCAATACAGAGACTTGTATTTGTCACCATGAGGTCATCACCGGGCAGGATATACCAAGTAAGAATGACACAGTGGAGAAAAATATGTCAACCCATTTTCTTATATAAAAAGGGAAAGGATAAATCATATATTTAAATGGTTATTTATAGGAAAAGAGAGGGAAATGAGGGGATGCTGGACTTTGAATAGCTCTTGTTTTGTCATTTTGACTTTGCAATCATGCAAATATTTTTATAACGATAAATTAAATTTAATTTAAAGATGAATTATTAAAAATTTAAAGCAAAATAAAGCAAGTGAACCTAACTATATAAACAGTTGGTAGTATAGGTACACACAGAGGAATGATTCCAAGTAATTCTATAACACAATAATTTGACTGTACATCCTTAGTGGGATATATCTGAAGGACAAAGAGAAAAAAAATTGAAATGTTTTCATTAGCCATATTGTTATCACAGTTTTTGTATAATTACTCTGAGGCTGATTGTGTGTTGTGTGGGATATAGCAAATTAGTAATTACATTGGAATTATTTAGAATTGGGATTTTCAGCATAGGAGAAGGGAGAATGTGGGTATGAGGTCCATGAAGTAAAGTAAAAACATGATTGTCCTGAATTTGAATTGAACATATCAGAATGGATTAATCATTTTTGTTTAAAAACTTGTGTTTTCTATCTTTGTCCACTGTAAATAATAACCAGCCCAGAAGCAATGAGCACACTTACTGCTCAGAATGTGGTCTGTAAATAATATTTCCCATTAAAAGGAACCAGGAATCCTAAGAGAAATGGCTGATTCCAGGTATAGGGTAGGATATATATAAGTTGAACCTGGAACATACCAGAAAGCAAGGAAGCTATCAAAGACAATTAGGGCCATGTCAAAAGTAGTCCAGAGCTGACTTGATCAGGCTTCCACTGGTCAAAGATTGAACAATTTAAATATTGTAAAATACAATAACTGCAATCACCATATAAAACATATTTAACACATAAACTCTTAATAACATTAATTATAACAGTAACAAGCACACCTTTGGAAGATGCCAGGAAACACCTCATTATTTGAAAACTGGTATGCACAGGGAAGAATAAAGCACATATCCTACCTATTCCGTATAAACTTTACCCCATGGTAGCCAAATGGGGGAAGGGGAAAATTTTCTCTTTACAGAATATTTAAGTTGACACATGAAGAGAAAAATAATAGAATGAGAATATTTATTACAGATTGCCATTTTTGCAACCTGTAATAAATGAACAGATATAGGCAATAATCATCAATAGCTGTTAATGCCACAAAAATAGAGATTACAAGACATTATGAACTTGCTGATGGAGGTATAAAACATAATCAATGAAACAATCTTGCTGTCCCCTTCTAAAGGCAACAAAACAATAAAACCCCTGTGTCTTATAAAGCCAATTCATAGGAAATAGAGGAGACACAGGGACAGGTTAAACAGCACCATAAAGAAGCAATCAGAGAATTTCTGATATTTTATAAAACAAACATCCAGGTTTCTTTAACACAGCAACAATGCCAATGAAAACAACAAAATAGGAAAAAAAGTGGGGGAGAAAAAAGAAGGGAAGGGAAGGAGGAGAGGGGAGAGGAGAGGAGGGGAGGGGAGGGGAGGGGGGAAGGGGGAGGTGAGGGGAGGGGAGAAACAGGGAGAGGAAGGGAGGGGCAGGAAGGGAAGGGAAGGGAGAGAAGAGAGACATGATGGGAGGTTAAAAGAGACTTAAGGAACACAGCAATGAATCAATATACAAGGACAATTTAGATCCCAATTCAAACAAACAACAAAGAGATAAAATAGTTGAAAAAAATAAGACAAACAGGAAACTGTAAACACTAAATGTATACCTGGTGATATGAAGTCCTAATATTAATTTTTCATTTGTTCTTTCTTCATTAATGTTTTTAGGAGTGATATTATATGGTTATGTTTGGGCTATGTTTTGTTTTGTGTGTGTGTGTGTGTGTGTGTGTGTGGTTTTTTTTTTTTTTTTTTTTGAGTCAGTGTCTAGCTTTGTCTCCCAGGCTGGAGTGCAGTGGTGCGATCTTGGCTCACCACAACCTCTGCCTCCCGGGTTCAAGCGATTTTCCTGCCTCAGCCTCCTGAGTAGCTGGGATTACAGGCGCCTACCACCATGCCCAGCTAACATTTTATATTTTTTAGTAGAGACAAGGTTTCACCATGTTGGTCAGGCTGGCCTCGAACTCCTGACCTCAGGTGATCCACCTGCCTCGGCCTCCCAAAGTGCTGGAATTACAGGCTTGAGCCACCATGCCCAGCCTATGGTTATGTTTTTGAAAGAGCCTTTTTATTTCTGAGATGCGGTTGGAATATTTACAGATGAAATTATGAAATGTCTGGGATTTGTTTCCAAATAATCTATTATGTGTGTAAAGGTGGGCAGGGCAAAGAGGCAGGTAAGATTATAAAGGGAAAAAAATTGATTCAGGAGTTGATAGCTGTTGAAGTGGATAACGGGTATGTAATTCTTTTTCCTTATAATTTTGTTCCTGCTGTGGTAGCTGCCTACTCTGATTAGGATTCCTCCTGGATCCCTCCCCTCCTCTCACCCCCACATCCAATCCATCGGCAGGTCCTGAAAACTCTACATTTAGAGCATGTCTCAGGCCTTCTCCACTCCCTTTCCCCAGCTACTACCCTAGTCTCAGCTGGATCGTATCAGTAACCTCTAACCAGACTTCCTGCCCCATTCCTGTCACAAGGAACAAAGCAAGTACAAAGAGAGTAACTTCATTTGAACTTGAAGGATGAGAAGTCTGCCAGATCGGCTGGGGTGGAGGCATTCCAGGCCAGGCGAGCATGATGTATAAATGCATGGTGGTGTCTATCAGCACCATGTGGTTGGTGCAGAGAGGGCAAGCAGCTCCATGTGACTGGAGTTCAAGAAGCAATGAGATACAAGGCTGGAGAGCAAGACACAGGATGAGGGACAAAATGCCTTGAATGCCATGTTATGTTTCCCTGTTAATCCAAGGGCAATAGCCAGTCATTGAGGAATTATCTATAGAAACTGACATGATAAGATTTGCACATTCAAGAAAGAACTCTGGGGGCAATTCAGGGGAGGTTGGGCTGGAGGTTCCTGAATTTGGAACTCAGAGGCCAATTAGATTACTGCAATCCTTCAGGTGAGACAAAATAAGTGACTGCACTAGCAAGATGGCAGCAGGAATACAGAGGTAGGCAAGGTATTTGTTGGGCAAATCAGTGGGATTTGGTGATTGACTGGATGTCCAGTCAGCAAGCAAGGAATCTAGCTCCTGGTGGGATGTAAAGTCATTAACGTCATTAACGAGGATATTGCAATGAGAAGGAGATCAGAGTTTTGAGGGAAAGGGATACAATGAGTTAAGTATTGCACATGTTGGTTGGTGGGAAATCCAGGTGGAGGTATCCAGCAGGCAGCTGGGTATTTGAATCAGGCTGAATAAGAGGATCTACATGACAAACATTTATTTTTATACACAGCATGTAGTCCAAAGGAAGATATTAAAAGAAACTGATTTTAGCAAATTCCACAGCAAAACGGCAACAACAAAGAAGCAATTTTAAGTAGTAAGTGTGGAAGCACTTGAGTAGTTTTAAAAGTAGGCACCTGAACTGGTGTTTTAACAATCTTTCAACTTCCTTCCCACCTTCTTTACTCTGTTCCTACTTTCTGTTCCCTCCTTTCCTTCTTTCCCCTCTTTATGTATTTTATTTTTTTATATTTTATTTATGATTTTATTTTTAAGAGATGAAGTATCGCTCTGTTACCCAGGCTGGAGTGCAGTGTCTTGATCATAGCTCCCTGCAGCCAAGTACTCCTGGGTTCAAGTGATCCTCCCGCCTCAGCCTCCCAAGTAGCTGGGACCACGACAGGCTAATTTTTGTATTTTCTGTAGAAACAGGGTCTCGCTATTTTGCCTAGGCTGGTCCTGAACTACTGGCCTCAAGTTATCCTCCTGCCTTGGCCTCCCAAAGTGCTGGGATTAAAGGCATGAGCCACCACACCTGACCTCTTTCTGTATTTTAAGAGAGTATTTATGAAAGAGTTTACTATATGCCAGATGTGGTACGGCAGACATAATGATGAATAAAAACTGGATCTGAATACAATGGATTTGACATATGCCCTCACAGACCTCAGTCTTCTAGGATAGACATTAAACAAATGCTCAAAAAATAATTGCTTAATTACCAACTGTGGAAATCTTAAGGACAGGTGCATGGCAAAGTTATCCACACACAAGGGACCTTAAGGAAGGTTTCACTCATAAAGTGTTGATTTAACAGAGAATGATGAATAGGAGATTCTACTAAGTGAAGGGGATTGGAAGAGCCTTCCAGGCAGAGACTTAGCATGTGCAAGAGCTCAGGGACAGGGGAAAGTAGCGAAGAATTGGAAGAAGGCCGATTGGACTGGGGGTCAGAGACAAAGGGGAGCTTATAAATAAGACGAGCTGGAGAGGCAAGTGGGGTCAGCCCATGCAAGACCTTCTATGCTGTAGGAAAAGTGTTGTCTTTCCTGAATGGTAAATAGGAAGCTATTGAACAATTTTAAGTAAGGAGTGATACGATCAGGTTTGCATTTTAAAAATGTAACTCTGCTGTGTAAAGAACTGATGGAAGCCCTTCAGAATGGATGATGGGAAACCAACTGGAAGGCTACTACAGTGACCTAGGAGAGATGACAGTGGTTGGATAAAGTTGTGGCAATGAAGATATAAAGAAGTAGATGGATTCATTCCATAGTGTATGTGTGTGCATGTGTTTTTTAAGGAGGTAACATCTGTGGTGAATAGGCTATGGGTGAAGGAGACAGCTGCCAAGGGTAGGCATTTGTATTCATCCAGCATGGATATTTGCCATAGTTGTAATGGAGACAAAGGTTTAGGGTCTTGTAGGAAAGCTATGGAAAAGAAGGATGGAAGAACTCAGTCAAATGGCTATGTGTCATCCTGGAACAAATTCCTTGCCCTCCAGGAACTTGGAATCTGCTAAGATGAGCCTGGTACGCAAAAGCCAGCTCATTTACAGTACTTGGGATCAGATGAGTACAGGCTATTATGAGGGATACTGACACCATGTGATCTAGGAGTCAAGAGAGGAGAAGAGCCAGGGTGAGCCAGGTCAGGGATTTCTTCCTGAAGGACAAAGCACAGAGAGGCAGCTTTCAAAATCCTTGCAACACATCCCTAAAATCCATATAGAAAACTCTATGTGTTTGGTGTAATACTGGAAACAAGCATTTCTTTTTTTTTTTTTTTGAAATGGAGTCTCACTCTGTCGCCCAGGCTGGAGTCCAGTGGCGCGATCTCGGTTCACCGCAAGCTCCGCCTCCTGAGTTCATGCCATTCTCCTGCCTCAGCCTCCCAAGTAGCTGAGACTACAGGCACACACCACCACGCCTGGCTAATTTTTTTGTATTTTTAGTAGAGACGGGGTTTCACCGTGTTAGCCAGGGAAACAAGTATTTCTTATGTTCACATTAAATATCAGTTATATTCATTTCATGACACTCTAACAAAAGCATACACATTCTGCTCCTGGCAAACAATTGATGGCTACAAATGCCAAAAATCATACCTAGGAATTTCAGATATTTATTGTTAGTTGATTCCTCCATCCTTTTTTTTAAAAAAAATAAGAAAGCAAATTCCTGTTTTGGTAGGACAGTGGTAAATCAGAAATGTACAATTAACACTTAAGTAAATAGATAGAAGTGCCTCTAGAGTCCCCTGCGAGTGGCTGTCATGATACACCACCCAAGTTTACAGCTTTGCAAATGGGTGTTGTTCTCCCAGAGTGAGATACAAAGTGAACTTTCTGTCTTGGGCTTGAAGACCCAAGGGCTGCCTGGACCTTGAAGGAGAAGTAGAGTACATACTGTTCCAAGACCACATCCTCAGCAGTCCCTGAGGACACAGCTTGTAATCATGTGGTTAGAACAATCTTGCTTTTTCTGGCATATTGTTAATATTGAGGGGGGACCAAGGGAAGTGGGCACACAGAAAGGGTGACTTTTGCCCTTTGCTGTGTACTTCTCCATCATTTGCATTTAAAAAATAATTCTATTACCATAATTTTTGTAAAAAAGAAAGGTGAACATTCTTTTATCTAAATAACACATGATTACCTCATTCTCCTAGTTGAGGTTTATGGGAAAACAATCAGTTTCCATATTCTGTAAAGGAACCCACCATCTATGCAAAGACAAAGGATGAAGCTTTCTCCTTGGTATGCTTTTCCAAAGTAAATGGTTATTCTAGCACAAGTTACCAGATGCTTTGAAAGAATCAGGGTTACAGTGCCTGAATCCTTGGGGAGGCCTATAGCTACTGGTAATTGTGTAGGGCTCAATTTTATGACCATTCTTCTATCTGCGTTATTTAGGAGGCTAGATATTAATGAAGAGGAGGCAGAGATGAGCAGCAGGAGATCTCGTGTGCTGACACAAATCCTAGAGAGGATTTCTACATGGAGACTTGTAAAGGGAGATTCTTGACATTGTGTTTGTGCAGGTCACATGTCACATCCTCTTTTCCCAAGCCCAGGAAGGAAAAAAATGAATTTTTGGCTGGCATTTGCTAACCTTTAATAGTACAAATTGTTGAACCATATGATAGAGCATTCTGAATAGCAAACGAGGGGAAAATAGCAGCTTGTTAAATTCAATAGGAGAAGGACACTTTAAGATCACATCGATCTTGTGGGCTCAGGTACTTAAAATGTGAAGTGACATCCCCAAAGTAGATATTGAATAAAATGAATAGAAAAATGTTGGTGACATATGATGAAGCCTCATGGGCAGCCTGTCTTCTACTTGTTCCTCCGGATCCACTCTCTGCCCTTCTTCAACATACTCTGCTCATTTTGAGAAGTGGGGCTCCCTGGCCCTCTGGCTTCCGCATGGGGCTTGTGGGAAGCCTCAGCAGGGGACCATAGGGAAGGAAGGGGGAATTGGAGCACTTACTCCCTACCGAGGAATTGCCCAGGGCTGGCTGTGTCTTTCTAATGCAGTCTTGGCTCCTGCCAGGGACCTCTCCACACACACAACCCTGTGTCTGTCTCCAGGTCTGGTAACTGCCCCACTCCTTGCCCCTTCAGGCCTGGGGTGGTAAAAGCTCCCCAGTGTTACTGGCCTTGGAGTGCAGCTGTTCCTGGTGGCTTCCCTGCATCCTGCCCATCCTTTGTAAATGTTCCCTTTATTCAATTCTCAAGTTACTCAATTTGAGCATGCCATGCTTTTCCTGCTAAGTCTCGGACATACCATCAAAGGAAGCTCTTAACCAGGGTTCTGGTGTTCTGAAAGAAAGTTCTAGTGGACATCTGTCACTCTTTTTGCACCTTCTGTCACCCCAGCATCTGAGCTGAATCTGGGGATTTCCCGCCTCAAGAGTATATGTATGTATGCATGAATTTATTGGTGGGGTGGGAACAGGATCTCACTCTGTTGCCCAGGCTGGAGTGCAGTGGCACCATCACAGCTCACTGCAGCCTCAACATCCTGGGCTCAAGTGATCCTCCTGCTTCAGCCTCCCCAGTAGCTGGGACCACAGGTGCACACCACCATGCCTAAGTTTTTTTTCTTTTTATTCTTTCTATAGAGATGGGGGTCTCACTTTGTTGCCCAGGCTGGTCTTAAACTCCTGGCCTCAAGTGATCCCCTTGTTTCAGCCCCGCAAAGTGCTGGGATTACAGGTGTGAGCCACCATGCCCGTGCCCAGCCACCTCATGAGTCTTGATGGGGGGCAGAGACCAACAACTCCACAGAAGCCAGATGCTTGCTTTCCCAGCCTCTCTTGCAGCTAGGGCTTGGGCATGTGATCCAGGCTCAGCCAATCAGATGGCACTGACTCTTGGCATGACATGGGCTAAGGAGGGGCTGCAGGGAATCCATTTGGGCTGGGGTGGCAGCTGCACTGGGAGCGACATCAGTTTCCAGAGGGAGCAGCAGAATCTGGCATCAGGCTTGGGGCGTGGTAGGTGCAACCAGACTCTGCACCCAGCAGCAGTGGCAGAATGGGTTCTCTGTGGAGAGTCTGTGTATTGCTCCTTCCGCTGAGGCCACCAGCATCTGCCTCCATGAACCCCTCAGAGCCTGTGAGCAACTCAACAGCCTTGAATTTTTTCCCTTCCTGTTTGAATGAGCCAGGGTTGTTTCACTGCTTGAACTAAGAGCCGTTCCTGACATGAAAACTAAGCCACATCTTTTTGACCCAAAGATTCTGGCATCCTAAAATACCCATCTCATTTTAAGTTAAAAATAAATCCATGTTTGAGCATCTACTGTTTCAGTTACTGTGCTAGGTGTTACAAAGCTAACTAAGAGTGACAAGTAAATAACTATCATCACCATGATAAACAGAGAATGGAACCCTGGTTTTTGGAATACAGACACAAAATGATTAATTCTGCCTGGAAGCGTTTTGGAACATTTCAGAGAGGTAGTGAGCTGGGCCAAGAGAAGAGCATACGCAAGGAATGGTGGCATGAAGTTGCCTGGTGTGTCCTGAGAAGAAAGATGGGCTAAGAAGGACTGGGGTAGGGCAGAGAAGGGGGTCACTGGAGGTGAGGCTGGGAAAGTGAGCCAAGGCTCAAATGCAAACTGTCTGAACTTCATTTTCTGTGCAAGCAGGAGAAGCCGCTGACATGGGTTTGGAAGATGGACTGAAGCCGGAGAAAAATGGAAGCAAGAAACCCTCTCACAAGAGGCCATAACCACAACCAAGTCCATGAGATTGAAAAGGAAGGCAGATATTTGAAAAATATTTAAAGAGATGTGAGGGGTAGGACAGGCACAGTGGCTCATGCCTGTAGTCCCAGCACTTTGGGAGGCCGAGGTGGGCAGATCCACGAGGTCAGGAGATCAAGACCATCCTAACATGGTAAAACCCCATCTCTACTAACAATACAAAAAATTAGTCAGGTGTGGTGGCACGTGCCTGTAGTCCCAGCTACTCAGGAGGCTGAGGCAGGAGAATCGCTTGAACCTGGGAGGCGGAGGTTGCAGTGAGCCGAGATTGTGCCACTGCACCCTAGCCTAGGCAACAGAGCAAGACTCTGTCTCAAAAAAAATAAAAAAAAAAAAAAGAGAGAAAGAGAGAGAGAGATGAGGAGTTGCTGCACTGCTGGGTGTGGAGAGCCGAGGAGGATTCAAAGATGGTCCTGAAGTCCCAGCTGGAAGAAGTAGGCGGCAGCAATGTTTTTAATACTGTAAATTCATCACGTAGCACAGGTTTGGGGTGGAGAAAGAAAAATTGCATTGGCTTCAGGGCATGCCCAGATCTTTCCTCATCTTAGGCGTTTGCTAATACATGCATTTTCTAAGCTGATGTCTTGCGTTTAATCACTGCTCCATTCAAAAGAGAGAAGGAGGTTGTTTCAAACCTAGTTGATATCATTTGACTTCCATGCTATTCACAGGGCTATTTTATTTGAAACAGGTATACCACAGCCTTAAATTGCAAGTTAATCCAGGATGTTCCTAGGTTGGCAGTTAGGAACATGTAATTCTTTGGAAGGGCTAAAAGTCAGCTCTTTAAATTATCTCCATATGAACCTTCTCTCCACCTTAGGGTGGATCCACTTATTTAGTCCACTGCCAGTACCACACTAGAACCCGGGTGGTCACTGGACTCCAGAAACAACAGTAGCCCTCTCTCTGTTCTGTCTCTTTTTGACTATCTCTATTCTGTTCCTGACCCTGATTTCTCCTGCCAAGCTCAATTTTGACAGCTGACAACGGCAAGCCATGGCTTCCCAAAACATTATTTTCAGGTCAACTTATAAATTTCAAGAACACATTTGGCTCCGCTTCCTGTGGTACTAAGCCTACTTCTTGACAGCATTTGCCTTTGTTGTAAATAGCAAAGTTCTTCTAGTTGGATTTTTGCTAAGAAGTGTGTGGATGTGGCATGTGACGACATCTTTAGCTTGGATTCTAGAAAGGCACTACCATTGTGCATTTGGCTAAAGGAAACACATTTTACCCGTGAATGCCTTCTATTTACAAATGCTCAGCTAGCACACAAAGCTAAGTACAAGCAATAAGTACTATCCTACAATGTTACTCATTTCTGAAAGCACAAAATGATGACTGGTATAGCTTTGGAGATGTTTTCTGGAAACCCAATAAAGGAACAGATCTTTGTTATTCCACACCTACAAAGTCAGAAGATGCACAGTCTTTTATTCATGTTTGAACAAGCTTCCTTCTTGAACAATCAACTATAAAGTGATGTGATTCTCTACTAGACCAGGAACTCCTTGAGGACAGAATGAGGGTCTAATCCATATTCTAAATCCACACCACCTGGCACAATACATGTTGCATGGTTAGGGTCAACTAAGAGTTGGTTGAATTAATCAATAACACACAGCAAGAGAATTCACAAAGAGAGGGGAGTAATCCCCCAGCCTCAATCACTCGGCAAGTGGAATCGCTGGGCACTGATTCCAGCTCTGTCTCAGTGCTTGAGACAGAGCTGAATGTAATGTGAACATTTCAAATGAACAGGAAAACTAGACTCACGGATAAGCAGTGTAGTCATCAAGACAACACTGTCTTGGAGGTTTTTCTGAAGTTAAAACCATGCTACATAAGCAATAAATTATGAAGGCTGAGCATGTGAATAAAATTTAATGTTGTCATAAATTTTATAACAAAGTTAATCTGACACATTTAATGACATGCATAATCATTAGTATGCAGCACTGTAATCAGACATTGATAATAAGCAGTTCACACCAGTGACTGTAAGAGTCTTTACTTGTGTTCAGCCAAGCCAACTGCTTGGTATATTTTTCTCCCTTCTTAGTCGTTAGTTTTCCATACCTACAATAACTATCAGTGGTGATGGGCTTCTCTGACCATGTGAATAATTTAATCCTCAATGCACAGATACAGAAACCCTTGCTGAAGACAGTGTGGAGCAGAGAAGGCTGTCTCCACTCCTTCCACCTGAAACACCTCTGCAGATGGATATGGGAGCTCTGCCTACAGCCCTTGGACCTAACCACTTCAGTGTGTTCCAGTGAGTGTCTGGACCTCGGCCTGAAAGATTTTTCCGAAACTAAAGAAAATTTCTCTGACCTAAAGACCTTAACCTCCACCCCAGAAGCTCTCACCAAGGACTACAGGGAACTGGTGGGGAAAATCCTTATCCCTTACTCCTCAAGGCACAGGGCAGTAATGCTGAGGCTTGTGCGCCACACTTGCTCCCAGAGGTCCCCAGCGGGCTACCTGCGGTGGTGAATGACCTCCTAACACGCCCCTTGACGGCCTTCCTTTCCTTGCCTCACTTCTCCACTCTCCTACCAGCATTGCAGGGTTCACATCCCAAATATACCACTGGCACTTGAATCCTGGTCTCCAGGTCTGTTTCTGGAAAAACCCAAGTAAGACATTGCCCCAGTAATGGGGCTAGATGTCTGAGGCTTCCTCAAGTATCTACCTCGAAAGCTCTTACTGCTGTACACACATGCACATACACACACGTGCGTACAACCAGTCACATCTAAGCACCCCGAATACCAGCCTGTTGAAGGTAGCAGAGAGCTGCACTATAAGCCAAGGCTGCTCCCAAGAGCCGCTCCATCACTGAATTGGCGCCCCAGCAAGATGAAGGAATGTAATCATTGGAAGGATGGAGAATGTTCTCTGAATCACTGACAAATTGGAAGGGGTGGAGGGCAAGAGTCCACCTGGTGGAGAGATGGAAAGAGCGAGAGAGCCTGGAATGATAATGCCATTGCTTAGAAAAGGCTGCTCCAGATGCCATATCTACAGAAATTGTACAGCCCAAACATCTCTGAGCAATAGGTCTCTGGTAGTCTTGATGTCTAGACCAACAATTCCCAGTTCATTCTTCTCAGGGAAGGAGCCAGGATAGTCCAGAGACTCTCATTCTGCTGTTAGATTGAAAGGGTTAGGCACAACAGCCTTGGCAAAGTCACAAGGGCAAATTCACACTAAAGTGTAAATGACCCACAACTCCTCTTCTATTTTTAGGTTGGGGAGGTGCTTTAGAACATAAGGAGGAACTAAAGAATATTCCTGTTACATACAAGGCAGAGAAAAGGGAAACTAGTGGTGACAAGACAAATCATCCCTTTGACATTTGGCTGGCTCTACCTATTACAGCTCTGGGGGTGAGGTGGGAACAAAAAGATGCTGTGTAAAGAAGTATCTTATGCCATCCCTACTGTAGTGAGGTGCAGTTTAGAGGGGACACTGATCAAGCAGAGACCCAGAGTGTTTCGTTCCAAGCCAGAAACAGAAATGTATAAAACACAGCCTTTCCAGCATCAGAAATGAGTAGTGGTAGTGGAGAACTACCCAAAACAGGAAAGAGGACCACGTGAGGTAGAGTGTCAAGGCCCTACATTCCAGTGCCTCTGCTCATGACTGTAATTTTGGGTAGGTCACTTAAAGTCTCTGGACCTCAGTTTTGCCATCTGTGAAATAGGGATAATACTATCCAGCATAAAATTGGTTATGAGGCTCATGTAGGGCCTGCCTGGGATGATGTGTTGCTAATGGTTAAGAACACAACTTCTGGGGTCTGACTGGACAGGCTGAAATCCCTGCTTAACACGTTCCAGCAGAGCCCTGGGCGATCTATTTAACTTTTGTTTTCTCACCTGTAAGCTGAGACGAAAGTACCCACTTTATAAGATTATTCCAATAATTAGTTGAAATAATGCATGCAGAGAATTAAGCATGGTACTTGTTATTTGTTAAACTAGCTATTAAAATGTGTAAAATATAAAGTATTGTATGGATTTTAGGACAATGCAAAGACTCTTTGCTTGCTGCAATAGTTCGGGGCCCTTTCAGATGGCTAAAGGCAGAATTTGTATGTGTAAATATGGTGTGCTTGTCTCTGCTCTGGATACTGAGGGCTTACCCTGTTATTAAACTTATTTAGTAAATATTGAACTGTCATGAGGCCTAACATTTAGTTCCAGTTATTAGATAAAACATTTGCTTTGAATGGTATTTGAATTGCCAGGTTCTAGATTATTCTGGTTGACAAACTCTTCGTATTTTATAAAGAGGCTAAAATTGGTAAGCTATCACAGAACAGATGTGCCATTTTCAAGGTATATTAAACCATGATTCACTGTAACATTGTTCCTACTGGCAACAAATTCAGAGCAGGCTGGACTTTATTTGGTGAAGAAACATTGAGTGGAAGAGAAATGACATTATTTTATGTATTTACATTTTCAAATTACTGTGGCTTAAACCTGTTCAGCCAACATTACCCACCTTCAGTCTGCTAAATAAATGATTCAGTACATTTCTAATTTACAGAATTTTTTAACAAAAGAAAATGTAATTTGATAGCCAAATCAACGTTAAACATTATACATTTAAAAAACCACAGGCAAAGACACAAACATGATGACACTAACTTTTGTTAAAGTATGCTTACCTATGGTTTCCTCTGAGGCACGTTCTTTCATGCTAAGCTTCCAACATAATATGAAAATGAAGGAGATGCATTTTGCAAAGCAAAACAGACCTTAAGCAAAATATTATACTTCTCAAATTAACACTGTTACAAAGTTTTAGAATTTAATAAGTTCATTAATTTAAAAGTTTGGATGTCTGAGTCCTTCTATCCCAAAACAAGATCTTGGAGGGTCTTCCACAGCCATGTAATACCATGGTCACATGACCCTTTCCAAAATTATTAATCTGAATTTACTATATGAGGATAAATCTATCTTTTTGAAAATATTTAGGAAAATGAGCTTGGTATTTATAAAATGAAGCTCTCTTTGGGTGGTATCCTAAGACACGTCAAGCCAATCAGCCTGTAACTGTGAAAAAAACATTGGTAGGTACAAAAGTGGGGTGGGAGAGGAGTGACTTAACTTTGTTAAGTGATGGGAAAGAAACACTAATAGCATTATCTCAATAAAATGTGATTTAAAAAAATTTAAAATACTAAATCATTGAACTGACAAAGAAATATAAATCATTCAGAAATAAACTCATTAGGTCATCAAATCCTGTTAAATCTGCAATTAGGAAGAGCAAGGTGTACAATCCATACATTTAAACTCACAGGCTCACTTTGCACAACGTCAATTTACTCCTTAATATGTTATTAATACGCATTTTCCAAAAGGATGTATTAGTAAATGGTACACATCTACTTCTTGGCAACATCATATAACCTGGTACAACATAAGCATTCTTCTTATAGTTAAGAAATGTGGATGGTATCAAAATTAGAAAAATAAATGCCCTATTATGTTGTGGTCAGGTTTAAGGCATGTGAATTTTATCTTCATACAAAAGATTAAAATCTAGATATTAAAAAGTAGTGCAGTATCAGTGATGCTGCCTCAGTTCCCAAAATGTCACATCACAAAAATATCCCATAATTGCCTGTAGTTTATTCCTTGGCTTTCCTCTTTTCTCTCTGCATCTTTGTAACAATTTTTTAAAAGTGGAAATATAATTGTTGGCAATGCTAACAGCTGTAGAAATGATTACAAGATGTGGAAAAGCATAACAGGAATGTCAAGAATCTGTTTCTGGCAGTAATATATATGGAACATTGTTCAGGACAAAAGAGGAGAAGGAAGAAAAAAAGGAGAGGGGTTTATCATCTCTAAGAATTTTCAAACTAAACCTCATTGCTTAATAGGAAAAAAAGATTCCATATTTAAAGTTAAGTCACCTCTAACTACTAGCTAAAGCATGACATCACCAGCACTGGAGTCAGCGGAAGTGTGTTTTTGAAGGACAGTGTTGCAGGAGAATCTGGACAGGTTTTAGAGCCAGGAGAGAGAAAATAATTCTACCTCTGACAGTTGAAGGACCTTAGGCAAATCAGTTTACCTCTGCTAGACTACACTCCAAAATTTGGACATTCAAAAATTTGATATTAATAACCACATGAAAGTCTCGTGTTGAGGTGAATATGTATTTGTTGGTGAAAGATATGTTGGTTTTTAAACAGACAGCACTCTGCAATTGTAGGCTATTGTTTTGTTTTGCCAGTTGTCAAATTCTATCCAGCTATACACACTTGTGTGGCCTCCTAATGGTGTTTTTCCAGTGGCTAAAGGTTTATGAATAAGACACTTTTCCTAATGGAATTAACCCGATGCTTTTCTTAAACATGTAACCTTGAGTTCACCGCAAAAAACAATGCTTCGATTAGAGCAATGCATATAATAAAGGTTACCCTCGTTTCTTAGACACTAGACATCATTCACAAAAAGAGAACTGCTTTTGAAAGGGATGTATTTGCACTGGAAAGAATAGTTTTCTACTTCTAATTATAAATGATTTATTGGTGAAAGCAAAACAACAGCCTGTCTGAGAGGCACTTCTATGAGCATCCTCACGTGTGATTTGCAAGGTTGAAGAAGAGGGAAAAATGCCTCAATTGTACCAATGGTGAGAAAACACCCAAAGTACAAAGCAGGTTTCAAAAAAACCATACTCATAACCAAGGACAATAATAAAGCAATGTGTTGACATATACTCTATAAGTCTTCCTCCATAAATAGTTTATAGAAATTTTGTAATTTCTGTAAATGCATCCTATAATAATTTTGCATCTTGCTTTTTTTTTACATTTAATATCAAGTAGATTTCTAAAGGGCAATTATTTGAAAATTATCCCAAATACATGGGGAAATATACATCAAGTGAAAAAATGCAGTGGGTGATAGAGATATCAGGAAGCGCCTCAAATATTTCTCATCTCGTTGGAGAAAAACAAACATGTTCTCATTTAGAATGAGTGGGAGTTACCTAATTGATTTAGGCCTCTATATTTAACTTCTAGTCAAAAAAGGTAGTTCTATCTAGCAACAATATTATGGGGAACAAAAGAAAAAATTAACTCTCTAAATTTGCAGTAGGGTCTTTTCTTCAGAAGTACCAAATCCCATCTATTACCAGCTCCATGCTTCAGGCCTAAAATGGATCTCCCTGAAGCAATGACAGAATTTTTGCCAAGTGACTAGGATATAAACACCACTTTGGTTGCACAGTGAGACATATGCTCCAAAGAAAACTGGTTCAAAAACAGGCAAGTGGGTTTCTACAGAATAAATGAGAGCCCTGTCAATGGCTTCATCTTCAGGGCTTTGTGTCTGTGCTTGCGTGGTGGCTCTTGTTTCATCTATGGATAATGGTGGCACACAGTTTTCATAATTCCTTACATTAATGAACTGCTATAAATTTGTTTTTGGTATTCTAGAGAGTCCTAACTTCAGCTTCTGGGCAATGCTGAGGAGGCACCCTATATTCTAGACTTACCTTTTGCAAGGTGTACTCTCAGCATTGTGGGCGATTTCCATGGGAGAATATTCTATTTAAAGAACTACTGTCCCAGCATAAAACAAAAAATCATTTATGAAGATGCAGGAGACTCGGAAAGCTCTCAATTATTGTTTGCACAAGCACAATGTCACAGCCTCCTTTCCCCATTCCACAAGGGGGTCAGGAAGAGAGTACTCAGCTGTGAGAAAAGACATACAGAAGAATTCATGTGGTCATGAGAGCGAGGACATGGCCGATCCCCCAAGGAGGATGTGTCATACACTTCATGAGCCCAAGAGTGTGCTGTAGGGTCTGAAGGGCAAGATGCTGGTTCACTGATGTAAAGGAGAGGGAAAAAAGCTTCAACCAACTAGAAAAACAGTCTCTATGCATGCTATTTTTGATTTTAAACACAGGTATCAATTCCTTCTCTCAGAGAGTCCATTTTAAAATAGGATACATTTTTAAAGGAATATTTAAAGGACACATTCATTAAAATTTATTTTAAAAACTTTTCAAAAGAAACAAAAGGTATGAATTTTATTTAATCCTTGAGGAAATGGTTCTTTTCTCACACACATAAATCACTCATTTTGTTTTTCTTTATCTCCTTTATTAATCTACATTAGAAAAATAAACTTTTCATACACTAAGAACAAGGAAACCACTCTCAATTGACAAAATGTTCCAATCCAACACAATGATTACTTTCACCTTTAATTTACAGGCAGCCAGATTCAAAATCCTTAAAGTTGCTTAAACTTAAAAATGACAATGACAACCTAAAAGGTATAATGTTGATTGGAACAGACATTTAATTGGAAAATTGATGATTTTCCATTTCCAATTAAATCTCTAGATAGAAATGAAAAAAATTAAAAATCGTATTTAAGAAAAGCCAAATCTTGGGTTGTGAGGTATCTTTTTAAGGATGTTTCAGCAGAAAAAAACAAAGGCTCTCACAATTGTGTAGCTGCCTAGATTAAGTGGGTATCCTGATCAAGGAGATGGGGGATGATTTGGCTTTAGTATTCCAATGATAAAGTTTATAATGAGAATAACATGTTGCTACAAAATCCAGTCTCTTCCTCAGATGCCTTCCACAGAGGGCAGGAAGCTTTGTCAGTTTTGTTTGCTGATGATGCCTGGTTCCGTCAACAAATAACACCTGTCACACGGTGGGTAGTCAATATACATTTGTTGAATAAATATGAAAAAAAGAAATGTACAATATGTTTGTGAAGCCAACTGTGTGTGCATTGCTATTGAGGTACACAAAAAGTCTTTGTTTTAAATTTGAGAATGAGGACTTTCAATGGAATATATCTATAAAAATGAAAAAAAGACATTACTGTCTGGACTTTTGTACAGCAAGAGAAGAAAAACCACTAGCCAAGAGCCAACTCACCTGATAGGCCTGGATCAAGCATGCAGCTGTGGAGAACACCCCTGGGACTCTAACTCTGGCACTCTGCAAGCTGGGTACTTGGGCAGGACAGCAGCAGCACTCATGAACTGGGCAGCACCTGTTGGTGAGGGCTGATCACATGGATTCTCTCATCCCAGCCTTACAATCAGTCCTTCAGGTACATACTTTTTCTGACTTTGCTGATGAGGAAACTATGCACAGAGGTTACACAGCTTAACAAAGGGTTCTCACCTAATGAACAATGAAATGGGATTTTAGCCTTTCTTTGCATCTGGTCTTAGAGCCAATACCCAAGAAGCACTGTACTGTATGCATTGTCTCAGAGAAACTTACTCTTCCTGGGCCTCAGTCTTTAAAAGGTGGGCAGTTGACTTAATAAGAATTAAAGATCAATGATTAAGGTTCAAGGCACTCCAAAATTCTGGTCTTTATTGAAAAGGCTACAGAAGTCTCACCTTAATAATACCCTATAGACTTGATATTCTTGGTTAATTAAATATTGGAAACCAATTTCATAGTAATTGAGGTCAGAAAAAAGTACTCATGACATTTTAGAATATGATGACAAAGCCATAGATAAATTTCAATGCACCTGTAATTACTTAAAACTGTTATAGCATGCAATGTGTTACCACAACAGCCAGAGAAATACTAATTTACTCAGCCTATTCTTCTAGACCAGTAAACACTAGGATTAAATAGATATTTTCATTGAATTTGTTCTACCCTTCATTGCCATTTATAGATAGCTTACTTGTCATAGATTACTTTCTAATTGTTTTATGTTTCCTAACTAGCCTGCAATACTTTGGCAAGGACCTCAAACAATAGTAGACAGTAGGTGTAAAATAGATGGCTACATTGAACAGATGACTAAAAGGATGCCTCCTAAGTACCTATATCTTGAAATATATATTATTGTGCCTTGCTTTCAATTTGTGATTTTAAAATCTAGAAATCACCTGTTTTATGTAATAACAATAAAATCCTTCTTTGTTGAAAACATGCACAAATAAAGTTTACAAGCTCAAAAAATTAAACAGCAGTAACGGTCAAGCTTTCCAACAATAAAATACATTTTGGTAAGGTTTTCATTTTACAAAAACTCAAAATAGCTTTATGAGTTCACAAAATAATATGATATTTTTCAAGATATTAACATATTCTTATACCGGAAGAGCATAGAATAAAATTTACTTGGAGATTGAGCATTTGCTTCTTTAAGAAATACTTCTTTTAGTATTTTTACTTTAATATTATGAAAGCTACATAATTACATTCAGATTCATTAACTACTCCAGTAGTTAATTTTTAAAACTTATGATGAATAGTTTTGTTTAAAATATATAACATTGGTAATATGCAAATCTGAATCTGTAATAAAGAAGGATTTGCATTCCTGATTTTTTTTTCTGATACAACCAATGACAAAATAACTAATGGTTCCACAGAGGATAAAATGTCTCAAATCTGTTGGTTCTGAAGGTGAAGCGAGATTTTTGTACTGATACCGTGTATCACTGAGATACCAGGAGGAAATGGAATTAAACTCAGATAGTTCAAATGGAGAGATTTTAATGAAGGGACGACCTACAGAGGTGTCGGCAGGGTTGGGGGGAATCAGCGAGATATGCTTAGAACCCACCGACTGGCAAACCTCCCCCTGAAGATGGAGAAGGAGGAAGGAGTGTTACTGGAATGAGAGCTTGAGTCCAGGGGAGGAGGATGGGCTGCTGAGGAGGCGACACCATCCTGAAAGAAGAATCCTCTGCCAGAGGCTTTTCAGGGTCATTTCTTCACACTCTCTGCAGGGAAGCACGGAGACAGCAGGAAGAAATATCCTAACCTCACTCTCTTCCCTCTACAGGTGCTTCCATTGGCCAAATCCACCCAGAGGCCAGTTGGTGGCGATCAGCTTCCAGGGGCAAGAGGAGGGAAGAGGAGGGCAGAGACTGGCTTCAGGGGTGGGGGAGCATGCACATTAGGGGCTCAGTTGTTCAAGTACCTGTCACTGAGGCCTAATGAGGGTGGGAAGACCAAGCATGCTCCTCTGATGTAATTTCTAAGAAATCTACCAGAATTAACATTTGTGGATTTTTCCATTTAATGAATTTTTAAAAAAATACCCGCCCTCTCAGCCCCATTTCTCATTTATTTACCTCTCTTCAAGTGGTATTTAAATTTCTTCTTTCATTTTCCTTCTGGTAACAAAGAAGTCTGTGGCTCAAAAGATGTTTCTCTAAGACCCCATCCTATTAGGTCTCTGAGCTGTGGGAAGTATTTATACAATTGCTTGTGAATATAAGATCCAGGAATTTCCCTAAGATCCCTAACAAAATTGGTGATAAGTAGTCCCACATGTTAATCCAGCCACCCACGGATGACAGCACTTACCATTTCTTTGATAAATGTCAAATGCATTTGAAGTACCTACCTGAAATATTTGTTTAAATGCTATCTAATCTATTAATTTTATATATGTGTGAGTCTGTTTTGTATACCTTCTGATTATAGGATAAATGTAAATAAATCCAAAGAGTAATCAAAGCTACCACTTTCAAGAAGCCTTCTTTGTAGAACCGGAAGAGTCTTAAATAGGCTTTTCAGGTATGCATCTCTTATTATCGCTGAACTCCAAGTCCTGCAAGGCAGGCATCATGTGTGGGTCACCTTTACAGTAGGCACAGGCCTTAAAACAGTGACATGCACATTGCAGGCACTCCATAAATGTTTGCTGAATTGGCTAAACCTTGGTTTGTTCCCATAATCAACCACCACAAACAGCACACAGATAATTACTTCTTGGAAAGATTCCAACTAGTGTTTGATGTTACCTACGTGGTTTTTCTCTCAAGATCTTAAGAGCAGCTCTGTAGGATTACATTATTTTCTGTTTTTTTTTTCCTTTGACCTTAATGTCATCTACTTCAATAACAGCTTCATACAAAATTCCTACCAGCACATACCACAGCAGATTCAAGGCCTTGTTTTAAAAATGGTGCCAGCTTCTCTTAATTTGGAAGATATATTGTCTCTCCTGAACATGGGCTAAGAAAATGTATAATTTGGTATTAACATAAGAGCTGAAGACACTTTAAATGCATTGTTTCATTTTTATAAGATAAAAAAAATTTTAAGAATCAAAATGTTATCAACAGACTTGTCCTTCATTAAAAAGTAAAACTGCATTTGCCTACATTTTATGAAAGTGTCCAATTATGAACAATTTTGAAATGTAACTTTTAAAAATGTAAACAGCAAAAATGTTGTATTTAAAATAAATCTGGAAAGGCAGAAAAACAAAAAATACCCAGAAGACAGAGTTTTTGGTGAAAGTTAAGATATTTCATCTTTGAACAACTTAGAATCTTTCCTGCATTTTATAGTCTAGTTCCAGGCATTAATTTGAAATAACCTTGGAATCCTAAATCTAACACCCTTCGGAACAAAGTAGCTTTTCTCTTCTGCTTTATGAGCAAATGGACTAAATACTAGGGAATGGTACTGTCTGGGCCTTTGAACCAAGATTGAAAGAGATGAAATCCTATATGATATGTATAAACATTAGAGAATCCATTTTGATTTAATAAAAGGTTGAATTTGTTCTATATCCTGTGAGAAAATGGTTCCCTTTTCCTGAAAATGTTACCTCATTCCAACAATAGAAAGTTGGTTTTTTTCCAGGGTGTGGTGTTGGCGGGGGACAGAGTTGCCATGAATATGGCATCTATGAAGACTGCTGTTATATTCATTTCTCAAAATGCACTGTGGTAGGAAATTCAGAACGCAGTGAGAGAAAATAAATGTTTGACTTCAAAATATAAGGCCGCATTTAAAGCAGAAGGTAAAGTATAGAACAGTTGACAGTATAAATTCTTTATCTGCAATCTTGCAGTTCCCTAAATCTCTGTAACACATCACTTTTAAAAGCCTCAGATAAGTGGTTCTATAATAATTTACCAATAATTCAACCCCTCAAAAGTCTTAGCAAGTTAAACCTTATAATCTTACATTTTAGAAATGACCCAACTTGATCCTTTTATTCTTCAGAATATCTCTCTCAAATTTTCATTTGTTTTTCATTAATTGATGAATAATGAGACATTTTAGGTACCTGTCCACAAAGAAATGAAATTTTCACTTTCCAGGAACCTAACAAATGAAAAGATAGAAATCAATTCCAACAGAATATTACCAAAGAAATCTTTTAGAATGGACTGTTAAAATTATTTATTTGTATTTATCTGGCTCTACTATTTGTGGTACATTTCCACTTCAAAGCTAAACCTCAAATAACATCATAGTGAGTGGTTGACTTCATGTTTAACTGAGATCTTGAAGACTGAAAAAGACCACGACAAACACACATCTATTTTCTTGGCTACTGCATCCGTGTTCATCACCATTCTGATAGTCTGCAATGTATTGCAGCTCACCCTTTGGGAAGGACTAAAGTAGACATCTGTTTGTTCTGCTTACTCAGCATTCCTACCCTAATTTTCCTTTGGAGAACCCCTTTATTCTAGACCACGTGAAGCTAATGCCAAACCCCATTCCAGGGGATGCACCTGAATCCAACCTCCATCATCTAAACAGTGCCTTCTCCACGTTCAGAGAAGAGCAAGTGACTCAAACTGCCCTCATAAGAACAGACCTGGGACTTCTGCTGCAAATATTGAAGAGTAAGTACTCTTTTTTCTTGCTAGGACTAAGCTGGTAGTACCTTCTATGAGGCTATCATATGGAAACAACTTGTCTGAAAATGAAGCCACAACTAGAAAACAGATCCTGGTAACCCGGATTGATGGATCCAGCCCTACCTTAAATGGCAAGACCTAACCCGAGGCTTTTTGCATCAACCAATAAAGTCCTTAAGCCAGTTTGAGTTGGTTTTGTCACTTGCAGCTAAAAGAATTCTGACTCTAACAATGTGACAATAGCAAAAATAAACATAACTGCTTTTGAGGTTTCTAATGGATTTTCCTCCCTATATACATGATTTCATTTAATCCTCACAATTCAGGAAAGCACATATCTATTAACATTAAATTAATATTCATTATTTTGAACACATGCTATGTGGATAAGGGATGAGGAAAGCCAAGGAAGTAATCAACGTGAAATCTCACTTATATGGGAGGGAAGTGGAGGTTACATATCTCAGGGCACTTAACAGATATCATCAAATGAAAGAATAAACAGTGTGTGGGAGAGGCAGTAGGTGATTCTTCATCAATTCCTGGATGAAAAATTAGGAGATAATGAACTCCGAACAGGCAGCCTAATGAGAATGGCTCAAGCAACAGGACATAGAGAGGGAGTTAGGTTAGACATGGGGTTCTTGGGAATTTTCACCTCGTGGGGGGGCGGGGGGGTCGTGCAGCTGTTGTCAGTGGGAAAGGGAAAAAGGAAAAGGCTGAGTTTGGAAGGCAGGGAGGGAGGAGACAATGTGAGTCAGTGAAAAAGGGCCCTTAGAATGACAAGTCTGGACCAGAGAGAGGCTAAGACTGAAAATACAAGTTGGGTAACCACTGGCATACAGATGGCAGTTCAGGCTTGGGCACTGCCCACCAGAGCCTCAGCATGAAGAGAAGAGGGGGAGGCTGGCCACCACCTCCCTCTAGGTAATCGTCATCCTGATGCTGAGCTCCTGAAAACAGGCTCTTTCACTCGCCCCATCTCTTGCTCTTGATTGCAACCCGGCATTCAGGAGGCACCCTGTAATATCTGTGGAGTGACCGACAACACAGCGCCAGGGCACTGAGAAGATCCCAGGGCGCCAGGGACTGGTTCTACAAGGGTGCCCCTCCCGGTCCCCTCCAGCGCGCCGCCAGAGCTGCCAGTCTTGGCTGCTACACGGGAGGCAGCCTCATTATGCAGCTCTCACCTCTTAAATTAGTTCATGCTCTCACATTAGGTGTAATCACAGCTTGCAACGCTTTCTGGGGATGTCTCAGAAAGATCTGAGTTGAAAAAATATTTTTGTGTCATTTTAATTTAAAGTAAAATTGCTGCTTCTTCCCCGCCCCTTTCTTTCCTCCTGGCCCACCCAGCGACCCTGGCCGGCCGTGCTCAACGGGGGCGGGGGTCGGAGGTGAGATTTCCTCCACATAATTCCTTAAACAGCTATCAACTAAGTCTCAAAGAAAAAAAAAAGAGATCTAGAAGCAGAGACGTGGCTGCTGGCGATCCCAAAGCTGGTGTTCGCTCTTGGGGGAGAGCGTACCCTGGGGGAGGCCGGGAGGCCGGGCCAGAGGCTAGCCCAGAGGCAGAGGGCAGGAGCGCTCAGCCGGCGCCCCGCGTCTCTCCAGCTCCCGACGCTGCGCTGGCTCCGCTGAGCACGCCAGGATCAAGGTCGCCTGGTGGGGACCGGAGCGCCAGGAGCCTGTGGGAAGCGTTCCAGCCGGCCTCTGACTGGGATCCGGCGCCGCGTTTCTGCTTTGGACTTGACTGACAGGTCCCCCCGCCCTCCCGCCGCCCTACTACCAGCCTGGGTTCATCCTTCAGGGCTACGTCTACCGCACCCGGGCTGGAAAGCCTGGAGCGCGCCCTTCCTCTCCTCATCTTCTCAGCTCTCCTTTCTCCCTGCCACTTGGCAAAGCTGCATTTTGACTTTCACGTTTTGGACTACGTGTGTGTAGTTCCAAGTCCATGCGTGGCACGAAAATCCACTTAGGGTAAAAATTATTCTCGAAAAATCGCCCATCTCAGGATCTGGTGTCTACACTCAAGGCTAGGAGGTGCAGGTACGGGTGCGTAAAGCATGCCGTAAGGGTGCACAGTAAATAAAAAGTACGGATGCAAAATGTAAATTTTAAGTGCAAAACAGAAAAGCAGTACTCGTTGCCGCCCCGCACGCTGGGTTTTAAGGGGCACGAAGGTGGGCCTCGGCTGCTTTTGCTCAGCCCCGCGTCCTCAGCGCCCGGCCCAGTACCCGGTACTCCGTAGGGGTTCAATGATCTCCCCTGAATAAGTGAACGAATTAACAAATGAATGAATGACCGCTCGATCCGACCTCCGCGGCCGGCAGAGCAGTCGCTGGAGAGGCGGGAGAGAGCGAGAGGCCAAGCTCCACCATCGCGGCCGCCGGCTGGGGCAGAGGGACACGGAGACACTCGGCGCCCCGGCTCCGCACCGAGTCCCCGCGGTGAGTGCCCGCCCAGCAGCTCCCGGGCACCACGTGCGCCCGCCAGAGCCGCGCAGGCCCCGCCCCGCCGCGCGCGCACGCGCCCTGCACCCCGGCCGCCGGGACCCTGAGCCAGGCTCGCCCAGCGCGCCGGCTGCCCTCGCGCCCGCGCCCGCTGGGGGGCGCTCCCCTCCCAACGGGCGCGCCCACAGGCGGGCAGGCGACTCGCAGCCTCCAGCGATTCCACTCCCGACCCCGGGGCGCGCCGCCTCCTACCTGAGGGCCGACGAGTGGGGGCGGGCAGGAGGGCCGAGGGAGGCGGAACAGGATCGAGGCGCGAGGCGGGAGTCGAGAAAGCGAGCGGCCGAGGCGACTCTCAGTGCGCGGACGCGGGCGCGCGCCCGCGCTCCCTTCGTCGACTCACGGCGAGAGCCCAACCCTGCTGCCGCGCGCCACCCGCCTCGCCGCGCCTAATAACAACGGCGCCCGGGGTCAGGTGGCCGAGCGCGGACAGCGCCGCCATTGGCTCGGTGGGGAGCGCGGCGCGTCAGGATTGGCTGGGGGGCGTGGCCTCGGCCGGGGCGGGGGCAGGGCCTCGGAGGGAGGCGGGCCGGGAGGCGGCGGGGGCGGGGCCAGGCCGAGGTCCGCGCCTTTGTGCCCGGCGCGCGCTCTCCGCCCGCTCCGGCTGCAGCGCCGGCTGCATCAATAATTCAGAGCGGCGGCGGCGGCGGCAGCGGCGGGTGCGGGCAGGAGGCGGCGGCAGCAGCGGGACCGAGCAGCAGCGGCTATGCATCCAAGTGCGGCTGGGCAGCCGCGGCACCCCTGAGGCCCGGGAGGGGCTCCGGGAACACAGCGCGGAGGGGACGCTAGTCGCGGAGGGGACGCTAGTCCCGGAGTGCGAGGAAGAGGTGTAGTGTCCAGAGCGGCGGCGGCGGAGCTGCGCACGGAGCTGAGGAGGGGGCTTCGGAGCGGGACTGGGACGGGGGGGGCGGCTGGCGCGAGCAGCCCTGGGGGTGGGGGGCGGGGTGGGCGCCGGCGGCGCGATGCTGGGCGTCCTGGAGCTGCTGCTGCTGGGGGCTGCGTGGCTGGCGGGCCCGGCCCGCGGGCAGAATGAGACGGAGCCCATCGTGCTGGAGGGCAAGTGCCTGGTGGTGTGCGACTCCAACCCCACGTCCGACCCCACGGGCACTGCCCTGGGCATCTCTGTGCGCTCTGGCAGCGCCAAGGTGGCTTTCTCTGCCATCAGGAGCACCAACCACGAGCCGTCCGAGATGAGTAATCGCACCATGATCATCTACTTCGACCAGGTGAGTGTTCCTTCCTCCCGCGGCGTGCAGATTGGGCTGGTGAAGGAGGGATGGATGGAAGACCGATGCCCGGTCCTCTCCAAGGGCTCTGCGGAGGCGCGGGGACGACAGTCCGGGACCGATTCCTGCCCACTCCCCTTCGTTCCCGTCTCGTTATAGGTACTAGTGAACATTGGGAACAACTTTGATTCAGAACGCAGCACTTTCATCGCCCCGCGCAAAGGGATCTACAGTTTTAACTTCCACGTGGTAAAAGTCTACAACAGACAAACCATACAGGTCAGCCGACGCCTCGTGCCGGGCCCTGGCCCCGTAGGGGGGTTACTGGCCTCAGGGGTGCTCGGGCTGTCCGGAGGTGGTAGGCAGAAGTGGCGGCTGCATGTACTTCGGGCTGCTTGGAGGGACAGATAGCGGGGCCTCTCAGTTCTGTGGCTTCAACTGTCCTCTGCTTTCCCTGTCTCTGGCTCTTGGGATCCAGCCCCATCCCCCGAGAGACAGAATTTTCTGCTTCTGCCTTCCGGGCCTCTCCGAAGGGTTCCCTGGATTTCAGGGACTTCCTTGTAACGGCTGTTGTTAGCGCCCCAGACAGCTGCCGCTTGGGAAGCCTTCCCGGACTCCCCAGGAAGCACCGCGACAGTACACCCTACCCCTTGCCCCGGCTCAGAAGCCTGCGATGCGGCTTGCGTGCTTGTCTTCAGCACCACGGACGGGGCCCCCGTTTTCTCCCACTTGTCCCCAATCCCCACCCCGTGCGGACTGTGGGTTTTTGAGCTAGCAGCATTTAGCCCCGGAGGGTGAGGGGTAGAGAGAGGAGGGAGGGAGGGGGCGTAGTGCTACTCTCTCCCGGCTCCAGCCGTGTCCCAGCAATCACTCGCCGGCTCTCCGGGTCCCCAAAGATGTCCAGGTTTCCCTTGGGCGCCGAGAGAGGTGGGACGCACAGCTGGGGAGAGGGCGCGAGGCCCTTGGCTGACGGTGCCACCACAGGGGCAAAACCAGGCGGTGGCGGGCGCGGCTGGATGGGGGAGGGAATTGAGCCCGTGGTTTGGGGAGGAAATACATTGTGCCGCTCGGTGCGAGACTTCTAATCACAAATCACAGTGGCTTCTCCACTGTGTCCTGGCAGCTGGGTCCAGGAGGGATCAGGGGCTTTTTGTTTGTTCGTTTTTGTTTTTCCGGTAGCGCCAGAAGGAGCCTGAGTTGCTGGGTTTTTTTTGTTTGTTGTTTGTTTTTTGAGGCTGAGGGGAAACGGGAGAGAGGTCAAAGGTCTCAGGGCGCTAGAGCCACCTCATGGGTTTATTAAATTGGATCACAGAGCACAGTCGAGATTCGCTTGGCGCGCTCATTTGAGAAACTGGAATAAGAGCAACTCCCGTTTTGGGGACAGGCCCTTCCTGTCACCCAGATGTGTGGTCTTTCGCCCCACTGGAGCCTCAGCAGTAAGCTGCAAAGCCCCTTTTCCTCCATTCGCCCCCCCCACCCCCCACCTCTCCGTGCTTCCAGGCCTTACAGGCTGTTAGCCAAGCAAGGAGGAGGTTCGCTCCACCGCGGCTTCGGTGCCTGCCTAGGTTGCGCCTCTGAAGCGGGCCTTTCTCTTTCTCAGGTGAGCCTCATGCTAAACGGGTGGCCGGTGATTTCAGCCTTCGCTGGTGACCAGGACGTGACCCGGGAGGCCGCCAGCAACGGAGTCCTAATCCAAATGGAGAAAGGCGACCGAGCATACCTCAAGCTGGAGCGGGGAAACTTGATGGGGGGCTGGAAGTACTCGACCTTCTCCGGATTCCTGGTGTTTCCTCTCTGACTGGCTCGTAGCCGGAAGGGAGGCAGGGAGAGGGCGAAGGCAGGAAGGGGAGTGAGAAAGAGGCTGAAATTAAGAGGGCGAGAAAGCAGCACGACTTGAAACTTCCTACATGTTCTCTAACTGTATCTGGGTAAAAAGGTGCGCGCCAGCTGTGGGACAACTTTGTCCATTTCCTTATTAGGAGAAATAAATTTCGCTTAGCTCTGCGCACTCCCATTTCCAAAAATAAACTCGCCTCCCCCATTCCAGTTGCAGTAATCAAGAAAGAGACTGCCTTGTCATTGTTTCTTATCCCCCAACTTCATGTTCCCTGCAATTTATTTAAAGAAACTTTGTATTTCACTACATAATCTGAAATCTTTCTCCCTAGCCCCCTCTGAATCCTTCTGCCTACTGAAATCTGATATATTACACACCCCCAACCTTTTTTTTTTCAGTTTGGAAAGGGGTAAAGTTTTGTTGTTGTTGTTGTTTTGTTTTGGATGGGGAAGGTAGTTTTAATTTGGCAAGTGTTGCTCTTCTTAAAACACTGCTCAAATTAATTAGCTGAAGATACTTAGTATCCTCGGCTGCTTGTTAGCAGAGAAAGGACTCACCTTAGTGGTGACTGGTTTAAAAAATATAAATATATATCATTTGTATACGAAGAACTCTTCCCAGTGGAAACTGGCTGTGTTTCCGTATTTCTATGTTCTATTCGGAGTGATCGTGAAATCTAAGGCTGCTTGATGTTCTGATGCTTGTCAATGCCGTCGTGCTCTGTGACTCCACGAAACGCCAAGGAGCTTCTTCCGGACGCCTCCTCTTCCTCTGTAACATACGTGTGAATAGTCAAGGTTTAATTTTGCTTTAATCTAATAAAGTCGAAGTGGGACTTTTATTTTTCTGAAACAGCTTTCTAAAATCCGCATCTTCCCCAGCTGCGAGGTTGGGGGTCTGGGGTGCCAAAGGGCGAGGTTCCGAAAGGCAGGAGACTTGGGGGAACGCAACCATAGAAAGGCCTGGGCGCGAGGGCTTCCTTGCAAAGCCGGCCTTGCGCTCCTTCCTGCGCCAGGCCGGGGACCAGCACTGCATTCGCCTGTGTTCACAGCTTTGGCGGAAACGTAAGAAATGTGGCCGAAATCTTGCTAGGCCAGGCGCGGCCGCCGGCCCAGGAGCGAAGTTTGATTTTTTTCTTTGCATTCCAAATGCATCAGGAATAGTCCCAGTTTGAGGACCCAAACGACCCTGCCTGGAGCGGCAGACTCCTCAGGCCTTCTGTCCCCGGATGTCTCCCACCGCGTCCCCCTCGCAGTTCCCGAAGCAGCGTATGTTTTATACACCGCCTCTGAATCCGGAGTCCACCCGCCGCATACTCGGGCGCCCAGGACCTATGATTCCGCTCATTCACAGGACTTTATTCAAGAGGTTCGTCCAGGAGTTTTGATTGTATCGGAACATAATGTGAAAGCAAAAATGAAATAAACGACTTCGTTTTAAGTCTGAAAGGCTGACCCAGTTGCTTCGGCAGCGGGGAGGTCGGGAGCCGGAGCGAGTGGGCAGCCTAGGGCGAAGGGCCGGGAGCTGGGAGCTGCAGCCGGGTGGTCCCCTGCAGTTGTGGTTCCTTTCAGAGAAACGTTTTCCTGGCCCAATATTCAGGAATGAATTTTATTTCCTCTAGGGGCGTGGGGAGAAGGGAAAGTTAATAATAGCACAATAAACAACGTTTCTCGGATTTATCCCAGCGGCTGGTTCGAGTTAGAAATTCACGGAGCACGGGGCCTCTGTTGAAACCCGGGCCCGTTTCTTCTCCGCATGCAATCCGGTAAGCCGTGGAGCAGCTCTAGCGGGCGCCCTTGCAGCCCTGTGCCTCCGGGACCCACAGAGATAGATAGGGACTTCGCGAGTGAGGAGTGGACCCGAGTACTTTTCTGTTTCTGCCCAACAGTTTCCCTTCTACTCTGTTAGGCCCCAGGGAAGTGTGAATGAGAAGAAATAAGGGGCCTTAAAGGGATTTAAAGAAAAACTGCTTTTAATAAAGAGACGCGCTTTCTCCGAAGTCTCCTGGTTGGGAAGGAGAGGTCGGAGACAGTTGGAGCCTTTGGCAGCGAAACTAGCTCCACCCAGCAGCTCTGCCGTTGCAGGGCCAGCCCTCCGGGCTTGTGGAGACCCTATAGTCAGTAGGGTGCGTGTAAGCTTGAGGCTGTAGGGCCGCGAAGGTTGGAGAGCCACCGCTCAAGGAAGCTGCCCCTGTACGCTTTGGCGCTCCCTGGGCTGCAGGTGGGTGGGTCACCTCTCTTCCTGAGGGCAAGAACCACCAGGGTTCTGGTCTCCGTGGCTGCCTGTTCTGTGGGGCCACCAGGCTGTGTCCCGGTGGAGTGACTTTGGCAAGTCCGCTATCAGGTCCTAAATTTGCCCATTTATATAAAGACAGGGAGAAATCTAAACACCTCTCAGAGTTCCTCCTGCTCTGTGGATCCAGCCCTCCTCTGCTCCCAGACCGGGAGTCTGCAGATTCTTTTTCCTGGGTGAGTGAGTCCTGGCTGCAGCCTGTGCTTACCTGGCTGCCAAGTGGCAGCTCCTGAGTGCTAAGCCTCGGGCTAGGGTGCAGGCCAGGGGAAGCCTGTGCATCCTGGAACTGGGACTCATTCCTGAGCCCTAGCTCTGCAGCCTGGAAAGTGAGTACAGTGGGAGTGAATTGTCCCCAAATTCGAAGAAGAGGGGTTGATTTTCCTTTGATTCTGCTGTAGTTCAGCAGACCTCCTTCCTGGGAAAGGATCCCTGCCTCCCACAATGTCCGAACCTAGTATCGGAGAACCTTCTTGATTGGGCTCTAGCCTCCCTCTTCTTTCTCCCTCTTCTTTCTCCACCTGCTGACCCCTTCCCTTGCCATCTGATGATTCCACCTCCCATTGTTGTCTTTATGCCTCCACACCTGCTGTT
The DNA here is from genome assembly GCF_000001405.40 of Homo sapiens. Lineage (NCBI taxonomy): Eukaryota > Metazoa > Chordata > Mammalia > Primates > Hominidae > Homo > Homo sapiens. Next base: position 49,276,481 of record NC_000016.10, on the reverse strand, counting down.
CCTGATTGAAGTTGAAGCACCCCTTCTCTACTCCGCTTTGCAAAATCCTATCCTGCTGAGGACCCAAGAAGTCCAGCTGAAAGGCTGCCTCCCCTGGGAAGATATTCTACCCACACATACAGGCATTGCTCCCCGAGGTTCAACACCCCTTCTGCACCTTCCAACCAGGCCTTGTTTTGTGCTGGTTGGGAAGGGAGACATCTGGGGCTGAGCTTGTCTCTTACTCTGTGTGGGTTCCATGGGGCAGAGGCAGCCCACACAGCCCTTAGCATGCTAACCTGGCGTCCACGCCCCAGAGGGCCTGGGGAGATGTGGGGCTCCATATCTCTCAAACTGCCCTCACCGTCAGGCCTGAGCCTCCCAGTGGCCTGAGTGGGGCTGTGGATAGCTCTCCCCAGGGACCTGGAGGTTCGAGGCCTTAGGGTCCTGGCACATGCGGTTGGGCCACCTCCCTCACCTCTGGGGTGAAGGTGAGGTGAGTGTTACTTCTGCTAGAGGCAGGGGAGCCACCTTCTGAGCATTGGGCTTCAGCTGGGAGGGAACCAGAGACTTGGAGACTAAGAGATGGAAAAGGAGGGGCACTAGGTAGAGACTACTTGCTTTCCCCCAGCCAGAGGCTAGGAAGGGGACCGATTCAGAAACCCACACCTCACAGTGGAATCCTTTCATGCTTAGAATCCTTTGGGCCCCGCCTCTTGCTTTCATCTCAAATAAACCCCTTCAGAGCAAAGCCTGTAGGGGTTCCAAAGCCACCCCTTCATTCAGCCTTACCCTGGTCCCAAAGGCTCCTCCCCAGCCCAGGTCACCTTGGTCACCTCCTCCGGGAAGCCTTTCATGCCTTTCTGCTCTGGCCTCCCACTTTGGAGTGTGGCCTCTCTTACCAGCCTGCCTCCTCCCTCCCCACACCCCGTCAGTTCTCCCAGGGCAGAGGCTGTTTCCTATTCTGCGCAGCGTTTCCGGCACCCAGCCAGGCTTAAAGGTACTGTGAGGGGAACTCAGGGAGGCTTCTAGGACCCAACAAGCCCAGACCTGGCTTCTCCGCCCGGGTTCTCCACACCGCGCTAAGCGCCCCGGGAGCCGCGCAGGCGAGGAGCCGAGGGTGATCACTGTGGTGTCTGCTGTCTGCGGAGCAGCGCTGGGTTGCGCTGGGCCCCGCGCCTGCCCCCCAGCTCGCTTGCTGCCCGGCCGCCGCTTCCACCATTAGCCGAGCTGGGAGCATGCCTTCCAAGCTGCACTGGAGCGCTAATGCTCAGAGCCCGGGCGCATCCGCTCTTAATGAGAACACAATTACCCAGATGGAGAGGGAGCCTCACCCCTCTCCTTAATTGTTGCCTTAATGAGGTGGTGGTGGGGGATAGTGCGGCGCGGAGGGAAGGTGTGGGACTCTCCCACAGATTGCAGGTTGGGTCCTGGGGCGGGGCGGACCCAATGGAAGGCTAAAGACCCTGAACTGCGGACGTGTGCCCTGCACTTGGCCTCTGGCTTCATATGAGACCTTAGAATACTCTCCCCGAATACGAGCCTTACTTTTTTTCAACTCACAAATGCGAGGGGTGGGCTAGAAGACTTCTAGTGTTACTTCCAGGAGGTCTTACTTTCTGATCAGTGTCGGTGTCCAGCCACCCATCTCCCGCAGGGGCTGGGCCTAGTCACCTCCACAGGCTTTCAAACAAAACATTGAAACCTAATACTGACTCTGGGTGGGGAAGTGGGCAGAGAGAGGGGGGTAGTGGTGCCCCGGAACCGAAGGTCAAGCACAGAGGGAAAAAGCTCAGGCACAGCTCCCTTTGAGCTAATTCCACGGAGAAAAAAAAAGGCGGGGGCGGGGTGGGATTGCCCAGGGGGGATTACAAAGATCTCTCAATCTCTTTGCATAGCGGATACATACACACTCCCCGAGAGCCTCAGCGTCCTCACATTTCAAATGGGAACAATAATGCCTTCACAACAGGGTAGTCGTGAAGACTATGCTAAAAGGTCCAGAAAGTGCTCACCACTGCCTGACACATAGTAGGTGCTGAATAAATCCAGCAATACCAAGGAGCGATCGACACCTGGCGTATCCCACAGTCACAGAAACAGGACATATGGGAACATCTGGGTAATCCCAGCAGCATCAAACAGATGCGAAAACTGAAACCAGAGAGCAAGCGAACCTGAATGGTGGATGTAGGAAAAGGACCCTGTGTTCTTTCTTGTTCCTGCACACTCATCCCATCCTCACACACATCAACCACAAGAATAGGAGATTTTACCCCCTAAATATCTTTCGTCTTCATCCCTTTGCTTGTATATTTGCGTCGACCACTGTGGATGAATGTTCTCTGCGTGTCTGCAGGCTCTCCCATCAGACTAAGAGCTCTGTTGGCATGTCTGTGTCCCTGCAGAGGGTGAGCCCTCCAGGGTGGGAACTGTGTCTTCCTCATCTTGCCTGGCCCTGTGCCTCCTACACAGTGCCTGGCACAGAGCAGGTGGCCTGTGATCATGTCATGAGCTAACCCAAACTGTGTCTGGCACAGTTGCAGGATATGGACACAGCCAATGAAAGTGCCCTTCAGGGGACTTCCTGGACCTCTCAGTCCCTCCCGTCTCCCCACCCCCTATATCACTAACAGGAACAAAGCTGGAATGGAAGTGCTCCCAGATCCTGGGCAGAGACAGAAACCGTTCTAGGTACCTGCACTTGCTTTTATCTGTTCTTCACATTTCAATCTGAGCCTAGCCTGTCCCCAGCAAGTCCCAGCTGTGATCCTGAGAAGGTAGTGAGCAGGGACAATGAGAAAGAGGCCAGAATCAGATGTATGGGCTGGCATTTGGATTTGTTGCTCGGTCTTCTTACTGGGAAAATGCTTTGCTGTTCATAGATGAGGCTGCCTGCACTTTAGGAGGTGGCAAGGAAACACAACGCTGCTGATATCAGGAAGGAGAGCCTCGTGATTCTAAGCAGAGGTTTTCTGGTTGTGTGGCCACAGCCCAGAGCCTAGGGAGATCTTTGTTCATCTTGCTAAGCTCCAAAGACTTCAAGGAAGGGGTATAAGGTGAGGGATCAGGGTGCCTCATCTGAGCAGACTCCAACCTGACCTCAGTGCTCTATTTGAGCACATTCCTATACCCTGTACCTCATTGGCAAAGCCCTCCCTGACCCCTATTCATTAGCTTGTCCTCTGCTGACCACCTGAACTCTCCTATTCAGATCACGCCCTGCCCACATCTCTGCTGCATGCTAAGCTCTAAGAGGATCAGGCCCTCATCTGCAGGCTCCCTGCAGCGTGCCCAATGCCTAGCTCAGTGCCAGGGGTGGTAAATGCTCTTTCATTGTTCCTTGAATGCGTGAGAAAGTGAGCATATGACTGCGTGAACAGATGGATGGAGGGATTACTGGTGGCATTGTGAATGCATCTGCCTGGCCCACCAGACTGGGAACTCCACAAAGGTATCTGTCTTCTCTGCTTTGTTTATAGCTGTGTCCTCAGTGCCTAGCACAGTGTTTGGAGCACAGTCAGCATGAAAAGTATTTCTCCAATGAATGAATGAGGAATTATATGTATAATACTTTGGAAGTGGGACTCATGGGACTGTGAGATTCTAGGGTGCAGGCTTGGCACTGTGCTCCTCTCTAAATCCTCACTGTTCCCCTGAATGTTTATTTTGGAACGGAATTGCATTGTACCTGTTGTCTGGAGTCAACTCTATAGCACAAGTTGTTTTTGTATGCTGTTTGTCCCCATGCCCAACATACTTTGAGCACCTTAGAGGGCAGGGACCATATTTTATTTTCCTTAAAGGAGAGGGATACTCTCCTTTTCCCACCAGCATTCAATAATGGGATTTGGTATTGGTTGATTGGTTGTTTAATCCAGGATCAAGCCATTCAGCCTGTGGCAATGAATGGGCATTGCCGCCTTAGTGATAGTGGTAGGTAACAAAGATCAGAGATTGCTAACCAGCAGGCTTTCCCATGGTACTGGCACACTGGCCAGATGTAAAAAGTAGCCATACAGGGTCTTGGCCAATGAGGGGGCTGGTAATTCCTTGTTCATGGATGGCCATAAGGTCACTGGGTTTTTGTTCTGGCTGGAAGCAGAATGAACTCTGAAATCCCATCATAGCTTTGGGTTCTCCTGCAGATCATGGAGGTGGAGTGGGCTTGACTGGTTTCTTCTAAATAAAATCAAAGACTCCCCCAACCCCCTACATTTCTCAGACCCAGTGTCCAGTTGGGAGTTCAGCCTGACAAAGGGTCTCTGGAATGCTCTGCTAGTCGCAGCAACCTGCTTACTCAGGTGAGGCTCAAGAGCCTTTTCTTCCATCATCAGAAATTACTGCACACTTTCAGGGAAACTTTCAAAGAGGGAAGAGGGAATTACTAACAAAGGAGCGGCAACTGGGCATTTTCTTCTGGCTCATTTAAAAGGAAGCTGTGTGTTCTGCCCAGATCTTGAATTGGAAAGGCTCTCCTTTGTATTCTGAGAGACTCAAAAATAAACTCTCCAATGTGTACTTCTGCTGAGAAGTTCAGATGATTTTATAATGACTGAGTGGCTCCAAATATGGCATTAAAATGCAGCTGATGAGGAGCCTGCTATTTTACTAACTCATCTTGATCAAAGTTGGTCAATTTAGGTCTCAGCAAATGTTCCAAATGCTCTCTCTTTTTCTCTCTTTTTGGAGTTCATTTCAGGTAGATGGATTATTTACTTATTCTGAAGGTGCTGAGGGAGAGGGCATGTTAGCAATACTAATTGAGCTGTGGGTGCGAACTCACAGCTCATCCTCACATGGCATCTGGGTGTCTGGTGCATTTTCTTCCTCCTGCTCTGGGCTCTCGATGCCTCCCAAGTGGGGACTTACTTGGCAGGTTCACCAGCATGTAGGCCTCAATAACCTCCTGCATCAAAGTGAGTGACAGTGGTGCTCTTTGAGGCTGTGAAGTTTGCAGCTGTTTTCCTTGATTGCCTAAATATGTCCCTGTCTCTGTCATGAAAAGTTGGGATCCAGGCTGAGAGCAGAAACAAGTCTGTTCCCCGAGGAGTGACACCACACAGCCTCTAGGGTCTCATGCTAGCTTGAAGTCTATGCAATGTAAGACTCCACAGACAGCAATAAGGGTCTTTGTGTCTGCGTTTCCAGCTTAAAGTTGTGACTAGCATCCTGCCTTATAGCCCCAGCCCACAGAAAAAGTCATTGATGGCTAGCTCTTAGAGATCTGATGGGAGTCTTCTTTGTTTTTGTTTTTTTTTGGGGAGTGGTAGAGGGGTGGGGTGGGGGGAGGTGAAGTCTAGTTCTGTTGCCCACTGGAGTGCAGTGTCTTGATCTCGGCTCACTGCAGCTTCTGCCTCTAGGTTCCAATGATCTTCCTGCCTCAGCCTCCCCAATAGCTGGGACTACAGGCATGAGCCACCACGCCTGCCTCCTTTTTTTTTTTTTTTTTTTTTTTTTTTTTTTAGTACAGATGGGGTTTCACTGTGTTGGCCAGGCTAGTCTCAAACTCCTGACCTCAAGCAATCTACCTGCCTCAAAGTGCTGGGATTACATGCTTGAGCCTGGCTGTGAGCCTTCTTAGGACTCTTCTTAACCCATTTTTTCCTCACTTGCCAGAGTGAGCTTCTCAAAATGTAAACTAAGTCAAGTGACTCTTCTGCTTAAAACTATCCAGTGTGAACCAAAACTCCTTATAGTAGCCTCCAAGCCTTCCGTGATGGGGCCTCTGCTAACTTCTGAGACATCATCCTCTATTGTTTTTCTCTATTGCAAATTAGCTCATTCTGGATTTCTGTTAGTTCCTAGAATATGCCAAGCTGTGTCCTGTCCCAGAATCTTCACCTGTCGATCCTTTATGCGCAAGGGATACTCTTCCATCTCCCACTTATTGCTGTGGCCATTTCCTTCTCTACTTTTGTATCTGAGCTAAAAAGTCACCTTTGCAGTGAGGCACCATCCTGATCACTCTGTCTAATATTGAGACACCTCTTCTTTACCAGCTGAGCTCTATCATACTGCCTTGCTTTATTTTCCTTATGGCAGTTGTGACCCTGGAAAATGCTCATTTATCTGTTCACTTGTTTACTGCCTCTCTCCCTCCCTGGGGATAGGAACCTTGCTGCCTTTTGTCTTACTTTATTCTCAGTGATTGGAAGAGAGCCTAGAATAGTAGGGGCTTGATTCATGTATGAATGATGGAATGGCAAACCAGCCATAGAGTCCTGGTCCCCAGAGCTCAGGGCTTCTGCTCCATCAGAGCAGAGCCATCTCCTCATTAGTCCCTCTCCTCAGGAGCTCAGGAGAAGCTGAGGTCCATGGGAGCCATTAAACTTGTCACCCACCAGAAACCATCTTCATATTGAGGGGAAGTGCATCAGGAGCTGTGAGCTCAAGGATGCAGCTGGAAAACTGGTCTCTTAGCCACATGCCCAATAAATGGGCCTTTTCCTTGTTAATATCTGCTGTTAAAATTGCATAATTCAGCTCAAGCATGTGATTGGGCTAGGGAAAACTGACGTTAGCTGTGAATTATTGAATTTTTTCTTGCAGAAGTTATCCTGCAAGTGGGAAACAGAGAACAAGGAGCAGAGGGGCTTTGGTCTGGGGCAGAGATGAAAAGCATTCTGGATGCCATTCCTGGAGCTGTTGCTCAACACGGAGCAGAAGTGGGTGTTGAGATGAGGACTCAGGGATGAGAGTGAGGCCTGAAGAGTCATGCATAAGACAGAAGCAGCTTCGTGACTCTCCCCAAGATGGGAGAAGGGAGCAGTGGGGGCAGAAATAGCAGCAATGTGAGTCTAAAGCTGCTGAGAAAAGATACTTATCCTCAGACTGTAAAATATCCACCACAGAAATACCTAGGTGGCTTGGAGTTGTCAATCAAAACATTGGTTCGACAATACTGACCTCAGAATCTCTGCGTACCTGCCCAGCAGCAGCTCTGCTCTGCAGGTCCGTAGAAAAACCAGGCGGGGAGCCTGCCTCACCCACAGTCCAGCACAAGAGAGTGTAGTACAGAGAAGGATAAGAAAGTAATGTTAGGGACTTGGCTGTCTATTTCACTTGCATTAAGCCACTCCCACACCATTGTAAGTGCCTCATGATCCAACTCAATTTTCATGACCTTTGGATTTCACCCCTGTTGTATGGCAGAGTAGCAAGCACTGATTAAGAGAATAGGCTTTGAAGCAGAGCTGGTTTTGAAGACTGACTTTATAACTGTACTCAGGACTCTTGTGGTTTCAGATGACTGAAACTCAGCTCAAACTGGCTTTAGTACCACCCTCCCAAAAGAATTTACTCACTCCCAGAACCAAAAAATCCAAGGGGTGTTGAATTCAGGTATGGCTGAATCCAGATGCTTAAATACATCATCAGAAATCAGCCCTTTTTCACACAGGCAGGCCTATTTCTAGGTCCCTAATTGTGACAATTTGACTCGAGCAATAACAGGCTCACATTCTCCTTGCCTAGTTTCCCCATTAGGAAAAGAGCACTTTTCTCCCCTACAGTGCCAGCAAAAATTCCACAGCTGATGGATATTCAACTAACTCTAAGTCATGTGCATTCCCAGAACCAATCTGTATGGTCACAGAAAAAGAAATGAGCTAATTGGCCAAGCATGGAGCCAGGTGGGGGTGGAGATGGAGTTGGGAAGAGGGAGCCTTATCTGGGAGCAGCTGTTACTAAAGAGGGGAATGCATGTGAGGTTGGCTACTTCCTGGCTGTGTGACTTTAGGTGGAGAGCTTAACATCTCTGAGCTTTGGTTTGCTCATCTGTTAAAATGAATGGAGCAATAATGTCTAGTTCTATTAGGATTGATAAGTCATTACCTATGAAAATGGGAACTAGAATTTCCACAGGGGTTCAAAAGCAAATGTCTGTATTTTACCGAATGGTGTAATATAATTTTGAGCATGTCTTGGTCTTTGTTAGAATTGTGAGATGCCTCCTGAAGCATGCTCCAAAGGCTCTTCTTTGCTCACAGCTGTATGCCAGTTATGGCTGGATCCCGTACCATTAGTCAGCTGGTATTTCTTTGCATTGCTGTGGAGCCAACTGATAGTGAGATGGGCAGCTCCTTCCCAGAGTTAGTGCACAGTAAATAGTAGAGTTGTTATTACTATTGCTCCCAAGGCAATTTTGCCAATGCTTATGCACCCTAGCATTGTTATTTAATTATATCACAAATGTGTCTTTTTTTCTGCAGAAGAGCACAAGCTCCTTGTGGCCTAATAATGCTTATTCATGCATACAGATCATCTGGAGATCTCATTAAGAGGAAGATTCTCATTCCTTTGATATGGGCTAGGGCCTGAGATTTCCCGATTCTAACAAGCTCCCATGTTATGAGTTTGCACACCACACTTGAGTTGTGATGGCATAGGACCATATATAGACCATAGTTATTTCCAAATACCAGTCCACAGACGAGTTATGGCAGACCTGGAAGGTTTTTTTCTTTTGGAAGAGAATTTACCGGTGGCTCATATAACAGAAAAGTAAGTATGAAAGACAAAGATCGCTGCCGACATAACTTGATCATTCATGCCTGGTCTCTGTCTATCTCATGCACTCAGTTCCCTTCACTCCTCACAGTCACAATACAGCTGCAGAAGCTCCAACTCTTTCATTGTCTCTGCTTCAAGTCCTCGATCTCAAAAGTCTTTGAAAAGTTCTCATGTTCATGCACCCTGGTATTGTTATTTAATTATGTCACAAATGTGGTTTTTTTCCACAGAAGAAAAGGAATCTTTTGTGGAAGAAATTGTAAAGGAATCTTATGCCAATCTCTAAAACCATTTCTATGGAAAGGCAATGCAGGTTCGAATTGGTGGTCTAAGTCATTTCCCCCTCATCAAGTTAGAGAGTAGAGTCCACTTCATTTAAGCCTCAAGGATTGTGTGTGTTTGTGTGTGTGTGTGTGTGTGTCTGTGTGTGTGTAGAAGGAGGAGGAAGATTTCCAAATGAAAACTGAAAAATAGCACAGAAAATTAAAGGACCACCCAGCCTCAATCCTAACCCTAGACTCTGATACCCAACTCTTCACTCCGCATATTCACTCACATGGCTAACATGCATCTCAGATATACCATGTTTAAAATGGAGCCCCTGGTCTTCTGTCTCCAAAGCTGCTCCTGTCGAAGTCTTTTCCTTCTCAGTTAATGGTAACCCCATGCTTCTGGTAGCCCAGACCAGACACTCTGGCATTATCCTGAACTCGTCTTACTCTTTTACACTTGATATCCAATCCATCTCCAAAGTCATATCCACTTTACCCTTAAAATAAACCCAAAAGTCAGCTGATCCAGGCCACCATCACCTCCCCCTTGGACAATGGCAGTCACCCCATTTGTCTTGTGGCCTGCTGTCTTGTTGTCCTACATCTATTCTCCCCACTGCAGCCACAGCATGTGAGTCAGATTATGGCACTCCTCTGCTAAACTTCCAAATGGGTTTCCTGCTCATTTACAATAAAATTTAAGCTATTTGTCATGGCCCTTTATGATCTGTCCTGCATCCCACCCTACCTCACTAAATCTCTGGCCTCATCTACTCTTCAGCCAGTAGCTTCACCCAGTAGCTTGTGTGAAGTGCACCTGCTGGTTCCTGCTCCTAATATTCTGATCCAGTAGCTCTCGGCTGGGTCTGGACCCTCTGCAGTTTTACAAGTCCTATGTGTGAATTTTGATTTGCAGCCCAGTTTTGTAAACAATTGCTCCCAACACCTGGCATGGATGATGGCATAGAGGTAGTGAATCAACATCTGCTGAATCAGCCTCTCATCTTTCCCTCTGATTATGTGTCGTTTTCAGGGTGGAGTGGAATGTGGGAGGGAAATGGGGTTACTTATTATTTCCCATAGTGAAATCTGATTATACAAATGATGTTACTTCTGTAATACTGAGGAGTTCATCTGAGAAGTGTAATTAGCATCAGTGTGTCTTGCAGGAGAAAGGGGCATCCCGCCTGTATTGGCTAACACGTTCACTTCTCCATAGGATGCCTGGGAGGCAGGCCATGTGGTTACTGCATCCTTACTTTCTGCCTTAATGGTGACAGCCCATTGCTGCACACTGTGTTTCTGTCTGGCTTCTGCATGGATGCTGAAGGTGGCTTCACAAAGGCTGTTATACAAACTGTACCTGCTGGAGAGCCTGCCCACCTGACTCTTGTCATTTTCCTTCACACTGCCAAAGCCACCTTGTCTGCTGTCCCTCCCTGACCAATGCCACTCTTGGATCTGCTTGCCCCTTTGAATGTGAGCATCCACCTTCTTGCCTTTCTCATACCCATTCCTGGGCTGGGCATCCCTGATCCCCCTCCTGATCTAGGAGGCCCCTGTCCTTTCTCCACCACCTCCTTGAGTTTCCCTGTGACAGGCACTGAGCTCCCTGCTGCCCTCTTTTTTTTTTTGATACAGTGTTGGCTTAATATCCAAGTGTAAGAAAACCTGCCATAGAACATCAAAGGCCATAGTCCATGATTTGAGCCTCAACTGGGAGTTCTATGAGGACTCTGGTTGCAAAGAACAGAAATTGTCTATTTTAGGCAAAAAGGAATTTCTTCCTATGCCCTGGGGCAGCACACAGCATTGAAGTGAAAGCTAAAGAAGTGGGCTCAGGAAAAGACAGGGAGCAGGAGGACAGCTCTGAGCTGTGGGTTCTAGGGGACAGGAATGATGACAGTGCCTTTGGGATCCCACCTTCACGATGTATCAACGACAGTGATTTTTATTCTTGTGTCACTAAGCTCAACATTTAATGTCCCTAGAGAGAAGACTCTTCATTTTTCACTTGAGAAAACTGAGGCCCACACACACAAAATAAATAACTTGCTGAAACCTACACAGCTGATCAGGGCAGAGCTGGGATACAAACCCAGACAGCTTCATCTAGGGGCAGACTGGGCATCTTGATTGCCCAAAGCTGTAGACAGCGGAGCCAAGTAAGTTTCTCTGGTTGAAGTGATGGCTGAAAATGTGGGCTCTTGAGGCATAGCCTGTCTGGCTTTGTATTCCAGCTCTGCCCTGATCAGCTGTGTAGCTTTCAGTAAGTTATTTATTCTTTTGTGTGGGCCTCAGTTTTCTCCCCTGAAAATGGAGATAATAATAATGGCCACGTCATCAGATGGTGGTGAGGCTTAATTAAAGGAATATGTGAGACACTTAAAATGGTACAAGGCACACAGTAGGCACCCAGCAAATGTTAGTTATTATTCTTAATTTTTTTTTATTTCTGTAGGTTATTGGGGAACAGGTGGTGTTTGGTTACATGAGTAAGTGCTTTAGTAGCGATTTGTGAGATTTTGGTGCACCCATCACCCGAGCAGTATACACTGAACCCGATTTGTAGCCTTTTATCCCTCACCCCCTTCCCACCTTTTTCTCCTGTGTCCCCAAAGTCCATTGTGTCATTCTTATGCCTTTGCATCCTTATAGCTTAGCCCCCACTTATGAGTGAGAACATATGATGTTTGGTTTTCCATTCCTGTGATACTTCACTTAGAATAATAGTCTTCAATTTCATCCAGGTTGCTGTGAATGTCATTAATTCATTCATTTTTATAGCTGAGTACTATTCCATTGTATGTATATACCATAGTTTCTTTATCCACTTGCTGTGTGATGGGCATTTGGGTTGGTTCCACATTTTTGCAAATGTGAATTGTGCTGCTTTAAACATGTACGTGCAAGTACCTTTTTCATAGAATGACTTCTTTTCCTCGGGTAGACACCCAACAATGGGATTGCTGGAGCAAATGGTAGTTCTACGTTTAGTTATTTAAGGAATCTACACATTGTTTTTTATAGTAGTTGTACTAGTTTACATTCCCAACAGCAATGCAGAACTGTTCCCTGTTCACCGCATCCACGCCAACATCTACCATTATTTGATTTTTTGCTTATGGCCATTCTTGCAGGAGTAAGTTGGTATCACATTGTGCTTTTGATTTGCGTTTCCCTGATCATTAGTGATGTTGAGCATTTTTCATATTTTTTTGGCCATTTGTAGTAAATGTTAGTTATTATTCATAAGACTAACAAAAGGTGTGCACATATAGTGATATGCTGGGTGACCAATAAGGCAAGTGCTTTCTCCATAGGATTTGTGTATGTCTTGACCCTCACGCCCTGGCTCTGTGGGGTTCGTTACCCTCTCCCCCTGCATGAGTAGTGTTTGGTCAGAAGGAAGGAAGTCTCTGGACATACCTAGCCCATAGGTCCCATGAACGAAGAGGGACAAGGCAGTATAAATACTGATCAGGAGCATGGGCTTTAGAGGCATCTAGGTCTTGTCCAAAGCTTGTCTCTGTTACAAACAGTTGTGTGACCTGGGTAAGTTGTAGAGTATTTCTGAGCCAGATATGAAGAAGGATAATAAAATCCTACTTGTCAGAGTTCTTAGGAGGACCCATGTATTTATATAAAAGCAGCCATTTTTAATGATCACCATTCTAACATCAGGAAACAACAGATGCTGGAGAGGATGTGGAGAAATAGGGGCGCTTTTACACTGTTGGTGGGAGTGTAAATTAGTTCAACCATTGTGGAAGACAGTATGGTGATTCCTCAAGGATCTAGAACTAGAAATGCCATTTGACCCAGCATTCCCATTACTGAGTATATACCAAAGGATTATAAATCATTCTGCTATAAAGACACATGCACATGTATGTTTATTGCGGCACTATTCACAATAGCAAAGACTTGGAACCAACCCAAATGTCCATCAATAATAGACCGGATAAAGAAAATGTGGCACATATATGCCATGGAATACTATGCAGCCACAAAAAAGGATGGGTTCATGTCCTTTGCAGGGACATGAATGAAGCTGGAAACAATCATTCTCAGCAAACTATCACAAGAACAGAAAACCAAACACCGCATATTCTCACTTATAAGTGGGAGTTGAACAATGAGAACACATGGACATAGGGAGGGAAGCATCACACACTGGGGCCTGTCAGGGGGTGGGGGGCTAGGGGAGGGATAACATTAGGAGAAATACCTAATTTAGGTGATGGGTTGATGGGTGCAGCAAACACCATGACACGTGTATACCTACATAACGAAACTGCACATTCTGCACATGCACTCCAGAACTTAAAGTATAATTTAAAAAAAAAAAGAAAAAAGGAACAAAAAAGCAGCTATTGAACCTTACAATGAGCCAGATATTGTTCCAGGGGCCTAGACTATAGCATGAACCAGACACAGTCCCTGCTCTCAAGCTAGTAGGTACACCTTAACTCAATAATAATATTGTGTTACATAACCACAAAGAGTTATAAATACTATGGACCAAATGCCTACATGAAGAACAATGAGCCCTCAGCGAGTGTGATGTTGAGCTGAGATTTGAAGTTAGGAATTAGCTAGGCCAAGATTGGGTGGGGAGAGAACATTCCAGGCAGAAAGAATAGCATGGGCAACGCCCCAAGGGTGGAAAATATCATGAATCTGTGGAAGCACTGGAAAGACTGAGGAAGAGATAGTGTTGCCCCAAAAGTAAGGGTGGGAAAGAGGTCAGGATGAGGCTGGAGAGCTGCAGGAGTCAGATCGTGGAAGTCCTGGCAGGCCAGGGTGAGGATTTAGGCCTTCATTCTGAGAGCAATGGGCCCGTGTAGGAAGATTTAAAGCAGAGGAGTGCTACGATTGTCTGTACATGTACAGAACGCCATGGGGGCTGTGGGGAAGGGGATGGCCTGGACAGGGACAGGAATGGAAGCAGGCAGATACTGGCAAGGCTGTGATGGCCACCAGGCTCAGGGATAAAGGCAGGTGGACTAGGGCCGTGACAGTGAGGTTAGAGAACACTAGATGGATTTGAGAGCTATCTAGGGCTAAATCCTGAGGATTTAGTGATGGATTAGGATGCAGCGCAGGGAGAGAGGCATGGGGGGTGGTCTCTGATTTCTCTGAGATTTCTGGTTATGCTATGCACTGCTACTCCTTGAGGGAAGAACTAAATGGTGGGGAGGGGTAGTGAGGTCAGTGAGGACATGGAATTCGAGGTTCCTTTGAGGTATTACATGTCAATGGCAAACAGACAGCAAGATATCAGGGTCTGGAGGCTAGAGGACAGGTCTGAGCTGAAGGAATAGACTTCAGCCTCACCAGCGTTAAGATGGGTCAAGAAGCCTTGGCAGAGATGAGCTGGCTGAGGGGGACACCAAGACAATTGGGTCTTAGCCCATGTTGTCATGTTACAAAGACTTCAGTGGTTGCTCTGCATGTGTGTGTATGTGTGTGCATGTGTGTATGTGTATATATGTGTTTGCATGTGTGTATGTGTGTGTATTTTTATGTGTGTGTATGTATGTGTGTCTATGTGTATGTGTGTGCATGTATGTATATATTTGTGCATGTGTATGTGTGTCTATGTGTATGTGTGTGCATGTGTGTATACATGTATATGTGTATTTGTGTATATATATGTGTGTGTATATGTATATATGTGTGTATGTGCATGTGAGTGTGTGTGTATGTGTTGTGTGAGTGTGTGTGTGTATGTATGTTCCTATAGCCAAGTCTATCCTCTTGAGACTGCTGCTATGATTGGCTTCTGATACAGGATTGGGACTAGTTTATTTGATTAGCCCCTCTGGTCACCTAATGAAGGTCAAGTGCCTACAGTATGGTGGGGTAGGGGGGGAGAGAAGACAGGGGAAGACTGAGGCACAGAGGTGAACTTATTAAGCTCCTCTCACCTGCACCTCCACACACAAACAATTCAGGCCTGACACTTTGATTGAACTTAATTTCTTTCTTTCTAATGCCTTCCCTGGAAGAATTACAAGCCCAGCTTCCCTGACAGCACCAGGGGGAGGATGATATTGGCGATGGCATAAAAGCCGAGAGAGAGAGAAGAGCAAAAGATGGAGCATTTATCCTGAGCAGAGTCCTGGAGCACCAGCCACCCTCTGAGCGAGACAGACAGAAACCAAGGGCTTTAAAAATAGAACTTCTTAACTGCTTCAGGTGGTGGGGAAAACAATCCCAACTAAAGCTTGCATTCCTGATTCTAGGCAACTGATCGCCGTTGAGGCAGAGAGGGTCCCTGAGCCCCAGAAAGGAGGTGGAGAGCAGTTGGGCAAAAGGGGAGGGAGCTTGACTGGATTCTGGTCCTGGAGCTTCATCTTGGAATAAGCCGAAGTGATCCCTGGCCTCTGAAGGGAAGGTGTCAGTCCACATGGGACACCCAAGTCCCCTAATGGAGACAGCAGTGTCCTTGGAGTTGGTGACAGGAAGTGGGATGGGCTATTTCAGGAACAGACCAGGACATCTGCATGCAAGCACAGGTCGTTGTATTTAAAGCAGTTCTCAGAAAACGCAATCCCCTTTTCTCAAACGATGGCAGGGATGGTGCTGTGGCAGAGGTTTAGGAACTGCTGGGGATAGATATGTGCAGATGTGGTCAGTGCCACAGTAGACAGAGGTGCCAAGTCCCACGGGATCTCGGGGGAGGCAGAGGACTTCAGGGAGGAAGTAATTTTGTTTTCAATACACTTTATTTTTTAGAACCATTGTAGGTTTACAGAAAAATTGAGAAGATAACACAGAAAGTTTCCATATAGAAACACGGAGTTTCCCTCTCACCCAGCTTCCCCTGTTATTAACATCTTACATTAGTATGGTACATTTGTTGCAATTAATGAGCCAATTTTAATAATCATAAATTATGATTAAAGTTCATGCTTTTTCAGGTTTCCTTAGTTTTTATCTAACTTCTTTTTCTGTTCCAGGATCCCATCCAGGACACTAGATTATATTTAGTCAGCACGTCTCCTTAGGCTCCTCTTGGCTGTAATGGTTTCTCAGAAGTTTCCTTTGGATGACCTTGGCAGTTCCAAGGAGTACTGTCAAATGTTTGTAGGATACCCCTCTATGAGAATTTATCTAATATTTTCTCATGATTATAGACGAGTTATGAACTTTTGGGAGGAAGACCGCAGAAGTAAAGTGCTTTTTCAACACATCTATTAATGGTGCATGCTATCAGTGTGACTTATCACTGTTGATACTGACCTTCGTCACCTGGCTAGGTAGTTTTTCAGGTTTCTCCACTGTAAAGTTAATCTCCACCTCCTTCCCTCCTTTCTATACTGTATTCTTTGGCAGGGAGTCACTATGTCCAGCATATATTTAAGGAGTGAAGAATTATTCTTCCTCTTGTTGAGAGCCAAGCACATAAATTATTTTGAATTCTCTTGCAAGAAAGATTTGTCTCTTCTCTTTATTCAATCATTTATTTATATCAGTATAGATTCATGGATACTTATTTTATACATTAGATTATAAGGCATTACTTTTTTATTTCGTTGCTCAAATTCTTGCAGTTTGGGGCATTAGGAATTCTTTCAGTTCGCTGCTGTGTCCACTTAACATACCCCTTTCAATGTAGTTTTTTTTTTTTTTAACTTCCTCACTTTCTGGCACTTCAAGACACTCCTGGATCATTTTAAACATTTCCTAGTCCTGCCCTAGAATCAGCCATTTCGCAGAGAAGCCCTGGTTTCTTTTTTTTTTTTTGGTATTAGAAACCAAGATCTGGGCATTGGGTATTTTCATTGTCATGGGGTGTCATTGCTTGTAGGACCTCTTAGCTGACAGAGAAAGAAAATATATGTGTATATTAACCCTTGCATATGCATATATCAATAAGTATTTCTGGGCATAAATATTTATATTTATACTAGGCTAAAGATGAGTTCATACTGATGTCTCTTACCACATGGATCATTCTAGCCTCCTCTCCTTGCTTTTCTGTAAATTCTCACTCTAACAGCAAGGAACCTAGCTCCAACCATCTACCATTCATTTACTTAATTGTTCAATCCTGGTATGTATGTGTAGTGATTTCAGAATTGTTAATCTGCAATCATGTAGGAAATAACTTTTTCAACTACAGTACAAAGCTTATGTGAAGTTCCTTTTGCCCTTAGTCTTACAGACTCTGCTCATTTGCAAAGTTACTTAGGTCAGCACCTTTTCTCCCATTCCTTTCAGTGAGATTGCTTCATACACTTATATTACACATAAGATTCTCTTGTCACATCTGCATTCTTTCCAGGGATTCCCAAAACTCCTAGTTTTTAAAATGTGCATACATTAAGGAACAGTTCTACCAACAGTGTACAAGGGTTCTCTTTTCTCTACATCTTTACTGACACTGGTTATCCTTTGTCCTTTTGATAATAGCCATTCTAAGATATGAGGTGGTATCTTGTGGTTTTGATTTGCATTTTCTCAATGATTAATGTCATTGAGCACCTTTTCAGATACCTAATGGCCATTTGTATGTCCTCATTTGAGAAATGTCCATTTAGATCTTTTGCCCATTTTTAAATTGGGTTATTTATTTTCTTGCTTTGGAATTGATTGAGTTTCTTATATATTTTGAATATTAACCTCTTATCAGATGTATGGCTTACAAATATTTTCTCTCATTCTGTAGGTTGTCTCTTAACTCTGTTGATTATTTTCTTTGCTGTGCAGAAGCATTTTAGTTTGATGCAATCCCATTTGTCTACTTTTGCTTTTGTTACTTGTGCTATTTGGGCTATACTTAAAAGAATAATTGCCCAGACCAATGTCTTGGAGCTTTGCTTATGTTTTCTTCTAGTAGTTTTATAACTTCAGGTCTTATATTTAAGTCTTTAATCCATTTTGAATTGATTTTTGTATATGCTGTGAGATAAGGGCCCAATTTCATTCTTTTGTATGTAGATATTCAGTTTTTTCAGAACCATTTATTGGAGAAATGATCATTTTCCTATTGTGTGTTCTTGGCACCCTTTTAGAAGATCAGTTAACCATAAATGTGTAGATTTATTTCTGGGTTTTCTATTCTGTTCCATTTGTCTATGTATCTGGTTTGATTACTATAGCTTTGTAGTGTATTTTGAAGTTAGATAATGTGATACCTCCAATGTTGTTTTATTCTTGCCCAAGATTACTTTGGCTATTTGGAAAATTTTTTCATTTCATATGAATTTTAGGATTGTTCTTTCTACCTCTATGAAAAATGTCACTGAAATTTTGATAGGAATTGCATTAAATCTGCAGATTACCTTGGGTTGTATGGACATTTTGACAATATTAATTCTTTCAATCTATGAACACAAGATTGTTCTATTTGTGTGTTCTTCAGTTTCTTTCATCACTGTCTGATAGTTTTCAGTGTATAGATTTTTCACCTCCTGGGTTAAATTTATTCCTAAGTATTTTATTGCTTTGTAAGCTATTCCAAATGGGATTGTTTTCTTTATTTATTTTTCAGTTAGCTCATTATATGTGGAGAAATACAACTGAATTTTGTATGTTGATTTTGTATCTTGCTACTTTACTGAATTCATTTATTAGTTCTAACCGTATTTTAGTGGATCTTTAGGGTTTTCACTATGTAAGATCATGTTATCTGCAAACAGTAGACACTTTTACTCCTTTCTTTCTGATTTAGATGCTTTTTATTTCTTTTTCTTGTCTGATTACTCTGGGTAGGAAATCCGGTACTGTATTGCCCAGAAGTGGTGAGAGTGGACATCCTTGCCTTGTTCCTCATCTTACAGGAAAAGCTTTCAGCTTTTTGCAACTGAGTATGACGCTAGCTGTGGCTTGTCATATATGGTCTTCATTGTGTTGAAGTGCATTTCTTCTATTCCTAATTTTCTCAGGGTTTTTATCATCAAAGGATGTTGGATTGTGTCAAATGTTTTTCTGCATCTGCTGAGGTGATTGTGATTTTTATCCTTCATTCTGTTAATGTGTTGTATCACATTTATTGATTTACACATTTGAACCATCCTTGCATACCAGGGATAAATCTAACTTGATCATGGTGAGTGATCCTTTTAATTGTGCTGTGGCATTCTGTTTGCTGTTATTTTGTTAAAAACTTTTGCATCTATGTTCATTAGGGACATTGGCCTGTAATTTTCTTTCCTTGTGGTGTCTTTGTCTGGCTTTGGTATCATTTGGTACCCATTTTTGTACCCATTTACTTTTTAAAAAGTGACCTGAAAGCATTATTTTATTTTTGACAAATAACAATTGTATATTTATGAAGTACAATGTTGTATTTCAATACATGCATACATTGCGGAAAGATCAAATCAGGCTGATTATCATATCAATCACCTCAAATAGTTATTTCTTTGTGTTGAGAATATTTAAAATTATCTCTTTTAGCTATTGAGATACAAAATAGATTATAATTTTACTTTTAATCTATATGTGTGTTTTGGTTTGGTTTTCTTTTTTAAAAAAAGTTCAGCTTTGACATTTATTTCTGTCTTTTAATCAGTGTGCTTAAAACAGTTATATTTGAAGTATCTATTGATATCTATCTACTTAGTGAATGTTTTTTATTCATTGTGTTTGTTCTTTTTTTCCTTCTCTGGTTTTAATTGGCATTATATATTATTTTATTTTCTCTCCCCTTTTTTCATATCAATTAAACATCTTTTCAAATTTTTTAGTTGTTGTACTAAAGTTTGCAATATATCTTCACAAATAATCTAAGTGTACTTTCAAAAAACACTTTAATACTTCACAGGTAGTACAGGTACTTCATAATAGAATTTTTCCAATTCCTCCCACCTATCTCTTATAAAATTGCTGTGATTAATTTCAATTATTTATATGTTATAATCATATAGTACATTGTTACTATTATTGCTTTGAGTAAACATTTATTTATTAGATTAAGAAAAATAAAAGATTTTATTTTATCTTTATTTATGTCTTTTCTGATACTTTTCCTTTTATCATGTAAATCTGCATTTCTGACCTATGTACTGTTCCTTCTTTCTGAAGAATCTCTCTTAGCATCTCTTATAGGGCATTTCTGCTGGTCATGAATTTCCTGTTTTTGTATGTCTGCCAAAGTCTCCATTTTTCTCTTCACTCTTGGAGGATTATTTTGCTGGATGTAGAAGTCTAGGTTGGTGGGTTTCTTTGTTTTGTTTTGTTTTGTTTTCAACACTTTAAATATTTTACTCCACTCTCTTGTTGCTTGCATAGTTTCTGATGAGAAGTCCACTGTAATTCTCATCTTTGCTCCTTTATAGGTAGAGGCAAAGGTGTTTGTCTTTCTTTGGCTTCTTTCAAGAGTTTCTCTTTGTCTTTGTTTTTTTCTGAAGTTTGAATATGATATTCCTAGGTGTAGAATGTTTGGCATTTATCCTGCGTGATGTTACTCTGAGCTCCCAAGATCTATAGTTTGGTGCATGTCATTAATTTTGGAAATTTCTTGGTGGTTATTACTTTAGGTATTTTTCTGCTCCATCCTCTTTGCTCCTTCTAATTTGAATTACGTTCAAACTCTTGAAATTGCTCCACAGTTTTGGGGTATTCTATTCTGTTTTTTTTCCCCATCATTTTAGCTCTTTGTATTCTAATCTGTAAAATTTCTATGGACACATCTTCAAACTTATGAATTCTTTCCTCTTTCATGTCCATTCTACTGTGAGCCCATTAAAGGCATTCTTTATTTCTATTACAGTGGGTTTGATTTCTAGCATCTCCTTTTGATTTCTTCAAAGAGTTATCATCTCTCTGTTTACATTCCTTATCTGTTCTTGTATGTTATCTACTTTTTTATGAGAGATCTTAATGTATTAATTGTAGTTATTTAAATTTTCTTATCTGATAATTCCAAAATCTGTGTCATATCTAAGTCTGATACTAATGCTTGATTTATCTCTTCAGAATGTGTTTTTTCTGTCTTTAACATGTCTTGTAATTTTTTGTCGAAAGCCAGATATGATATCTAGGGAAATAGGAACCGAGACGTAAGTAGGCCTTTAGTGTAAAGTTTTGTATTAATCTGGCTAAGTATTGGTGTATGTTTATTGTTTTCTGTAGCCATAAGTGTTAGGGACTTCAAATTCCTCTTGTATCCTTGGGTTTTTTTTTTTGATCTGTCCTCATGTTTTTGAGTTTTCCTGAAATTTACTTCTTAAATAAACAGAATCTGAGCCTCTCAGCTCCTTCAGCTATATTCCACTGCTATTATACTGCCATTCTGTTATTGTGGTAGTATGCTGTGGATAAGGGAAGGGATTCTATAATCTTATGATTAAATCTTAGTGTTTTAGTGGGCCTTGGCCTCTAGGCTGTGACCTTCACAAGTATTTCTTATCACAACTCCTTCCTCCACCCTTAGGTGAGACAGGAAGACTAGAAGGGGCTGAGATTGGGTAATTGCTCTTCTATTTAAGTGAGATAAGATTCTAGTAAAGTCTTTTTCACTGAATAGTAGGACTTTTCTATGGAGGGTAGAGTGAGCATTTTTCAAAATGGTTAATTTCCCCCACTCTTTGCCAGAAACACAAGGGACTTTTTTTTGGCTCTTCACATGAAAATCTGTTGGGGTTCCTGGAGGTAAAACCCAAGAAAGTGTGAGAGTATTTCTGGGACTATGGCCCCCATGATTTTCTCACTCTTAAGCTAGTCCACACTCAACCTCCAGCATTTCACCAAAACTACCATTTAAGTGTCCTACTAGTTTGTACTCCAGTGGCTTCTGCTCCAAGTAAGCTAATTTTGACTATTTCTCTGTATTTGCTTGGCTCTTCAGATTTCTGCCCTGCAGCCTTAGTTCTCTAATAAGTCCAAGAAAAGCCATTAATTTTCGGTTTGATAGCCTTTTTGTTGTTGTAAGGATGAGAATGATGACTTCCAAGCCCTTTATATGTAAGAACTAAAACCACAAATCCAGGAAATGACTTTTGAGCTGGGTCCTGAAGGACAAGTATGACTTCTCCAATAGAAAAGATCACCCTCACCAGCCCTTGGGGCCTGCCATCATCATGGAGGTGTCCAAAACAATGGGGGCTGAGAACACTGGCAATGCCCTTTGGGTCTCTGGTTCCCAGGCCTGTCCTTTTCCCTTTTGGGTTTCCTCACCTCCAGATGGTGATCCAGATCTCTCATCCAGACCAGTCTTCCTTGAACAATGCCTCTATCTATTTTTCCTCTTCTGACTCTGAGGTTATCACTCAGGAATTTACCTGTGAAAGAGTCATGTCAGTGTGGACATTGGTTGTATTTTGACCATGCAGCCATACATATGTTCTACCTTTTGTAGAAGCTCCCAATTTTCCATTAGTGATGTACCCCTATTCCTAGGCAACAATCTGTGTGCTTCAGATGAAACCAATTCTTTCTCTGCAGCCAGGCATGTGACTCTCGCCAGGCTAATCAAAGCCTTGAGTTTATCTGAACACAGTGATTGGTTCATAAATGTTCCCATTATCCCACTGGAGCCAATGAGATGTGACAGGAGCTACTAGCAAGCATTATGAAATCAGAAGGGAAGAGCTTGATGACAATCACACTAATATGGAGGAAAATGACTTGAGTAATACAGAGGAAAACCATATCCTAGTGACATTGTTTAAGCTTCTGCTTCCAGCTGTTCCTGAAAACTCTTCTACTTGTGAACTTTTCACTTACAGGATCCTCATGTTACAGGATTCCCTTTTGTTCAAGTCATGTGGGTTGGATTTAGTTTTGCTGTCTACCAAATAAAAGTTCTGAGTGCAAGAGAAATCTGTGGTCAATAAACTCTATTATGCCAGAGAACAATGCCTAAATGCAGTAGATGACCCTTTAATGGAAGAATTTCAGATCTTATAAGGGGAGATAACAGTTCACCAACTATGTGCACATGCCCTGGTGACTGTATCCCACTATGTGGCACCAGGTTGTGTGTTTATTTGCCGAGGCTCTTTCTCCTTCTTCTTACCTGCCGTTTACCCACAGTTTCCCTGGGAGTTTTCTTAGTATCTGATTCTAGGTGGGCCATTCTTGCATGGGATTTTGAGATTCTAAAATACTTTCTTGAAGCTGATTTTGCCTTTTTCTGTCATTTTTTACCCTCAGCTTCTTCAGACATAGATCCCCATTTAGTGTGGGGTTTAGCTTACCTCTGCAGCTTTTCCTCTGAGGGAGCCAACTGGAACCATTTATGCTCACAGGACTGCCAGGGGTCCTGCAGTGTGTGAAGCAGTGGGATGGTGGGGGATACTGCCTCATTCAAGTCAGATCATGAGAGGGGGATAGAGCAAGTGTATGTACAGACTTTCAGAATTCCTGCTGGCAGCTTGGAGATCGCTTAACCCAGGGTTTGGCAAACTTTGGGCCAAATCCAGCCTACTACGTATTTTTGTAAATGGTTGAAAAAAATTAAAAGAAGAATACTTTTTCATGACAGGTGACAATTATATGAAAATCAGTTTTCAGTGTTGATAAATAAAGTTTTATTGGAACACAGTTATGCTCCAATAAGTATCATTAACATAGTTTCTATGCCTACTTTCATACTACAACAGCAAAGTCTCATGAGTAGTTGCAATAGAGACCATATGGCCTGCAAAGCCAAAAATATTTACTGTCAGGTTAGTTACAGAAAAAATTTGCCAAATTTTGGTTAAATAAATGAACTATAGATACAAGTGGCAACATGGATAAATCTCAAAAACATAATGTTGAATAATAAAATCAAGTTTCAAAATGATGAGTATAATGATAGTATTTACCTAAGATTAAAAATATGTAATCTGAGAATTTTTTTATTTTTTTATTTTTTGGGGTACATGATAGGTGTATATATTTGTGGGGTACATGAGCTGTTTTGATTCAGGCATGCAATGTAAAATAATCACATCATGGAGAATGGGGCATCCATCTCTTCAACCATTTATCCTTTGTGTTATAAAAAATCCAATTACACTTTTTTAGTTATTTAAAAATGTACAACTAAGTTATTATTGACTATAATCACCCAGTTGTGAGATTGAATAGTATGTTGTATTCATTTTTTTCTATTGTTTTTGTATCCATTAACCATCCCTACCTCACCCCAAATCCTCTGCTACCCTTCCCAGCCTCTGGTAACCATCATTTTACTCTCTACCTCCATGAGTTCGATTTTTCTGATTTTTAGATTCCGCAAATAAGAGAACAGGCAATGTTGGTCTTTCTGTGTGTAGCTTATTTCATTTAACATAATGATCTTCACTTCCATCCATGTTATTGCAAATGACAGGCTCTCATTCTTTTCTATGGCTGAATAGTACTCCATTGTGTATCTGTACCACACTTTCTTTATCCATTCAGCTGTTGATGGACACTTAGATTGCATCCAAATCTTAGCTGTTGTGAAGAGTGTTGCAACAATCATGGGAGTCCAGATTGATTTGAGATTATGTATGACAGATATATGTTATATGACATATTAACATCATAAAAAGTATAGAAACATGAATAGGAATAATACATACCAACTTTAAGGAGTAGTTGCCTCTGGGGAGGAGAATGGGATCTGAAAGAATACAAAACCAGCCTAACATAGTTCTATGATATTTTATATCTTGAAAGAAAAAAGATTTGAGACAAATATTGCAAAGTACTAAGATTTGTTAAGCCAAACGTAGATACACAAGTGTTCATTATGTTAGTTTGAATTTTTTATTCTGCAGGTTTGAAATATATTTTAAAAATATTTTTAAGGAAAATATAGTGAACACATCAAACCTGTAGCTTCATGGATATTACAAGGCAAGTAAAAGAGGGACTGGTTTAAAGTTAATATAATAAAAATATTTGGCATATGTAGTGAGCTGAATAGTGTCCTCTGAAAAGATATGTCCAAGTCCTAACCCCTAGGAGCTGTGAATGTGGAAATGGGATTTTTACAGTTGTAATTAAGTTAAACTCAAGATGATAAACTGGATTTAGGGTGGGCCCCAACTCCAATGACTTGTGTTCTTATAAGAGGAGGGAGGATGCAGAAACATATGGGGAGGATTATGTGCTCTGTGCCAGTTATTGTATGAGGCATTTTGAATACAGTCTCTTCTCTGGAAATCTGAATTAAGTGGGTAATAACAGTAAACTATATAGTATAAGCTAAGCATAGTATATATGACATACAGAAGACTGAGCTCTTAATCCCATATGACTGACATCTTTATAAAAGAGGGCAAGAGGCAGGGGAGACAAAGCCGTGAGAAGATGGGGACAGAGACTAAGCTGATGCTGCCACAAGCCAAGGGACTCCAGGAACTACCAAGAAGCTGGAGGAGGCAGAGGAGGAATCTTCCCTCGAAACTTCAGAGAGTGCCTGGCCCTGCCAACACCTTGGTTTCAGCCTTCATGACTCCCGAACTGTGAGAGAATAAATTTTTTTGTTTTAAGACACCTCAGTAATGGTAATTTGCTACAGCAATTCTATGAAACGAATCCAGGAGATGATAGTTCAATCGGCATATGAGTGTGGCAAACATTCTGTAGCAAGTACTTTAGTGACCGACTTTTGGGAACACTGATTTATCCAGTGATTTTGTTTTAGAGATAGAAGATGAGGCACCAAGATGAGCCTGGTGCAGGGGTACACAGCTGGGTGGTGGCAGAACTAGGATTTCAGTTCATGAACAATGATCCATTGACTTGCCATTTTTTTCTCTCTGCTGGATAAATGCATACCAGGTCTCCCACTGCCACCACCTCATACAGTGGGGGAGAAATTCCTCCATCAACACCCTAATTGCCCTCTAAATAGAGAGTATAGGTGCATTCCAGTGTCTCTCAGTGGCAACCCGACACCTACCATTCCACAAGAGCAGTTTTGCTGCCTGACAACTCTTTCCATTCCTACCTAAATGTGTCCTGGGCAGTGGATCAATCAACCCCCCATCCACAGCAGGACATGGCATCAAACCTCTTCTCTCTGTCTTAGCTCAGGCTGCCACACAAAATACCACAGAATGGGTGGCTTAAACAACAGAAATGTATTTCTTACAGTCTTGGAGGCCAGAAGTCAAGATCAAGGTGTCTGTAGATTTGGTTTCTTCTGAAGCCTCTCTCCTTGGCTTGCAGGTGGTCACCTTCTTCCTGTGTCCTCACATGGCCTTTTCTCTGTGCATGCACATGTCTTCTTCTTCTTATAAGGCCATTAGTTGTGTTAGATTAGGACTCAACCATCGTAACCTCATTTAACCTTAATTACCTCCCCCAAAGCCCCATCTCCAAATACAGTCACGTTGGGGATTATGTGTCCCCCCCACCAAATTCAATAAGAATTTTTTGAGGGGGACAAAATTCAGTCCATAACACCACCTTTCAGCCAGTCCCAGCAATTTTTCTTAATTCCAGATGGATTTTAATTGCCTTAGGGGAATGATGATTAGTTCTAGTATTGAAAATGTTGCTCAGCAGACATTGGTTAAGCACCTTCTCTGTACCATCTGCTGCACTCAGCCAGCAGGACTGCATCTATCCTGAAAAGAAATCCCAGCCTAGAGCACAAATGAAAGTAGGGCTGGGAAGTTTGTTCTCATGGACCCTCCTCTTCCCTCTCAAGCCCGTTCCTCT
This sequence comes from Homo sapiens, assembly GCF_000001405.40. NCBI lineage: Eukaryota > Metazoa > Chordata > Mammalia > Primates > Hominidae > Homo > Homo sapiens. The sequence goes on along the minus strand of NC_000016.10, from coordinate 49,250,112 downwards.
CCTGTTGTCCTCTCATCATCCAGTATCTCCCATCCAGGCCTCCTGTCTCCCAAAAATACCCCTCTGTACTTAACTGATGCACCCCACAACTGCCCATCCAAGGCTGCCCTTAACAAGCTATCCTTGGGGAAAGTGAGCCTATAAACAAGTCCACACTGAAATATTAGTGATGGGTAACTGTTTAGGGAGCTCCCTCTCCCAGGGGCCCAGTTCAGGAGCCAAATGAACAAAACCCTCCTGGTGGAATTTGAGGCATTGAAGAGGGGTTGCTTCAAAGGTCCTTTCTGTTGTTCTTCTCATTGCACCAAGAAGGTGTTATTCTTACTTGCAGATTCTGGAAGGGGTGGCCGCTTGAGAGGCAGAAACATAGCTTAATAGAAGGTCACCAGTAAAGATCTGGGCCTTGGCCAGGCACGGTGGCTCATGTCTTGTAATCCCAGCACTTTGGGAGGCTGAGGCAGGCGGATCATGAGGTCAGGAGTTTGAGACCAGCCTGGCTAACATGGTGAAAACCTGTCTCTACTAGAAACACAAAAATTAGCTGGGCATGGTGGCACGTGCCTGTAATCCTAGCTACCTGGGAGGCTGAGGAAGGAGAATCGCTCAAACCTGTGAGGCAGATGTTGCAGTGAGCCGAGATCATGCCACTGCACTCCAGCCTGGGCAACAAAGCGAGACTCTCAAAAGAAAAAAAAAAAGACCCAGGCTTTAATGCCGATGTTGGCCCTGATGTGTCACATAACCTTGGGCAAATCCCTTCCCTTTTCCAGGCCTCAGTTTCCCTACTGGCACAGATGAAAGGATAAGCCTCCAGGGACACTGAGAATGAATGCTGTAACAGGCAGAGAAGTGTTTTAGATGGAAATGCCATAAAATAAATTCAAGGTGCTATTATTTTAAGGCACGAAATCAGAACTTATAAAACCAAGCATAAAAATGTCCTGGTGGATATATTTTCATTCTGGAGAAAATTAATGGCTACATCTTGGGCTTGAATTTCTCATAGAGTCAGTCTCAGGCTGTCAGAGTTAGAAAGTCCCTTAGAGAGATGAACTCCTACCCCTCCTGATGGGGATTCTGAGGCTCAAAGAAGGAAGGGACTTACTCAGGGTCACACAAGTTAGGGACTCGGTTGGGATTGGGACTGGGTAGTCCTGGTGCCTCCTCCTCCATTCCACTCATCCTTTTCATGGAGATGGCAGAGAGTGGATGGCTAAAACTTATGAACCACCTTTAAGTAATACTTAAGGCTTGTGAGACCACCTTAGCATTTGGGCACATCTCTCCCTGATGAAGGCTTCTGATTTGCAGGCCCAGTGGCCTCTCAGAGGAAATTTTTGCCACAGTTGCTGACCTCAGCTTCTCAGTGCTATAGACTGGCTCGACCCAGAAATTCTGCTGCTGGTCTCTTTTCCCCCACTGGGATGGCTCCTGTACAGTTTGGCTTGGTCTAGTTTGAGTGCAGAGGTAATTGCAATATATTGAGGTTTGGTATTGTAATAAAAATAGGGGCCATTACAACTACCATTTATGTCATTAGTATTTAGTGGTGGTGTGTTGCAGCTTTTTTACTGCTCATAAAACTGTCACTGCTTGCAGATATGTCACGGCATTGATATAAATTTAAAGGGTTGGAAATCCATAAGTCATAAAAACTGGATGGTAAATAGCAACAGAACAGGATGGACAAGAACAGTTGCATTAGGCATGCAAATGCTTATGGATTTGCATGTCTAGTGCTTGTATTAGCATAATGACAAGCACATTTACATTACAGATGGACTTGATTAACTAGGCCCTTGTAAATAAAGTCCACTCAGCCTCAATAGAGGGTTTTTGGGCACCAGAGAAGAAATTGTTACAAGACCCAAAGGGCAAGTAGAGTCATTTCTTGATTCCTCTCTGTTGATATTGACTTAGAAGAGAAGTCTTCAGAATCACTGATGACGTTCAGATGGGAATGGATTTGGACTAATTTGACATAATCATAATGACTAACGTGTTGAGCGCTTACTACGGACTAGCCGCTATTTAAACATTCCATATATATTAGCTCACTTAATACTTACAACAGCCCTATTATTATTCCACTTTTACAGACTAAGGAAGCTAAGGTGCAGAGAAAATAAGGGCATTTATCAAAGTCCAATTATCAAGGAGTGGCAGAACTAGGATACAAACCTGGACAGCCTGGCCCCAAAGCTCACCGGTACACCAGGTACCTCTTATTCACGCAGTCCATGCATGCATGTAACTAATACTTATTAAACATTGACTGCATGCAGGCTTCATGCTACTGTCAAGGATATAAAGATAAGTAAGTTAAATGCTCTCTTCTTATAAAGCTCATACAGTCAAGTGGAGAAATTGAGACGAAAGCAAAAATTCCCACCGTACACTCAGGGAGCTCAAGGAAAGACACTTAGCCTCTAGGAAAAGTGAGTCAAAGAAGACTACTCCAAAGAGATCCCCCTTAAACTGAGAATTGAAGGATATGTAGGAGCCAGCGGGTGAAAAACAAGAGAATTAGAACACTTGCTTAGGGAACAGCAAATACAGAGTCATGGAAATGGAGCATTGAGTGTGTTCTCAGATCCCAATTCACTCCACACTGGAGTGTGGGGTCCATATAAATGGGAAGCAGGAGAAGCAGGAGCTGGTCATGAGGACCTTGTAGGATGTGGGAAGCCTTGTGGGGGCCAACTAATCCCTTGGTCCTATGGCCTTCTCCAAACAGAAACCTCTTTCCAAATTAGGCACTCGGGTTTGCAGCTCAAATACCAACTCTCTATTGCAAAATCCAGAACCAAATCCTACTCTAAAGTCCTGTGCCTTTTTCATAGTTTCACAGATTCATAAACTCCAGAATTGCTGAGGGTATTGTGGCCATTCAGACCCCCCTTGCAAGATGCATGAATCCTGACATAAGTGCCTCGTAACTGGTGGGTTGTTTAGTTTCTGCCTGAGGACTCCCATCTGAAGTTGGGCAGGAGGGGAATGTAAACTGGCTCATTCCTGGTAGTCCAGTTGAATGAGAGGTCCAAAGAATCCCCAATATTTCAGGGTGCTCTCCATCAAAATGCATCTGTCCCATGAGCTCTCCTTGTACTAATAGCTCCTGACAGTAAATATACTACTTGTTCCAGGTGCATTTGAATGGAAGCCTCCCATAAATGATTTTTTAAATAGTCCCAGACAAAATATAGCAAACAACATGGGGAATTCCTGAGAGTTGACATCCTCTCTGAATCGCCCTAGGGAGTCAAGGTGGGCAGTTTCTTTGTAGGTGCTTTAGTTCTCCTTTGTCCCTCCAGATAACATGCAATGTAGATTGCTTTAGGCTGAATCTTCAGCGGGGCCAGCAACACTGGTCATCTTCTCCACCATTTAGAACTTTTCATTTGTCTTGGTCATGGTTCTGGGGTCTTCAGCAGGCAGAAGTTGTCATCTTGAGGTGGGCAACAGGTGCCAGGTGAGGATGCTGGTTCTGAGATTGGAAGCCTTATTTGAGGGGCAGAAGGAAGGCATTTGGGAATAGTAAGCCATAATCAACAAGCATCAGAGAGAAATGTGACAGAAATTCCACAGTGGGGCTTTATAATAGAAAAAGCAGAAGGTATGCTGGAGGATCCATGGATTACGGATTCATGCATCATGAAAGGGCCGGTCTGAATGGCCATGACATCCTGACAAGTTCTGGGAGTTAATGACGAATCTACAAAATGATGTGAAAGGTACAGGATTTCGGAATAGGCAGAAATTTGCAATACAGAATTGTTATCTAAAATGCAAATCTTGATGCTTAATCTGGGAAGAGGCTTCTGTTTGGAGAAGACCATAGGTTGGTCTCTCCCATGTCTTCCCACATCCTACAAGTACCTCCTGACTAGGTCCTGCTTCTCCTTCTGCCTCTCACCTCCTACCCATCCCCACCCACTCACCCCTGGTGAACTCTGTCCAGAGTCCTGGTTTTCATTTTCTTCTTCAGTAAAGCCCATCGGGATAAAGCTTGCCACATTCCTGGCTGGTTCTGCCTTCAGTCAACCAGAAGCTGCTCAGAAATTCCTTTTCATAGCTGGTAGGAAAGCTGGTTTGGGGACCAAAAGCCTTAAGAAAAAATTCCTGTCCAGCCCTCTGGGCAACACAGCCACTGGCTGCTAGAGTTGACTTCCCTGGGGTCTCAGGGCTTCCAAGCCTAAGTCTCTGACAGCTGGATCTCCCCAGCAGCAGAGCACTGTCTCCTTTCACGTGCTTCCTCCCTCTGCTCTGGGCCATCAGCACGGCTACGAAGCTGGGCCCGTGTAGTGTGGACTTTGAGCTAGAACCAAGGCTGGGGGCTTCCTAGGTTCTCTGTTTCTTGAAGGTGCTGCACATGTGGTCTAGTTCATGACTGTACAGTGTGTGACAGTGTGACAGTGTGCCAGGTGACATTTTACTAGTGCACACATATATGTGCATATTTATCTTTTGTGGGTGTATGTGCATCAGGCTGTAAGTACATATGTGTCTATATGGACGTATATCTTGCTGCATGTATATGCATGCATGTTAGTCTGTGAATCTCTCTACAGATTTGTATATGTGTATATGGGTACTTATGTCTGTGAACATGTGTTCCTATGTGTATTCTTACATACCTGTGTGTGCACATGTGTCTGTGTATATGCACATCTGGAAATGCTGACAAGTGTGCGGGAGGTGCTTGTGGCAGGACTAAGAGCTGACACTGTAATCTCTTCCTGGGAATTTCAGAGCCTCTGATGACAAAATTCCATGACAGGAGGCAGGGGCCTGAGTTGCCAGCTAGGCTATAAATCCTTTTTATGTTGCCCAAGGCCATTGTCCCAGACACTGGTCCTGGCCTGGCAGTCTGGGAGATGGCAGGATCTGCAGGAAGGTATGGTAAGAGCTAAGAGGGCTGCCACCACTGAGCAGGTGTATTAGTCCATTTTGTGTTGCTATAAAGGAATACCTGAGACTGGGTAATTTACAAAGAAAATTTACAAAGAAAAGAGATTTATGCAGTTCTGCGGTTGTATAAGAAGTGTGATGCTGGCATCTGCTTGGCTTCTGGTGAGGGCCTCAGGAAGCTTCTCTCATGGCCAAAGGCAAGCAAAGCTGGTGTGTCGCATGGTGAGAGAAGGAGCAAGAGAGGGAGGGGAGGGGGTGCCAGACTCTTAAACAACCAGCTCTCACATGAACTAACTGACGATGAACTCACTCATGTCTCTGGGGAGGGCACCAAGCCATTCATGAGGGATCCAGCCCCATGATCCAAGCACCTCCCACTAGGCCCACCTTCAGCACTGGGATCCCATTTCAGCATGGGTGTTGGAAGAAACAAATATCCAAATATCAGCAGGGGAACCAGGCTTCCCTCTCCCTATGAACTAGGAGCCCAGGGGTGGGGATGGGGGAATCCTAGTGATAGCATACCCACATTGAGCCAAGTTTTACATGTATGCACCCATTTGATTCCAACAGCTTCTGGTGGATTATTAGTCCCAATTTCCAGAAGAAGACACGAAGGCACAGTGAGTACAAGTAACTTGCCAGGATTGGATGGCAGGCAGGAGAGCTCTGGCTGTGCCCTTAGGCATGAAGCTCCTCCGGGATGAGCCACACAGCTCTGAGATTTCTTTTTCCCAGTGACCAGAGGTCGTTTCTGGTTGAAAGGTCAAACCAGCAAAGTTTTTGTTTTTTGCCTTTCTTCCCTTCCATCCTCATTCTTCTCTTTGCTCTGAAGGTGTCCACACTGCATCCATCAACACCTGGAGCTTCTTACAGGGGCCACTGCTGCATTTAGAACTTGTCTAACCAGTGCCACTGCAGACCCCAATATTTCATCTTCATCATAATTGTCTGTGGTTGCTTGCCAATTTCTTACTGACCTGCTCTCTGCTTCCCAAGCTGTTTCCATATCGAGCAAATTAATCAGTGATAAGGTGAGTGTGGCTACTAATGACATTAAATGTCTCACTTCCCCAGGACAGACCACAGAAGTTGTAAGTGCACTTCAAGTTAATATCTCTTTAGGCTCAAAGAAGGGACATGTAATCTGCCCAGGTTACAAGGCTAGTGAGTGGTATATTGGCCTTGAACTCAAGTCTTGTGGTTTCAAACCCAGTACTTTTCTCACTTAACCAACTTCTGATTTACAGTTAATCCTAAAGAAGTGTGATGATGGTGGAAGCCTGTGGCCAAGACTGATCATTGGTGGAGATAGTTTGGTTGTACAATGGGTCTCTATCTGTGAGTAGAGCCAACTTTCTTGAGATGTGGGAACAGAAGCCCTCCTGAATGGATTCAACATGACAACTTGCCTTCACCTCTCTTAGGTACTTGTCTAAGGTAATAAAAACTCCAACCTGACATGTGACCTTTTGCCCAAATCTAAGATGACCACAAGTGTCAGCTGCCCATGTATCGATATTCTTTTAAGGATAAGATGCAGTAAATGGGGGGATAAAAGATGACTTTTTTTGTAATATCTTGGTTAAATATTTGGTGTAGATCCCCCTTTCTGGAAAACTCCAGCCAGAGAGCAAGTCTGAGATTGGGAGAAGTGAAAAGCAGGTAAGACTTAGTTATCATATACATATAGATTGACCCTCTATAGATCCTACTTACTGCCCTGGGAAGCTCTGCGGTAGCACTCCTTGTCATGTTATAAATAATCATGGGTTCTGAATCTCCCGGTTAAAAGTGTCCTTGATGCGTTTTATGGGTGGAACATCTTAAAGTGCATGACAGAGCAGCAAGAATCCACAAACTCCAAGCTTGGGGAGAGGAAGCCAGGGGCATCTTCCAGCAATGGACTCTCTGCCTCTCCTGTGGTCCCAGGATCACTACCAGGTTTTAAGGGGCTCAAGGACACCAGATGGCCTGCTGTACAGTCAGCCTTAAGGTTTTCCCATCTCCAAGAAACTCACGAGCTGCTTAAAATGAGTTTCCAAATGTGTGTTTAGGCTGGATTTACGTCTGGGTTGCTGCATATTAAATGCTGATTATTAAAAACATTTGCATGGCACTTTAACAATGATAGATTATATATCTGTTACCTAAGTCTCAGTGAAGGCTTTATTAATTCATTATTATTTTATCAACATACAATAAACTGTTCTATTAAATCTAAATTAGACAGATATTTGGGGAGGGATCATCTAAAAGGACCTCAGCCCAGACTGTCCCCAGGGAAGGACTTAATGAAGTTTCAAACAGTTAATAACCCTCAGTTCATAAATAAACCATGGGTATTTAAAGACCTGCAAAATACTAGAATAAGATGTTGAGATTCAACAAAGGAAGTATGAAAGAACACTCGTGGAATTCCCTTCCTTGAAACTCACAGATGGAACCTCCACCTTTAGACAATATTTAATGTGCACGTGAGAATACGTGACACCCCTGGGAATGAACTCTGCCCTTGGCCCAAAATTCACTAAGGAAATTGGTAGATTGACAACTTTGAAACAATTTTCTCCTTCTTTCAAATAATCCACTTTTGATTTAAAAAAATGTTTTGGTGTAGAGATAAGGGATGAAAAAGTGAGATTATGTCCTAATAAGAGAGATAAAAATTTCTTGATAATCCTGTATGGTAAATTACTATTATTTGAAAGCCAGATCTCATTCTACGTACTCCAGAAGCAGGACATCATTTGCAGTGCCCAGTGCAAAGTAAAATGCAGAACCCCTTGTTTAATAAATAGTTAAGAATTTTTAAATGGCAAAAGCAGAACATTCAACCAAGCACAGGGCCCTTCCAAAGGTGGAGCCTGATGTAACGGCACAAGTTAATGACCATGAAGTTTGGCCTTATTTGGTGACATAAAAAGCAAAGGCCCTGAGTTGGGGAAGTGCTGGTGTCCCGCTGGAGCATGGGGAGTGGAGAAGTTAGAAGGAATCCCTGTAGGAAGAACAGCGAGGCTGTAAGTTAGGCAGAGCCAGACCATAAAAGGCCTAAGAGCCAGGGTAAGGGACAAGGAAGTTATGCAAAGTTTTAGAGCAGAGTGTGATGACCTCAGAATTTCAAGCTCGCTGATGGTCTAGGGCCAAGGACTGCCTCAGGTGGAAAGGTTTCCTCTCATTGCAATGAATTGTACTTGCAAACTTACTTATTCTGGGGCACTAACCAGTGCCAATACTTGGCTTTTTTTTCTTTGCAGCCTGAGTTCCCAACAAACCCTGTACAGTTTTCTGGGTGGTGACCAACTATAGTGGGCTTCAGCCTTTCTTAATTTGCCTTCCACTGAATGAAGCGCCTGAGACACAGAATTGGGCGTGATATGGTTTGGCTGTGTCCCCACCCAAATCTCATCTTGAATTGTAACTCCCACAATTCCCACGTGTTGTGGGAGGAACCCAGTGGGCAGTGATTGAATTATGGGGGCAGGTCTTTTCTGCCCTCTTTTCATGATAGTGAATGAGTCTCATGAGATCTGATGGTTTCAAAAATGGGAGTTTCCCTGCAGGAGCTCTCTCTTTGCCTGCTGCCATCCACGTAAGATGTGACTTGCTCCTCCTTGCCTTCTGCCACGATTGTGAGACTTCTCCATCCACGTGCAACTGTAAGTCCATTAAACCTCTTTCTTTTGTAAATTGCCCAGTCTTGGGTATGTCTTTATCAGCAGTGTGAAAAGGGACTAATGCAGGTGTAAGTCATTTAATTGTGGGTGACCTGAATGGGCAAAGTGAGGAAGCAGGGAGAGTGAGCTAGGGAAAGAGAAAAAGCCAGTAAAAGGTGTTTCACTGAGTGGGCTGCCACAGTGGGCGGCTGGGTCTCCTCAAGAACTGTGTAGAATGCACTGCAGAATTGTCCCTCTGCAGAACAGGAAGCTAAAGCGTAGCCACTGACTTTCACTCCCATTGGTTGAGGACCTCCTTTGGGGCTACTGTCTAGCACGCACTTTCAGGCTACAACTGCTAACAGCTGAAGGACCTGCTTGGCTGTGGAAAGCATCTTGGCATAGAAAGAAAGGGAGAGAAGCTGCAACATATTTGAGGTAGGATGCTGGCTGTGTGCTCAGTGGTTCCTTGATAGCGGCATAGAAACTGAGTGGGCATATGACATGGGATATATAAAGTATTTATAACAACCCCCCTAGACCACCAGAAAGGGTCTGAAAGCCTTCATAGTCTCACACACTTGGGACTCAGTCTCTGAGGACACATAGATGAGTGGAAAGGTTTTCAGGGAGTGGTTGGCTGTACTTTCCAATGCCATACACAGAGGCAGAGTATGTGTCCTAGAGGGGGCCAATTTAAAACACAGGTAGACCAGAAAGCTGCCTGGAAGGTACATTGAATCTCCCCACATTTCCTCTTATTGGGTTCCTGAAATTCTTCCTCTGATTCCTCGGTTAGAGGATTGCCTTTTCCACTGAAACCTTTGGGGGGAATGGCAGCATAGCAACACTAGACTCCCAGCATCACGGGGTAAGAGAGGGAGATGTAAAACTCTGCCAAGGACCAGCCTGGAGGTCAAAAACCATGATTCAACCTTAAAGACATGGGTGTTGGAGAGGAACAGCCCTGAGTTGGAATCTTTGTTCTATTACTTGTCAGCTGTGGGATCTTGGGCAGGTCACTCATTCGTTTGTACGGTGACTAATTAAATAGTCACAGAGCATTGATTCTGTTTCAGGGATGAAACAAGCTTGCTTAGAACTTTCAGGCTACAGAAGAAGATAGACAATAATAGATAAGAAAATAAAAGATAGAAACAATTTGTTACAAGTACTATAAAGATGAATCATGTAAAGTGACAGAAGATGGTGGGTGAGAAGGTGAATAGACTATACAGATGAGTGATAAGTCTAGGTTTCTGAGGCTGGAGGGAAAAAAATAAACAGTCATGGGAAATGCAGGAGTGAGAGCTTTCTAGGCAGATGGAACCACATGTACTAAGGCCATGAGGTATTAAAGAACTCACATACGTGGGCAACCAAGAGGAGCTCAGGGTGACTAAACCAATAGTAAATGAAGGGAAGTGAGACATGAGATAAAGTTGCAGAAGGAGGCAGGGGTTAGATCATGCTGGGCATTGAAGCCCAAGGAAAGAAGTTTAGGTTTTTTTCATTTGTTTGCTGGTTTGATTTTTAGAGACAAGGTCTTGCTTTGTCACCCAGGCTGGAGGGCAATGGTGCCATCATAGCTCACTGCAGCCTTGAACTCGTGGGCTCAAGCAATTCTCCCACTTCAGCCTCCTGTGTAGCTAGGACGCCAGGTGTGCACCACCATGCCTGGCTATTTATTTTTTTATTTTTTTGTAGAGGTGGGGTCTCGCTATTTTGCCCAGGATGGTTTCTAACTCCTGGCTTTAAGTGATCCTCCTGTCTAGGCCTCCCAAAGCACTAGGATTACAGTTGTGAGCCACTGCATCTGGCCTAGGTTTATATTAAGTGCAAAGGGAAGGCATGTAAGTATTTTAAAAGCAGAGTGATGTGATCCAATTTCTTCATTTAAAAAAATTACTCCTGATATTGTGAGGTGACTAATTTGGAAGAGGAGCAAGAGTAGCTATAGGGAGACAAATCAAGAGGATTTTGTGGTATTTCAGAGATGATAGTGATAGTAGGAACAGAGGGAGGTGGGCAGACTTGAGGTATACTTGGGAAGATGGGTCATCCAGATTTGCTGATGGGTTGCATGTCAGGGTGGAGAGAGAAGGCACAGGAATTCTGGAAACATGAGAGAGGAACAGCCTTGGGTTTGAATCTTTGTTCTATTTACTGAGGTGGGTAAGACTAAACTAAGAACACGTGTATATGCCCATGGGAGAGCAAACAGGTGGACATGTAGAGTTTGAGATGTCTGTAAGACATGCAGGTGGAGATAGCTATTAGGTATTGGCTATTTGAGTCTAGACTTTGGTGAAGCCATTTTGGCGAAGCCTGACTTGGCAGTCATTGGCAAAGAGGTGCTCTTTGAAAGCCTAGGGAAAGATGTTATCTGTAAAGATGGGAGAAGATCTGTCTGCAGAGTCAGATGACGCCCAGGAAGTTCAAGTTTCCTTTCCCCTTCTCCCTTCCTCCTTTCCCTTCCATCATGGGAATCAAGTGTATGGGCCCCTTGGAGGCTTGTGCAAAGGCCAGGGGGAGGGATCCAGCCTCAAAGGAGAGGAACAGCACAATTTCTGTTCAGTCTCAACACCAGGTGTCTTACCCAAGGTCCTTACTTCTGAGCAACAGGATGCATTGGGTTGTGCCGGAGGACTGTCATAAACAAGATTCACATGGGCCTTTGACACTGAACTCATTCCCAAGATAGTGGCCACATTGATTCATCTTTCAATGCAGTCAGCTGGAGAGGAGAGACAGGTTTGGTGTCAGGAACCTGAGTCCCACACACAAAGCGACCATGAGCCCATTTGAGGCTGTGACGACAAAAGGCCTTGGTTGCTAGGAAGAAGGCAGTGGAGAGGCACCGCATAGGCTGTTTGCCAGAGTGGAGTAAATATACATTGAAATATGAATCACTGGAGGCCTTTTAAACACTGTCGCCTGACATACAGAAATCACATTTCTCTTGCAGTGGAAAATGGCAGCAGGCATAAATTGTTATTGGATGCTTTGTGAATGGCAGGCCTTGTACAGGGCTTTGTTCTACCTGTAACATTTCTGCTGCACAATGATAGTTTCTGCACAATGTCTGCAAATATACACAAGTAACCACACATACACACACCTTTGTTATTCATTTATAGATATTTCAGAGCTTCCTTTGAACTCTTATTAAGCAAGAAGGTTCACATGGCTTAAACTGCCTTTGTCTAATTCCCTAGAATGTTTCCACCACTGAAGAACTTTCAAGGAATCATGACACCAGCATCAACCATAATATTTCTGCATACCCAGTTAAGAATCCCAGTTCTGGACTCAGATAGAGTTGAGTCCAAATTTTGGCTGTGTGGCTGTGATCTTGGACAAGTCATTTTGTTTTTCTAAGCCTACACTTCCTCATATATAAAATGGAAATGAGGACATGATCTCAGTCTGTACAGAGTGTTTGGGAGTGTTAAGAGGTTTGATGCCCAAAGAGCACTTAGCACAGAGCCTAGGACATGACAGGCACTCGTTAAGTACTGCCTATTACTTGTATCCCAAACCCCAACTTTCAGATGAGTTGATGGAAGTCACCAAGGTTGAGTGATTCAGCCAGGGTTACACAGCTGCTGTGGTGTTAGGACTGAATGTTTGTGTCTTTCCAAAATTAATATGATAAATCCCTAATACCCAGTGTGATGCTACTTGGAGATGAGGCCTTTGGAAGGTAATCAGGGTTAAACTAGGTCATGGGGGTGTGACCCTCATGATGGGATTAGTGGCCCTTAAGAAGGGGGGAGAGAGAGATATTGGCATACATGCACAAAGGCCACATGAGGACCAGTGAGAGGTCAGTGGTCTGCAGCCAGGAGGATAGCTCTCATCAGGAACTGAATCAGTGGGTGCCTTCATCTTGGACTTCCCAGGCTCCAGAACTATGAGAAATACATTTCTATTGTTTAAGCCACCCTGTCTATGATATTTTGTTATGGCAGCCTGAACAGACTAAGACATATGGTAAGTCCCAACTCATATTCTGGCCCCAAATCTAGGTACAAATCTCAGACAAGCCCTAGAAATGGGCTCAAAGCACCCAGAGGCATCATGGAAATTGAAAGTGGGCCTATACTTTGCCTCCTTCTCATCCTTCTTCATTTCCATGAAATTCTGCCCTGTCAAAAACATGTAGTTTCCTAACCCAATGTCAAAGTGTTCACACTAATAAACTTGGATATGATAATTTTATTCATTTAACATTCATTTAATTTACATATTTTTTCATTTAGTCATTCTTTTAACATATTTTTCATTCACCTTTCAATCACTCAGCATTTATTGATCACCTATTGTGTGCAGAGTCTTGGCTAAAAAATGAAATAAAATCTCCTTCAGACCCTGGGTTCCTTCACAGCATGCTAGGGGCATGAGGAGTGTCCCCCTGTCTGCCCTCCTCCCAAATGCTTGCCCTTTGCCCTGTATCACACCGTCTCTCCATTCCCCTATCTGGTTCCAGCTCTCGGCCTCTGGAGTGTGGAGATTCCAGTGCTTGCCTGTCTTTTCCAAGCACACCTGGAACTCTGAATTTGCCTTCTAGGGCTGCTGTAAGAAATTACCTCCAACCTAGTGGCTTAAAGCAACATAGATTTATTTTCTTTCAATCTGTAGGTTAGCTAAAGTTTGGCATGGTCTCACTGTGCTAAAAGCAAGGCTTTGCCAGGGCTGCATTTCTTTCTGAAGATCTAGTGGAAAATCCGTTTCCTTGCCTTTTCAAGCTCCTAGCAGCCACCCCCCTCCTCCATCTTCATAGCCGGCAACGTTGAATCTCTGACTTTTCTGCAGTCATATCACCCTTTGAGCCAGCTGGGAAAAGCTCTCTGATTTTAAGAATCTATGTGATTATATTGGGTCCACCTGACTGATTCTGGATACTCTCCCATTGTCAAGGTTGGTAACATGAATCACATTTGCAAAGTCCCCTTTGCCATGGGAGAAATTCTAGAATCACAGAATCAAGGCTTAGTCCCCTAGTATATTCACAGGTTCTGGGGCGAGGGCATGGATATCTTGGTGGAGGTGTTATTCTGCCCACGACAGTACCTCAACACATCTCTGGGCAGGGCCAGCACCTGATGGATTCAGAGCATCTGTCACTGGGCCCTGGTAGGCCTGCAGGAGGGTTTTACGTTCCAAGCCAAAAAGAGCCATAAGTGGAAGTTCCGTTTCAATGCAATGGATGGAGTCTCTCTAGTCAGTCAAATTATAGTTCAATCAGTTCATTTTAATCACTCCTCTGGAGAGAAGTAAAACCCTGTGTTGAGGAATATGCAGCAATTTTATTGATGACAAGTTTAATTGTTTCATTTTTCCTTACTGTCTCCAACATACCCGACTTTTAATCAGTGGGAACTGAAGTTTAATGAAGTAAAGTCCACTTTTCCACAGTTCACAACTAGCTGGAAATAATTGGGCTGAGACTCCCATCCAGACACTGCAGAGCCGCTGGCATCTTCCTGAAAACTGGGCTTAATTGCTTTGCTGATGTTGTTAAGTAGTCCTTAGGGGGTGGAAATAGTAATGCTGCCCACATATGCTGGGAAACAATACCCCAAAATGTCCTAAAAGGGTTCTCAAAGTCTGTCCAATTGGTAGTGAGGAAGAAAAAATAAAACTGAGTGTGTTTTCTGTAGGCAGGGATCTGGGGGAGCATGCGGGGGCTGTAACATAAACTGCCACAATTTGATAAAGAGCAACATCAATATCAACATGAACAACTTTTTTCCTTCCTTTGAAAGCTAAGCAGGATTCCAAGAGCAGGTGTGAGCCTGTGAGTGTGTATGCCCATGTCTGTGTTTCTGCGGGGCAGTTTTAAGGAAAGCATTGAGTTTTCAGGGACAGGTGGCTGGCTCTGGTCTCTGAAAAGGAGGGCTCAAGGTGGCAAATCTGCAGGATTCTAGAGGGCACTGTCTCAGCCCCAAGTAGAGGTCGAGAGATTGGCTGGTCTGGAGAAATTCTAGAATCACAGAATCAAGGCTTGGAAAAGCCAGAGAGATTATTTTATTTCTCCCAACCCCTATACCTTTTACTTTACTTGAAGGAGATGATGATGATAGCAGCAATAACTGCTGGTTTTTGCTCACTTATTATATAGACAGATACTTGGGCTAAGTACTTTAATTTTGTTATCTTATTCCTCATTAAACCCAATAAACTGGGTGCTATTATTATCCCATATTACAAATAAAGAAAACAGATAAGCAAATCAATAAAGAGAATTGTTGCTTGGGATAAGTCCTGCAAAAAGTAACAGAGTAGAAGGTAACTCCCAGGAGTGGTAAGAGGCTTGGGTGGTCATGAAAGTCTCCTAAAGAGAATGTATGAGACCTGAATTATTTGCAGGCATTTGGGAGATTTTAGGTAAAGGTAACAGTAGTGCAAAACTCTTGGGGCAGGAATAAGCTTGGCTTGTGGAAGAGCAGGAAGAAGACCAATATGGCAGGAGCATAAAAAATGAGGAGAAAGGAGGTGGTGCTATGGTCTGAATCTTTGTGTCCCCTCAAAATTTCATAGGTTGAAACCTAATCCCCAATGCAGTAGTATTAAAGATGGGTCCTTTAGGAGGGGATTAGGTCATGAGAGTGGAGCCATCATCCATGAGATGGATGCTGTTATATAGGAGAGAGTCTGCCTGCCCTTTTGGCCATGTGAGGACGCAGCTAGAAGGCACCATCCATGAGGTATAGGCCCTCACCAAAAACGGAACCAACAAGTGCCTTGATTGTGGGCTTCCCTGCCTCTAGAACTATAATAGTTTCCTTTTTTAATAAGCCACCTAATTTCTGGTATTTTTGTTACAGTAGCTGGAATGAACTAAGACAAGTGGGATATGAAGTTGAAAGGAAGACAAAGAACATCTTGCAGTACCTGAAGACACAGGCTACAGAATTTGAATTTTGTTCTAATCTCAATAGGAATCTACTATAGGGTTCTAAACAAGAGAATGAGAACCTCTGATTTATTTGTTTTTATTTTTATGTTTAGGGCAGAGTTTCACTCTGTCACCCAGGCCGGAGTACAGAGGTGCAATCACATCTCACTGGAACCTCAAACTTCCAGGCTCAAGCAATTCCCCTACCTCAGCCTGCCAAGTAGCTGGGATGCCTGCCACCATGCCCTGTTAATTTTTAATTTTTTTTGTAGAGATGGGTCTTGCTATGTTGCCCAGGCTGGTCTCAAACACCGGGCCTCAAGTGATCCTCCTGCCTAGGCCTCCCAAAGCACTGGGATTACAGAGACGAGCCACCATGTCCAGCCTGACTTATCTTTTTTTATCTTTCTTTTTTTGTTATACTTTAAGTTTTAGGGTACACGAGTGCAACGTGCAGGTTTGTTACATATGTATACATGTGCCATGTTGGTGTGCTTCATCCATTAACTCATCATTTACATTAGGTGTATCTCCTAATGCTCTCCCTCTCCCCTCCCCACACCCCATGACAGGCCCCAGTGTGTGATGTTCCCCACCCTGTGTCCAAGTGTTCTCATTGTTCAATTCCCACCTATGAGTGAGAACATGTGGTGTTTGGTTTTCTGTCCTTGTGATAGCTCGCTCAGAATGATGGTTTCCAGCTTCATCCATGTACCTAGAAAGGACATGAGCTCATCCTTTTTCATGGCTGCATAGTATTCCATGGTGTATATGTGCTACATTTTCTTAATCCAGTCTATCATTGATGGACTTTTGGGTTGGTTCCAAGTCTTTGCTATTGTGAATAGTGCCACAATAAACATATGAGTGCATGTGTCTTCATAGCAGCATGATTTATAATCCTTTGGTTATATACCAGTAATGGGATAGCTGGGTCAAATGGTATTTCTAGTTCAAGATCCTTGAGGAATCACCACACTATCTTCCACAATGGTTGAACTAGTTTACTGTCCCACCAACAGTGTAGAAGTGTTCCTATTTCTCCACATCCTCTCCAGCACCTGTTGTTTCCTGACTTTTTAATAATCACCATTCTAACTGGTGTGAGATGGTATCTCATTGTGGTTTTGATTTGCATTTCTCTGATGGCCAGTGATGATGAGCATTTTTTCATGTGTCTGTTGGCTGCATAAATGTCTTCTTTTGAAAAGTGTCTGTTTATATCCTTTGCCCACTTTTTGATGGGGTTGTTTGATTTTTTCTTGTACATTTGTTTAAGTTATTTGTAGATGCTGGATATTAGCCCTTTGTCAGATGGGTAGATTGTAAAAATTTTCTCCCATTCTGTAGGTTGCCTGTTCATTCTGATGGTAGTTTCTTTTGCTGTGTAGAAGCTCTTTAGTTTAATTAGATCCCATTTGTCAATTTTGGCTTTTGTTGCCATTGCTTTTGGTGTTTTAAACATGAAGTCCTTGCCCATGTCTATGTCCTGAATGGTATTGCCTAGGTTTTCTTCTAGGGTTTTTATGGTTTTAGGTCTAACATTTAAGTCTTTAATCCATCTTGAATTAATTTTTGTATAATGTGTAAGGAAAGGATCCAGTTTCAGCTTTCTACATATGGCTAGCCAGTTTTCTCAGCACCATTTATTAAATAGGGAATCCTTTCCCCATTTCTTGTTTTTGTCAGGTTTGTCAAAGATCAGATGGTTGTGGATGTGTGTTATTATTTCTGAGGGCTCTGTTCTGTTCCATTGGTCTATATCTCTGCTTTGGTACCAGTACCTTGCTGTTTTGGTTACTGTAGCCTTGTAGTGCAGTTTGAAGTCAGGTAGCATGATGCCTCCAGCTTTGTTCTTTTGGCTTAGGATTGTCTTGGCAATGCAGGCTCTTTTTTGGTTCCATATGAACTTTAAAGTTGTTTTTTTCCAATTCAGTGAAGAAAGACATTGGTAGCTTGATGGGGATGGCAGTGAATCTATAAATTACCTTGGGCAGTATGGCCATTTTCACAATATTGATTCTTCCTATCCATAAGCATGGAACATTCTTCCATTTGTTTGTGTCCTCTTTTATTTTGTTGAGCAGTGGTTTGTAGTTCTTCTTGAAAAAGTCCTTCACATCCCTTGTAAGTTGGATTCCTAGGTTTTTTATTCCCTTTGAAGCAATTGTGAATGAGAGTTCACTCATGATTTGGCTCTCTGTTTGCTTATTATTGGTGTAGAGGAATGCTTGTGATTTTTACACATTGATTTTGTATCCTGAGACTTTGCTGAAGTTGCTTATCAGCTTAAGGAGATTTTGGGCTGAGATGATGGGGTTTTCTAAATATACAATCATGTCATCTGCAAACAGGGACAATTTGACTTCCTCTTTTCCTAATTGAATACCCTTTATTTCCTTCTCCTGCCTGATTGCCCTGGCCATAACTTCCAACACTATGTTGAATAGGAGTGGTGAGAGAGGGCATGCCTGTCTTGTGCCAGTTTTCAAAGGGAATGCTTCCAGTTTTTGCCCATTCAGTATGATATTGGCTGTGGGTTTGTCATAAATAGCTCTTATTATTTTGAGATACGTCCCATCAATACCTCGTTTATTGAGAGTTTTTAGCATGAAGGGCTGTTGAATCTTGTCAAAGGCCTTTACTGCAGCTATTGAGATAAACATGTGGTTTTTGTCTTTGGTTCTGTTTATATCATGGATTACGTTTATTGATTTGTGTGTGTTGAACCAGCCTTGCATCCCAGGGATGAAGCCAATTTGATCGTGGTGGATAAGCTTTTTGATGTGCTGCTGGATTCGGTTTGCCGGTATTTTATTGAGGATTTTTGCATTGATGTTCATCAGGGATATTGGCCTAAAATTTTGTTTTTTGTGTGGTGTGTCTGCCAGGCATTGGTATCAGGATGATTTTGGCCTCATAAAATGAGTTAGGGAGGATTCCCTCTTTTTCTACTGATTGGAATAGTTTCAGAAGGAATGGTACCAGCTCTTGTTTGTACCTCTGATAGAATTCAGCTGTGAATCCATCTGGTCCTGGACTTTTTTGGTTGGTAGGCTATTAATTATTGCCTCAATTTCAGAGCCTGTTATTGGTCTATTCAGGGATTCAAATTCTTCCTGGTTTAGTCTTGGGAGGGCGTATGTGTGCAGGAATTCATCCATTTCTTCTAGATTTTCTAGTTTATTTGTGTAGAGGTGTTTATAATATTCTCTGATGGTAGTTTGTATTTGTGTGGGATTGGTGGTGATATCCCCTTTATCATTTTTTATTGTGTCTATTTGATTCTTCTCTCTTTTCTTCTTTATTAGCCTTGCTAGCGGTCTATTAATTTTGTTGATCTTTTCAAAAAACCAGCTCCTGGATTCATTGATTTTTTGAAGGGTTTTTTGTGTCTCTATCTCCTTCAGTTCTGCTCTGATCTTAGTAATTTCTTCCCTTCTGCTAGCTTTTGAATATGTTTGCTCCTGCTTCTCTAGTTCTTTTAATTGTGATGTTAGGGTGTCAATTTTAGATCTTTGCTGCTTTCTCTTGTGGGTATTTAGTGCTATAAATTTCCCTCTACACACTGCTTTAAATGTGTCCCAGAGATTCTGATATGTTGTGTCTTTGTTCTCATTGGTTTCAAAGAACACCTTTATTTCTACCTTCGTTTCATTATGTACCCAGTAGTCATTCAGGAGCAGGTTGTTCAGTTTCCATGTAGCTGAGAAGTTTTGAGTGAGCTTCTTAACCCTGAGTTCTAGTTTGATTGCGCTGTGGTTTGAGAGACAGTTTGTTATAATTTCTGTTCTTTTACATTTGCTGAGGAGTGCTTTACTTCAAACTATGTGGTCAATTTTGGAGTAAGTGCAATGTGGTGCTGAAAAGAATGTACATTCTGTTGATTTGGGGTGGAGAATTCTGTAGATGTCTATTAGGTCTGCTTGATGCAGAGCTGAGTTCAATTCCTGAATATCCTTGTTAACCTTCTGTCTCGTTGATCTGTCTAATGTTGACAGTGGGGTGTTAAAGTCTCCCATTATTATTGTGTGGGAGTCTAAGTCTCTTTGAAGGTCTCTAAGGACTTGCTTTATGAATCTGGATGCTCCTGTATTGGGTGCATATATATTTAGGATAGTTAGCTCTTCATGTTGAATTGAGCCCTTTACCTTTATGTAATGGCCTTTTTTGTCTCTTTTGATCTTTGTTGGTTTACAGTCTGTTTTATCAGAGACTAGGATTGCAATCCCTGCTTTTTTTTGTTTTCCATTTGCTTGGTAGATCTTCCTCCATCCCTTTATTTTGAGCCTATGTGTGTCTCTGCATGTGAGATGGGTCTCCTGAATACAGCATACTGATGGGTCTTGACTCTTTATCCAATTTGCCAGTCTGTGTCTTTTAATTGGAGCATTTAGCCCATTTAAATTTAAGGTTGGTATTGTTACGTGTGAATTTGATCCTGTCATTATGATGTTAGCTGGTTATTTTGCTCGTTAGTTGATGCGGTTTCTTCCTAGCATCGATGGTTTTTACAATTTGGCGTGTTTTTCCAGTGGCTGGTACTTGTTGTTCCTTTCCATGTTTAGTGCTTCCTTCAGGAGCTCTTGTAGGGCAGGCCTAGTGGCGACAAAATCTCTCAGCATTTGCTTGTCTGTAAAGGATTTTATTTCTCCTTCACTTATGAAGCTTAGCTTGACTGGATGTGAAATTCTGGGTTGAAAATTCTTTTCTTTAAGAATTCTGAATATAGGCCCCCACTCTATTCTGGCTTGTAGAGTTTCTGCTGAGAGATCTGCTGTTAGTCTGATGGGCTTCCCTTTGTGGGTAACCAGACCTTTCTTTCTGGCTGCCCTTAACATTTTTTCCTTCATTTCAACTGTGGTGAATTTGACAATTATGTGTCTTGGAGTTGCTCATCTCAAGGAGTATCTTTGCGGAATTCTCTGTATTTCATGAATTTGAATATTGGCCTGCCTTGCTAGGTTGGGGAAGTTCTCCTGGATAATATCCTGAAGAGTGTTTTCCAACTTGGTTCCATTCTCCTTGTCATTTTCAGGTACACCATTCAGATATAGATTTGGTCTTTTCACATAGTTCCTTATTTCTTGGAGGCTTTGTTCCTTTCTTTTTACTCTTTTTTTTTCTAAACTTCTCTTCTGGCTTCATTTCATTCATTTGATCTTCAATCACTGATACCTTTTCTTCCACTTGATCGAATCAGCTACTGAAGCTTGTGCATGCATCACGTAGTTCTCGTGCCATGGTTTTCAGCTCCATCAGTTCATTGAAGGTCTTTTCTATGCTGTTTATTCTAATTAGCCATTCATCTAATCTTTTTTCAAGGCTTTTGGCTTCTTTGTGATGGGTTCGAACATCCTCCTTTAGCTCGGAGAAGTTTGTTATTACTGATCATCTGAAGCCTTCTTCTCTCAACTCATCAAAGTCATTCTCTGTCCGGCTTTGTTCCGTTGCTGGCAAGGAGCTGCATTCCTTTAGAGGAGAAGAGGCGCTCTGATTTTTAGAATTTTCAGCTTTTCTGCTCTTGTTTCTCCCCATCTTTGTGGTTTTATCTACCTTTGGTCTTTGATGATGGTGACGTGCAGGTGGGACTTTGGTGTGGATGTCCTTTCTGTTTGTTAGTTTTCCTTCTAACAGTCAAGACTCTCAGCTGCAGGTCTGTTGGAGTTTGCTGGAGTTCCACTCCAGACCCTGTTTGCCTGGGTATCACCAGTGGAGGCTGCAGAATGGCAAATATTGCAGAATGGGAAATGTTGCTGCCTGATCCTCCCTCTGGTAGCTTCATCTCAGAGGGACACCAGGCTGTATGAGGTGTCAGTTGGCCCCTTCTGGGAGGTGCCTCCTAGTTAGGCTACTTGGGGATCAGGGACCCTCTTGAGGAGGCAGTCTATCCATTCTCAGATCTCAAACTCTGTGCTGGGAGAGCCACTACTCTTTTCAAAGCTGTCAGACAGGGACATTTAAGTCTGCAGAAGTTTCTGCTGCCTTTTGTTCAGCTATGCCCCCAGAGATGGAGTCTACAGAGCAGGCAGGCCTCCTTGAGCTGCTGTGGGCTCCACACAGTTTGAGCTTCCTGGCCACTTTGTTTACCTACTCAAGCCTCCACAATGGCAGATGCCCCTCCCCCAGCCTCACTGCCACCTTGCAGTTTGATCTCAGACTTCTGTACTAGCAGTGAGCGAGGCTCTGTGGGCATGGGACCCTCTGAGCCAGGCACGGGATATATCTCCTGGTGTGCTGTTTGCTAAGACCATTCGAAAAGCACAATATTAGGGTGGGATTGCCCCAATTTTCCAGGTACTGTCTGTCACGGCTTCCCTTGGCTAGGAAAGGGAAATCCCCGACCCCTTCCACTTCCTGGGTGAAGCGATGCCCCACCCTGCTTCGGCTCATGCTCCATGGGCTGCACCCACTGTCCGACAAGCCCCAGGGAGATGAACCTGGTACCTCAGTTGGAAATGCAGAAATCACCTGTCTTCTGTGTCGCTCATGCTGGGAGTTGTAGACCGGAGTTTTTCCTATTTGGCCATCTTGGAACCTCCCTCCATTTATCTTTTTAAAAAGGCATTTTTAGTTGACCTAAGGAGGTAAGTTTAGAAACAGAAAGATTAGTTAGGAGGCTCCCATTATAGGACATACTGAGGTCTCAACAAGCACTGGATTATTACACTAATTATTATCATCTCAGAGAGCAGTTAGCCCCTGAGGAGATATATTTATAGATAGCAGGAGAAAAATGTTCTGGTCAGTCATGTAAAATGCCAGATGAGAATTTTTAGAGACAAATCTTCTCAAGTCATTGTGTTCCTTAATGAATCAAAAGGTAGTGAGTGTGGAAAACAGAGAAGGAGGAGCCTGGATGATGATGATGGGACAGGAGTGGCCAGTCAGCTGGCCTGTTTGCAGTGATTATGAATGTATGATTGCCAAGCCTTTTAAGCAATATATAACCCAAAATGTTCTTGCATAAATGAAGCTGGGAACAGCAATATTGTCAGAACTTCGTTCTTGAATTTGCCACTACCTAGGCAGGATCTCAGCATTTGTTGACACACTTCCCAGGCCAGACTGTTGATGTCTCCAAGTCAGAAAGAAGAGAGAAATAAACTTGTAAATAGGATCATGTCAGAAATGTGTGTGTGTGTGTGTGTGTGTGTGTGTGTGTGTGTGACAGAGAGAGAGAGAGAGAGACTGACTTTTCAGTTTATCCCAAGCCATGGTAGTACTTTTGTTCGATTTTTTTTTCTGCTTCTCTTAGGTAACAAAAGGGTAAATTAAAATACAATAAAAATATTACAGAGGGAATAAAGTCAAAAGAACGACATTCTCCTGGCATTTGTTTCAAGGCTGCAAAATGTAGAGTTTCTTGACAGCATCGAGAGAGATTTTTCTCTTTTAAACTAGGTGTCAGAGAATGTGCTTCATTTAAGCAAATCAATATCTTTAATTCCAGCCTGTTGCTCTGGATTTAGTGCCTGATTTTCAGGGAAATGAAGAAAAAGTCAAGCCTCATAAGTTTTGCATACTTTCCATGAAAAGGCAGCAGAAGACTAAGGGAGATTCAGTGTCTATTTTTAGGAACAATTTAATTCTTTTCTACTTCTTGGCAGAATATGGACTGCCTGGGAAGCTGTAAGGCATTTCAGAAAAATAAAGCCAAGAAGAGGATATGAAGCTTTGAGTGTGGGGACTACAGTTGTAAATATGGCCTGCGAAAGCCTCACTGAGAAGGTGACATTGAATAAAGACATGCAGGAGACAAGAAGGTGAGCCAGGTAGAAACAGAGGAAAGAGGATCCTGGGCAGAGACAGCAGAAAAGCCAAAGGCTCTGAGCTTGGAGCAGGCTTGCTATGCCCAAAGAATGAGGAGTTGAGTATGGCTGGAATGGCAAGAGAGAGTAGAGGATGAGGTCAGAGATAACGGTGTTCAGATCATGTAGGGCTTTCTGGCTCATTTTAATGAACTGAGCTTTCATTCTGAGTGACAGGGGAACCTCTCAGGGGGTGTTGAGCAGAAGGGTGACATGATCTACCTTACACATTAAGAGGATCCATCTGATCTGTGTTAAGAATATCTCAAAGGGGAACAAGATAGAATCAGGGAGCAGAATTAAGAGGTGATTGCAAGATTCCAGTGGAGAGATTATTGTAGCTTGAACCAGTATTGGAATCAGTGTCAGTGGCAACAATTGTAAGATCTGATTGTTTTGTTGAAGTAGAAACAACAAAGATTTGCTGATGGGCTGGATGAGGAATGTAAGAGAAAAATGTAATTTTTGATGATGACTCCAAGGATTTGGGTAGAAACTCTCAGAAGAGCATAGTTGTTATTAACTGATATGGGGGAGGTTGTGGGAGGACCCAGTGTGGGGGACTGGAGATCAGAAGTTTAGGACATGCTAAGTTTAAGACATCCATTATACATTCAAAGGGAGATGTTGCAATTGATGTATGTCTGAAGATAGGGGTAGAGGTCCAGGCTGGAGATACAGATAGGGGAATTGTCAATTTAAATAATAATGTAAAGTCATGAGATGAAATGAGCTCAGTGAAAGAGTGAGGATATACAGTTAACCCTTCAACAACACAGGTTTGAACTGCGCTAGTTCACTTATACATTGATTTTCTTCCACCTCTGCCACCCCTGAGACAGCAAGACCATCCTGTCCTCTTCCTCTTCCTCAGCCTACTCAATGTGAAGACAATATGAGGTTGAAGACGTTTATGATGATCCACTTCCAGTTGATGAATAGCATATATGTTTCACTTCCTTATGATTTTCTTAAGATTTTATTTTCTCTAACTTGCTTTATTATAATAATATAGAAGTATATAACAGAAATAAGATATAAAATATGTGCTAATTGATGGTTTATGTTACTGGCAAATCTTCTGGTCAACAGTAGGCTATCAGCAGTTAAGTTTTTGAGAGTCCAAAGTTATACATGGGTTTTTGACTGTGTGGGGAGTCAGCACACCTAACCCTGTGTCCTTCAAGGGTCAACTGTATATTCAAGAGAATAACTTTAAAACTTGGCCCACGAGACTCCAATTTTTGAATTTAATAACCTTAATTATGGGGGAATGGGGCAGTTGAAGGAGATGAGGGAATGAATGAAAGAAGAAACTCCTTATCTAAGATCTCATGTTAGATTTTACATTTCTGCATTGTCTCATTTTTTTCTATGCACTAAGGCCAAAGGATCACCCACCCATTTATCTATCCATCCATCCATCCATCTACTCACCCACCTATCATGCCTTTCTGTTTCATGGCATATGTGAAAGAGCATTGAGCATTTTAGAAAAATGGGATTCTCAGATTCGCTTTGTCTCTAATTCCTCACCTAGCCCCCAGGCAAACTTGACCTCAGTTTCTCCGTTAGTCAGTTGAGAAGATTGCCTTATGAAATGTCTAAAAGCAAGCCCGTCTCTGACATTCTGTGATTTTTAGGAATCTTAGAAAAATTTGGGTGTCCTTATTTGAGTTCTCTAACATGGGTCTGATATGGTTTGGCTGTGTCCCCACCCAAATCTCATCTTGAATTGTAGTTCCTATAATCCCCAGGTGTCATGAGAGGGACCCGGAGGGAGGTAATTGAGTCATGGGGGCGGTTACCTCCATACTGTTCTTGTGATAGTGAGTGAGTTCTCATGAGATCTGATTGTTTTTTAAGGGACATACCCCTTCACTTGGCTCTCATTCTTCTCCTTCCCACTGCCATGTGAAAAATGACATGTTTGCTTCTCCTTCTGCCACAATTGTAAGTTTCCTGAGGCCTCCCTAGCCCTGCAAAACTGTGAGTCAACTAAACCTTTTTCCTTTATAAATTACCCAGTCTTGAGCAGTTCTTTATAGTAGCGTGAGGATGGACTAATACAGGGTCCAACTAGATAAGTAGAGAATTGCTCATTGTTTCTTACCACTTCTTGTATTCCTGATTGTGTGTAAAAGGGGACACATACTAGGGCCGGGCGCGGTGGCTCACGCCTGTAATCCCAGCACTTTGGGAGGCCGAGGCGGGCAGATCACGAGGTCAGGAGATCGAGACCATCCCGGCTAAAACGGTGAAACCCCGTCTCTACTAAAAATACAAAAAATTAGCCGGGCGTAGTGGCGGGCGCCTGTAGTCCCAGCTACTTGGGAGGCTGAGGCAGGAGAATGGCGTGAACCCGGGAGGCGGAGCTTGCAGTGAGCCGAGATCCCGCCACTGCACTCCAGCCTGGGCGACAGAGTGAGACTCCGTCTCAAAAAAAAAAAAAAAAAAAAAAAGGGGACACATACTAAATAATGAATCTTCTGAGTCTCCTGTCTCTAGGTTCCCAAGTCCATTTTCATCCAAATTCCTTGAGCTTTTCTTTGCTCTGAGGATGACTTTGCTGTATTGAGGTGTTAACATGCAGATGTGGGAAGGTTTGCTGAACAGGCAGTTTGGGGAGCAGAGTGTCACATTGTTCAGGGGGGCAGAGCATGAGCAGTTTTCATTGGGGCCACTTGCTCATGGATGCTTGCCAGTTGGCTCATCTCTTCTTGTGGTATTATTATTTTAGAGTCAGGAAAAGGCCAGCGGGTTGAAAAAAAATGCGTCTTAGAAGTCTTCTTTGTCATCTGTCAAGATGCAACAGTGCTTATCCATATGCATGATGTACCATCAACTTGTCTCTTAATTTGACCTCTATGGTGTCTCTTTAGGCAACAGGAGCTGGTTCTTCCACAGCTGTAGACCAAAGAGCCTTTTAGCTACCCTGTCTCAAATATCTTACCAAGTTCAAGATTTAGACCTTAGAGGTGGGGGTACTTCTTGGGACCTTTATACCATTCTACATTTACCCCATGATGACAACCCTGTATCTTTATATTAACTGTCTCTGCCCTTCAAGCCCTCTGCTTATTGCTAGTAAATATTATTAAAATAACTGACCACACGCAATATCTGGATATATCAGTCTTAGCCCTGGGTCACCTTGGTGGCTCCAGTTATTGGTGATCTGTTTGAAGCTTTGGCATGGGCCAAGGAAGGTGGGCCTGGGTTTGGCCGTTGCCTTCCAGGCAGATACTGGGCCTCTGGCCATGAACATCTTTATTTATCATCTTCATTTCAACCTCTTTCAGGCAAAGCCATTGTCATAATCGAGTAGGTGCAATTTATTTTGGTCTTGGCAAAGGAATGTCCCCATTCTCCAGGCTTTCATCTTCTTTCTCCCTCTTTCTCTGACATTATTTGTCAAATGATCCAAAGGTAATTTTTAATACCCTTACATCACGCTGAAGCTAAGTTCTGCAGGATTATAAATGATTAAATATCTTCTAGTCATCCACCTGCACAGTCTGTAACAAATTATCTCAAAAAGGAGATTAATTCCTTTATGATTTTTGAATAAGAAAATGATAAGACAATGTCCTGCAGCTGTTAGAACCAAAATCGTCTCGCATTTCTGAAAAAATGTTGTTTTATGGTAAGGGCTTGAATCTCTCCTTCAAAGGTCATTTAGAAGGTATTTACTGAGACCTCCTGGCATATTAGCTCTGTGTAGTGCTGCAAAACTTGCCTAATCCTCATAGTCACACGGAAAGCTTTGCAGAAATACAGATTATTAGTTCCACCTCAGACCTCCTGAACCAGAATTTCTGTGAGTGGAGCCCAGGATTAGGAATTTTTGGAAAGTTCCTCAATCAATTTTCTAATGTAGCCAGTCCATAAAACTGTTTTGGATTCTCTGCTGTAGAGAATGTGAGAGGAATAGAGGCAGGTTCCTTGCCTGAAGAGAGTTACCATTTCACAGGATTTACCTGGGATGCACGATTGTGCCACTGCACTCCAGCCTGGGTAAGAGAGCAAGACCTTTTCAAAAAAAAAAGGAATAAAGGAAGGAGGGACGGAAGGGAGGGGGGGAGGGAGGGAGGAAGGGAGGAAGAAAAAGAAGTAGACTGTTCCAAAGGGAAAGACTTAGGGGTGGCTTCATGAAGGCATAGGTGAAGAAGGAAACTGTCCATTATATAGAAGTGGGGGTAATAAGTGGTTAAACTTTATCTAAGTGCATGAGGAATGGAGATTCCTTTCTATCATGTATCTATCATCTCTATCATCTGTCTTTCTATTTATCATCTATCTATTCTGTCATCTATCTATCCATGTATCATCTGTCTATATCATCTCTCTCCTATTATCTATCTATCAATCATCTATCAATCATCTATCTATCACCTCTATGTATCTATGTGTCTATGTATCTATCTATCTCTATCTTCCCTATCAATCAATCATCGATAGATGAATCTATCTAATCTATGAATCTATCTAATATACTTTCTATGAATCTATCTAATATAATGTATCTAACTGTATTGGGTTGACTTTATCGCTAAGCATCTTTCCAGCACACACGAGTTGAGCAAGGGTCAGTCATCCTGGATTTGAGCCCTAGCTCTGCTTTGTTAACTGTTTGATTTAAAATACATCTTTTCTTGATAGGTCTCGGTTTTCCCATCTGTGGGTGAGATCACTGGATTTGGTGACCTCTAGGGTCACCTCTAGCTCCTATACTCTATGAAAATATATGAGTCCACTTTCCTGCCCTAGCAAAAACAGACTAGTGGCCATAGTGAAATCTTTCTTCCCTGTTAAAGGGTCTGGCAAACCTTAAGTCTTCATCCTGAATGCGAGTTGCTGTTTATCAGAGATTGAGGTGGGAAAAGTCTACGCATTTTGGCTGAACTTTCATTGAACACAGAACAAACTGTGGAAGGTGATTAGTTCTAAAAAGACTACATGTCAGCTCTGAGCTCTTTTTGGTATCATTTGTGTATTCCTGTCAAAAGTAGATGCAGGGAACAGCAACAGTATTATATTGGGTAATTATAGTGAATGGATGTGATACTTTATTTGCAAGGAATCCTACTCATCATTGTCCATAGTAATTGACAGAGCAGTGCCATTTACCAACAAGGGTTTACTGAGCAGCTATTTGGCAAGCCTTGTGCTAATTTGAATCAACATGCATACCTCAAGTTGAAATGCTCTGAAAATTTTGTTTGTTGCAATCTCGCCTTTCTCATTATGTCAAATAGACAAAAGGTAAGAACCATCTTATACTTCCTGAACCATCCAGACTAAGGGAGTTGGGTTGTTGGTGACAGGGAGGCTTCAGGGTGGGTGTCAGGCCATTCTCTTTAGTGTGTCCTCTATGAGTCATGCCCAGCGTCCCATTTATGCCTTTGGTTCAGCTATTCATACATTAAAAGGGTTTTTTTTTTTTTTTTTTTGCCTGGTCAAACCCAGCTACTCATTGTCACTTAAAACCTGCCTTCTCCAAGAAGCTTCTGAGGCTAATCTCAATGGGCACAGTGTTTCCCTTGTCTCTGACCCAGTTGTACTTTGTGCTATTTACTGAGCATCTGATGGGTGCCAGGCAGTGTGTGCTAAACACCCATCTCTATTGCATTGCCTTACCTCTGTTAGAAGCACTAGGATATTAGTCACATTTTTCAGAAAAGGATATTTAGAATGTGAATTCATTTGTCTGAGATCTCAGAGCTATTATGAAGTGGTGTCAAGGTTGAAAACCAGATCAGCCTGGATTTGGACTTCTTTACTCTCTTGACACATTCTTTGTTGGCCCTCCTGATATACCCACTAACCACATGGCACCCCAAGTTTGTCTTGGGCCTGACCCACAACAGCTTTGCACACATGGGAGAGTCACTACTCATGTTTCTTTGTCTGTCCTACAGCTCTGAGATTGGTGTTGTCCAGTCTCTTTTTTAGTAGACAGTTGTGGAGCTGAGTGGAAGTGGTATGTCTGGTTGCCACTGAGCTGGGTGTGTGGACTTGAGGAATGGGAAGAGAATGATTGCAAGTCCACCCAGGCACATGCCGCCCCTCTCCCACCAGCATCATCAATGTTTTGTCTCTAAGCACCCATTGAAAAGAAGCTTTGAGAACCAAAGCACTGGCTTCTGAATATAGAAAAAATAAATACCTGCCCCTTAATAGAAAGCAAATTCTCGCTGTCTGTGTTTGTGTACAATAAGGAGGGTGGGGTGGCAAAAGGGGTAACCATTTCTTTGAGTAAGAAATAAGACATAAGAGCTTACTGGAAAAATTCTCTTTTTTCCCCTAGAATTAATTTAATCATCTAAAGAAAATTTTACTTATTGGGGACCAATTATTCTAATGATTCAATAATGTCTCTCTCTCTCTCTTTCTCTCTCTTGTTCTCTCAATGAAAAAAGACAACCCTGTTATGAAAAGGAAATTAGCTGCAGATAGTAGAAGCCTGGAACAGGTCCTTTGAGCCATGAGTTTTCTAGCAGATACTTATGATTTGATCCTATGCAAATGCAAAGCTTCAGTGGACAGGCTGCTCTAAGATCACTACTGTCTCAGCCATTACAAAAATGGTGAAGAACAATACTTTAGAGAGATGCATCTGACGTTAAGTTACTTCCAATTTTTTTTTTAATCTGGGGAGAGTTCGGTTTCCAGACGTGAGATGCAAGATTATAAAGACACAAGAGTTTCATTTCCAGCACTATTTATATAAATTTAAGGATCCAATGCAAAAGTAAATTAGAAAATGCCTCCTTAGAGTTTGTTTGATTATATTAACAGGGAAACAAATACCTCAAACCTGCTAGGTTTTCGCTTGTTTCTGTATTTGCCACAGAAATGAATACTAGACCAATTGTGCCTTAGCAGCTTGAAAAATGCACTGGGACTTCATTTTACATTCAAGACAAATAATGTCTCTTTTGTTTTGCATTTAAAATAGGAATGTTGCATCAATAACCCTGGTCTAACCTCACCCAGCACCTGCAAAGGGAGACAGAGAAGCCAGCATAATTGAGTATGTGACTTTACCTCGAAACAAGGGACAAGGGCAAATGTAGTTTTATCCTTGCAAGAGGTTTTTGGAAGGAGAGAGTTCTTTTTTCTTTAAGGATGACTGCATTCCTCAGTTGAATTCTGTAGCTTCATGACTAAGGCCAACAATTTAAAGAGTGGACCTGAAGCCATGGTGACAGCAGAGAGGCTGTCAGTCATCACAAAGCACCCTGACTGTGTAAGGCTGAGGATGTTACACCTGCATGGCATTGGGTCACATGTCATCTTCTATGCCCTTGTGCCAGCTCTGTGTTGTAAGAAGAAAAATGGCTTGATGTCCCCTTCCAGCAAATGTGGAACTTGAGACCCAGAGAGGTAAAGGAACTTGCTTGCAGCCACACATGTTGTGGGGAGGGGTGGTTCAGTGGGAGACTCTGAGTTAGAGCAGAGGTCATGCTGCTGCAGCCTCCACACCTCCATTCCACTTTGCCTGGAGATGTTGGCTTTGCTCAGGGGTTGGCTTTCACTCTTTCCCTGTCAAAGCTCAACTGCTCTGCATCTCTAGAATGTCCTGGGTGAAACCTGATGAAGTGTTATCGAGCATTAAGAGGTGATGACTGGGATATCTGGTGGATAGATTCTGGCTTTAGGATCAATTAGAACTAGGTTTGCCTCCTATGTGACCTTAGGCAAGATACTTAAACCTCTCTGATCTTGGCATTTTCATCATTGAAATGGAAATAATGGTATGTATCTCAGATGAAATGGAATGATACACATTAAGGATACAGTAGTCAACCATTGTGAGCCCCCAGTTTCATATTGCCATGATTGTCTTCAATGGTTAAATCCAAAAGGATTCAATGGAAGATGAAGTTATGATCCCAGTGAAGGCAATTTTGGGGGTGCTGTTGGGAGGCTAACATCATATCTCATGGGAGGCTACTTCTTACCACCTCAGCTGAAGCATAGTAATAGAATTTCAAAATAGAAAAGATTATTGGGGACCTGTGTTTAACCCAGCTTCATTTTGTGTGGAGCTCCTTGAGGCTCAGAGACAGGAAAGGAAACACAGAATGTAAGTGAAAGGAGAAAGAGGGAAGGAAGGAGAGTGGTCCACAATTTCAAGGCACAGTGTACAGGCTGGCTCTGCACAACAGCCCTAGGATAAGAAGTGGGCAATGCCTTTCCAGGAATTAGAGAAAAACAGCAGCCAGCCCATCTGCCCAGGAGGCTGTGAGTGCCTGGACAGTGCATGTTTTGTTAATTAGTACAAAGGTTCTACCTGAGCTGGCGGAGGTCCTGCCAAGTACTCTTCCTGGAGCTAGAAAACTTGGGCTGGGATCTGGGCACGGCTAGAGTGAGTCCTCTCTCTCCTTTGAGACCGTTTTATTTGCATAAAACAGAGTGTGGCTTCCTCACTGTTCACAGGGTTGCTGTAGAATCCAATGAGACCATGGACGTAAAAGATGCACAGCACATTGTGAAATGCTGACACTGCCCGTGGCTAGTCTTGGAGCTTCCTCTTTCTCTGGACTTCATTCATTGCTCCTCTAGCTACCTTTAAGACTAGCTCAGGTGAATCTCCTTTTATCCTGGCCTTCCCGGTGATCCTGAGATTGCCTTGCTTACCTCTGCTATCTTAGTATTTAAGTCTGTGCTATGTGCATTGGGTGGTTCCAGGAGGACTCTCGTTGTAAGTGACAGGAAACCAACTCAGGTTTACTTGAGTTGGGGGAAAGGAGAAAACACTTTTGTATTCATGAAAATTAGAAGTTCAAAATTAGTTCTGGCTTCATCTCCCTCTCTCAGCTCTGCTTTTATCTTTTCAGCTCCATTCTCAAGCAGGCTGTGATGGTTAATAGTGTCAACTTGATTGGATTAAAGGATGCAAAGCATTGTTCCTGGGTGTGTCTGTGAGGGTGTTGCCAAGGAAGATCGACATTTTAGTCAGTGGACTGGAAGAGGCAGACTCACTCTCAATCTGGCACCATCTAATCAGCTGCCAGTGAGGCTAGAATAAAGCAGGCAGAAGAACATGGAAGGACTAGACTTTCTGAGTCTTCGAGCCTTCATCTTTCTCCTATGCTGGATACTTCCTGCCCTCGAATATAGAACACCAAGTTCTTCAGCTTTTGGACTCTTGGATTTACACCAGTGGTTTGCCAGGGGGCTTTTGGGCCTTTAGCCATGGGCTGAAGGCTGCACTTTCAGCTTCCCTATTTTTGAGGTTTTGGGACTCGAGCTGGCTTCCTTGCTCCTCAGCTTGCAGACAGCCTATTGTGGGACTTCATCTTGTGATCGTGTGAGTCAACACACCTGAATAACCTCCCCTTCATATACACATCTATCCTACTAATTCTGTCCCTCTAGAGAACCCTCACTAATACACAGGCTCTACTTATGCAGTGGCCAAGACATGTATCTGACAGCCTTGGGCTTGTGTTCTACCAGCTTGACACCTGTTTGCAAAGAGGAGGGTCTCTTTTTCCAATAATTCAAGCAAAAGTCCCAGGATTGAATCTTAACTGGTCAGGTGTCTCGTCTGAGCCAATCACTGTCACCCAGATAATGGAATATGATATCTGACTGGAGATGTGTGATGTTTAACCCTCTGGGGCAGATTTTAGGATCATCTGCCCCTATACAACATTACCACATGTACTGAGTGGAGGTGGTGTGTGTGTGCCTGTACGTGCATGTGTGTGTGTATGTGTGTAAGAGAGATTCATTTAAGGCTAGAAATTTCTTTAAAAAACCCAAAGTTACAATAAATGGAAAGTCTCCAAAGTAAACTAAACTTATTGATTAGATAAAACAACTAGAAGATAGAAAACCAGTGTCTAATAAGATTCTTTCCTCGCAGGCTGACTTCTATCCTGACAGAATCAGAACTCATGCTGGCTCTTGCCTTTCTTCTTCCTCCTTTTAAATGGCTCTCTTCCTGGTTCTTTGATCTCTGCTTCTCTCAGTCTTTCTCCCTCCTTCTCTTCAGGCTCCTGGGTAGGGACAGGAGAGAGACTGCTAAGGCAGGTGCCTGGCTACACCTGGTGCCCTGCAGAGCTCCTCCCTCTCCACAGGGGCGTGTAGGACTTCCATGGAAATCTCTGGTATCAGTACCAGGAACTGTTTTCTGACTCTCACTCACCCTGCGCCTAATTCCCAGCCACTCTTTTCTGTTCTTTCTGTTTCTATCTGAGTATCTGATCCTAACTTTAAAAATCCTTTCTTTATTCCCCACTTTCTCCCAGGTACTATCTGAATGCTCTGTTCCTATTGCACAAGGTTTTTCAAATCAGTTATTCATAACCACATCACCACTTTCTCACCTTTATTCTCTCTTCATCCCAGTGATGTTCAAAATTCCATCCACACTACTTGACTGAAACTACTTTTGTCAGTCACCAATATGTACATGTTTCCAAAGCCAGCGGCCACCTCTTTATTCTCATCTAACCCAGCCACTCAGCCCCACTTGGTGTAATTGATCCCCCCGTCCTCCTTAAAACACTTGACTCTCTGCCTGTCCACCAACCTCACTTGCTGCTATTCCTTAATTTCCTTGCTTGGTACTTTCTCCTCTTCATGACACTTAAGGATTAGAAGGCTCCAGGGGCTAGTCTTTGGCCATCTCCTTACCTAAGAGCATCTCCCTGGATGCCCTTATTACTAAATATTTGGTAATATTGCCTATGACTCCCAAATATCTACCTCAAACCTAGACTTCTCCCATGAATTCAAGTTTGTATTTCTAAATGCTTTATTTACATTTTCACATGGATGTCTAACAGCCATTCCCTGAACTTACATCTGAGTCTTCTCATGTTAATAAATGGCACTGGCCAGGTACGGTGGCTCACGCCTGTAATACCAGCACTTTGGGAGGCTGAGGTGGGTGGATCACGAAGTCAAGAGATCGAGACCATCCTGGCCAACATGGTGAAACCCCGTCTCTATTAAAAATACAAAAATTAGCTGGGTGTGGTGGCACATGCCTGTAGTCCCAGTTACTCGAGAGGCTGAGGCAGGAGAATCACTTGAACCTGGGAGGCAGAGGTTTCAGTGTGCCAAGATTGCACCACCGTACTCCAGGCTGGCAACAGAGCAAGACTCCATCTCAAAAATAAATAAATAAATAAAAATAAAAAATAAAAATAAGTGGCACTAATATTCACCCAGTTATTCCAGCTTAAACAATCTGGATATTATTTGAGATTCCTTTTTTTTCCCCTATCTTCTTCTTGCTAACCCCATGTACCAGCATGCTGTAAAAAATACCTAAAACGTGGAAGTAACTTTGGAATTGGGTAATACATACAGTCTGGAAGAGTTTTGAGGAGGTACATAATAGAAAAAGCCTAAATTGCCTTGAAGAGCCTGTTGCTAGAAATGTGAATGTTAAAGTTGCTTCTGGTGAGGTCTCAGATGGTAATAAAGAACATGATATTGAAAACTGGAGAAAAAGTGAACCTTGTTAAACTGGCAGAAAACTTGGATGAACTGCACACTATTTGTGAAAAGTAGAACTTGTGAGTGATGAACTTCAATATTTAACTGAGGAAACTGTCAAGAAAAGTGTTGAAGGCCAGGTGCGGTGGCTCAAACCTGTAATCCCGGCACTTTGGGAGGCTGAGGCAGGCAGAGCACTAGGTCAGTAGTTGGAGACCAGCCTGCCCCACATGGTGAAACCCTATCTCTACTAAAAACACAAAAAATTAGCTAGGCATGGTGGTGCAGCCTGTAATCCCAGCTACTTGGGAGGCTGAGGCAGGAGAATTGCTTGAACCCAGGAGGCAGAAGTTGCAATGAGCTGAGATCACGCCACTGCACTCCAGCCTGGGCAACAGAGCAAGACTCCATCTCAGGAAAAAAAAAAAAAGAGAGAGAGAAAAGTGTTGAAGGTATGGCCTGGTTTCTCCTTTTTACTTATAGTAAAATGCAAGAGGAAAGGAAGAAATTGAAGAAGAAATCGTTTAGCAAAATGGAACCAGAACTGGAAGATTTGGAAAATTCTCAGCCTACCCATATTGCAAAAAATGAGAAGGTATGTTATGAAGAGAACACTCAAGGGTGTGGCTGAATGACAATTCACTAAAGGGATTAGATGTGTGACTTGAGGATCTAATCAACTTTCTTAGTAGAAATGCTGCCAGCTTGAACTGAAGGGGACAGAGATAGGATGAAATGAAGGAAGGCTGTTGGACTTCTAGGATTCTATGCATGAACTATGTCTTACTGATTTTAATCCTATATCCTCAATCTGTCTACCTCTCCATCTCCACCTTATTATTCTGGTCCAAGCTACCATCGATTCTTTGTGTTGCCACCATCTCTTCAGTGGCCTCATAAATGTTCTTCATATTTACATCTTGTCTCTCACCTACCCCAACATGTATTCTACAGAGCAGCCAGAATAAGTTTTTTACAAATGTAAATCACATCTTTTCACGCACCTGCCCAAAATACTTTGACATGTTCTCATCATGCATGATATAAACCATGATCTTTAAGGCCGTACTTACGGGTTCCTCACTGCTTCTTGACATAATCTTCTCCCCAACTCTGATCCATCCACACCAGTTTTCATTGCTGTTGTTGCTATTCCTCAAATAATCCAGGCTTTCTTCTGCCTTAGGGCGTTTACGCTTTCTATTTTCTCTGCCTAGAAAGTATTTCCACCAGAAATTTATTTCTGTTTTTTTTTCTCCAAATTAGGTATCAGCTCAAATATTGCCTCCTTCAAGAGGTCTACCCAGACCACTAGGTGCTATAGATTTTATTTTACAAATGGGAACAGAACGATCCAGGAAGGGTAACAATTTGTCTGAGGCCCCAAAGCTAGAGAGTGTAGTGGGACGCAGGATGAGAGGGCATGGTTGTGACCTCCTAGCTCAGGGCTTTTGCTGCCTGAATCCATTGAGTACACATACAAATGCTAATTCCACTCATCCTGGGGAAGACAGTGGGATTACCGAAGCCTCTTCTCTTGTCTGTCTGTCGCATTAGGGAAGGCCCCCTGACTTGGAGCCAAGCCAGTGGGATGCTCTTTGTATTCCTCCTCCATCCATCTTGGTTTGATTATTATGCGGTGAACGGCTGGCTCTTGAAAGATTACAACTCAGCTTGGGCCAGTGAGATGCAGAGTGCAGTGGGGCATTCTGAGTGTCAGCCAGACTTCAAAAGCAGCCTCTGAAATGGAGACAGCCAGAGCCATTCTCACTTTGTCATGAAGGCAGACACAGCCACAAACCGTGAAGATGGCTTAGATGCTGCACAACCTGCTGGTCTACCTGAAAATTTCCCTTCTCCACAGGGCACTAGCTGGCTTCCTTGTGGTTCTAACAGCAAAGCAGGGGACAGTCACAACTCCCCTAGTCACTCTAGCTAGCCTGACACATCACTACACCTGCACAGACATGAGACCTCCCCTTCCTCCCCTCTCCCCTTCACCCACCTTCTGACTCCTACCTTCTCCTGCAGGAAGGCCACATCCCATTTCCTCCAGAAAGATTCCCAGTGTGTTGGGCTTGATTTGAATTCTGACTTGATCTTTCTTCTCATCCTGTTTCCCAATCCCAGTGGCTTTACTCTGTGCTTGGAGGGCTTCTCTACTCCCCAGTGCTACAGACTATCAGAGAATAGCAGGACTTAGACACCCACAGGGCCAGAAAATAAACAGGCAAAACCACTGGGATTTTGTTTGCTAGGATAACAGTGCACAAGAGACCAGAAACCTTCACTGGAAGGAACATCCCTGGCCTGGATGAAGAGCTCAAATTGAGGATCCTACCTGCTTTGATATCCTAAATACCATTTCAGCTGGTCAGGAGCAGGAGAACTGCAGGGAGGTTTATCCATCACTTTTCTTTACTCTTTCATTGAGTCACTGGTCTAGAACCACTTAGTCAGAAATGATGGAATTGTTCAATATCATGGATTCAGAAGGCAGTGGCCACGGCAATCATTCTCTGGCCCAGTGGCTGGCTCATTTATGGCCTCAATGAACTGAAGGACAAAGGACCCTGCCAAGCACTGGAGAGGCAAAGTTGGCTCCTCTGATTGCTCTGGCCGGGGCTGGTTCTGCCTAACTGCCCAGGGTGGCCTCTGAGGGGCATAACCCCAGCGCCAAGAACACTAAGCATATCCAAGACACTTGCGGCTATGAAGGAATTCACTCATTCGTCCATTCACCTATTCATTCACTCATGACCCATTTTTTTTTTCATTCTTTAAGGGCTTGATATAGGTTAGGCACCAGGGATGAGCAAAAAACAGACTTTATGCTTTTATGGGACATACTGAGGAGTAGAAGAGACAGACATTACTCAAATAATGACATGAGTGGATGTTTTATTAGGAACTGGGGAATCCCCATTAAGGAGAGGACAGAGTCTTCTAAGTGCGCCTTAACAAAGGAATCTGGCTAGGAAGAAGGAAGGAGTTGGAGGAGACCTGCCATAGGCTGTGAGGCTTCTGCTGATTGCTGAACAAGTACGAGGAGCTGAGTGAGGTAAAGGTGGGGAAAGTGTGTAAGAGGAGAAGGGTTACACATGCGCAAAGTCTCTGAGATAGGAAAGAACTTGGCACTTTCCAGGAGCTAAAGGAAGGCTGATGGAGCTGAGAGAGAGAGTGAGAGTGAGAGAGAGAGAGAGAGAGAGAGAGAGAGAGAGAGAGAGGATGAAATATAGGAGTTGGCTTTGCAGGGCCTTGTGGATGGTGATTTCCTGGGGCCTAGAGTCACACATTTAGTGGGCAGACCAGAGGCTTCCCATGTAACCACAGTCTCTATCATAGAACCTTAATACCCACTAGTGGTCATTCTTGGCTTACAACATTAAACCCTAGCCCTGCTAAAGTGCAGAGATTATTGATGCATGATTTCAAGGCAGAAATACCTTAGCATGCACCTTACCCACCTGGACCTGAAAGAATGGAGAACAGCACAGATTATTTTGAGTGAGATGGATCTGGATGGGGCACCTTGTTTCATGTGTTTTGCTTCCTCAACAAGAATATATGTTTAAGTCTGGAATTTTCACATCCTCTGCCAAAGGCCTAAGAGCATGCTGGGCACACAGAAAATACTTAGCTTCTACCCAGATGGGTTGAGAGTCCTGCCCTGGTTCTCGCTGCTCCCCACCTAGACTTCAAGTAATAAGCCCAGGCTGTGTGCATGTGTGACAAGGGCCCAGATGGGTCAGAGGGATCCAGAAGACCTGGATCTAGAAGGTCACCAACCCACTCAGCATTTGTTAGCTGCCGCCATGAACTTCTGGCTGTTGCCCTACTTTAACTATCCACAGCATGTATAAGGGATTTTTTGTGTGTGTTTGTGTCAGGGGGAAGTGTAATTTCTCAGCCACAGCCAGTCTGTACATCATCTCAGCTGCTTTAGGGTTCCTGATCAGAGTGTAGATTATAGTTAATGGTGACAGCCTAGAATGAAGTTAGGAGGTTATGTGTAGATTCGGAGGCAGCCTCGTGCTATATGTAAGCTTTTAGACAACTCCATGTCCCTGAGCTTTCACTCCACTGAAATAGAGGACTGGGCTCTCCCTCTCCCCCTCCCCCTCCCCCTCCCCGTCCCTCTCCCTCTCCCCACGGTCTCCCTCTCCCTCTCTTTCCACGGTCTCCCTCTGATGCCCAGCCGAAGCTGGACTGTACTGCTGCCATCTTGGCTCACTGCAACCTCCCTGCCTGATTCTCCTGCCTCAGCCTGCCCAGTGCCTGTGATTGCAGGCGCGCGCCGCCACGCCTGACTGGTTTTCGTATTTTTTGGGGGGAGACAGGGTTTTGCTGTGTTGGCCGGGCTGGTCTCCAGCTCCTAACCGCAAGTGATCCGCCAGCCTCGGCCTCTGGAGGTGCCGGGATTGCAGACGGTGTCTGGTTCACTCAGTGCTCAATGGTGCCCAGGCTGGAGTGAAGGGGCGTGATCTCAGCTCGCTACAACCTCCACCTCCCAGCCGCCTGCCTTGGCCTCCCAAAGTGACGAGAGTGCAGCCTCTGCCTGGCCGCTACCCCGTCTGGGAACTGAGGAGCGTCTCTGCCTGGCCGCCTATCATCTGGGACGTGAGGAGCCCCTCTGCCTGGCTGCCCAGTCTGGAAAGTGAGGAGTGTCTCTGCCCGGCCGCCATCCCATCTAGGAAGTGAGGAGCATCTCTTCCCAGCCGCCATCCCATCTAGGAAGTGAGGAGCGTCTCTGCCCGGCCGCCCATCATCTGAGATGTGGGGAGCGCCTCTGCCCCGCCGCCCCGTCTGGGATGTGAGGAGTGCCTCTGCCCGGCCACGACCCCATCTGGGAGGTGAGGAGCGTCTCTGCCCAGCCGCCCCGTCTGAGAAGTGAGGAGACCCTCCGCCCGGCAGCCACCCCGTCTGGGAAGTGAGGAGCGTCTCCGCCCGGCAGCCACCCCGTCCGGGAGGGAGGTGGGGGGTCAGCCCCTGCCAGGCCAGCCGCCCCGTCTGGGAGGGAGGTGGGGGGGTCAGCCCCCCGCCCGGCCAGCCGCCCCGTCCGGGAGGGAGGTGGGGGGTCAGCCCCCCACCCGGCCAGCCGCCCCGTCCGGGAGGTGAGGGGTGCCTCTGCCCGGCCGCCCCTACTGGGAAGTGAGGAGCCCCTCTGCCCGGCCACCACCCTGTCTGGGAGGAGGTACCCAACAGCTCATTGAGAACGGGCCATGATGACAATGGCAGTTTTGTGGAATAGAAAGCGAGGAAAGGTGGGGAAAAGATTGAGAAATCGGATGGTTGCCGTGTCTGTGTGGAAAGAAGTAGACATGGGAGACTTTTCATTTTGTTCTGTACCAAGAAAAATTCTTCTGCCTTGGGATCCTGTTGATCTGTGACCTTACCCCCAACCCTGTGCTCTCTGAAACATGTGCTGTGTCCACTCAGGGTTAAATGGATTAAGGGCAGTGCAAGATGTACTTTGTTAAACAGATGCTTGAAGGCAGCATGCTCGTTAAGAGTCATCACCACTCCCTAATCTCAAGTACCCAGGGACACAAACACTGCCGAAGGCCGCAGGGTCCTCTGCCTAGGAGAACCAGAGACCTTTGTTCACTTGTTTATCTGCTGACCTTCCCTCCACTATTGTCCTATGACCCTGCCAAATCCCCCTCTGCGAGAAACACCCAAGAATGATCAATAAAAAAAAAAAAAGAAAAGAAATAGAGGACTGGGAAAAATCAAACCCTCTTCACAGAATCTAATGAGGGATACATGAGATAATGTATGTAAAACCAGCTAGGGCAGGGCTTTTTCTATTTGTCTTCAATAAATTTGGGCTCCAATAAGTTGAGGCCCAAGTAACAGCTATACGGTTGGAGAGAAGTGGACAGATTCACCATATATTTAGCAGGCAAAACTGGAAGAGCTTGTTGCTAGAGTAGATAAAGAGTTGAAGGAGGCCAGGCATGGTGGCTCGAGCCTGTAATCCCAGCACTTTGGGAGGCCGAGCTTGGTGGATCATTTGAGGTTAGCAGTTCAAGACCAGCCTGGCCAACACGGTGAAAACCCATCTCTACTAAAAACACAAAAATTAGCTGGGCCTGGTGGCAGGTGCCTGTAACCCCAGCTACTCAGGAGGCTGAGGCACAAGAATCGCTTGAACCCAGGAGGCGGAGGTTGCAGTTAGCTGAGATTGCGCCACTGCACTCCAGCCTGGTTGACAGAGTGAGACTCCATCTCAAAACAAAACAAAACAAAACAAAAAAGTTGAAGGAGACAAAAGACAAAAAGAAGAGTCCTCGTTGACTTCCAGGTTGCTGGCATGAGAACTGTCACAGAGAAGCAAGAAAGAGAAACTCATGTGCCACCAGATTCACACAGTAGCCACAGAGGTCTTTTACACGTTGAAGGCAGATAATGTCACTCCCCTGATTAAAATTGTGACAGCTTCCTATGGCATTTACGATAATCTCAATATTATCCAGCTCCACAGCCCTATCTCACCCAGCCCTATGCCTGATGGATCCCATCCTTCCACCTCCAAGTTCACTACCCTTCAACCACCCTGGCCAGAAAGCAAAGAAAGCTCTCTGTTGTCTCAGGGTCTTCTCATATGTAATTCCTCCTTCTAGAAGGATCTTCCCTCCACTTATAAGCTGGCTGATCCTTG
This sequence comes from Homo sapiens, assembly GCF_000001405.40. NCBI lineage: Eukaryota > Metazoa > Chordata > Mammalia > Primates > Hominidae > Homo > Homo sapiens. The sequence goes on along the minus strand of NC_000016.10, from coordinate 49,208,703 downwards.
CACATCCTTGAGGTGTCAGTTTTAGTTACGTCTTCAGAGAGCCTCTCTGGGATGGCCACCAACCAGGTCACCTGGCTTGCCCATCACGGCCTTGCCCTCATAGGTGAGATGCATTCTTTTTTTCACAGGTGTGTGCCACCACACCCAGCTAATTTTTGCATGTTTTCTTTTCTTTTCTTTTTTTTTTTTTTTAGGTGGAGTCTCACTCTGTTACCCAGGCTGGAGAGCAGTGGTGCGATCTTGGCTCACTGCAACCTCCACCTCCCAGGTTCAAGTGATTCTCCTGCCTCAGCCTCCTGAGTAGCTGGGATTACAGGCACGTGCCACTACGCCCGGCTGATTTTTTTGTAATTTTAGTAGAAATGGGGTTTCACTATGTTGGTCAGGCTGGTCTCGATCTCCTGGCCTCATGATCTGCCCACCTCGGCCTCCCAAAGTGCTGGGATTACAGGCGTGAGCCACTGTGCCCGGCCAATTTTCGCATTTTTTAGTAGAGACAGGGTTTCACCATGTCGGCCAGGCTGTTCTTGAACTCCTTGCTGCTGCCCCCACCAGCCTCTAAACTCCCTAAAAGCCTGTGCTGTTCACCTCTGTGTCCTCAGCACAGTGCCTGGCACAAGACAAGTTCTCAGGACATATTTGCTGAATGAACCAATGAATGCATCGATCATTAGGGGTGCACTGCACCCTCTGCCTCCAGTGTTATTTCTCTACAGTTCTCTGAGTAAATGGGCAGCTAACTCCATCTATTCCCACACTTGCCCTGCAGGTGCAGCCAAACCCCAGGACACAGGGGCTCCCTGTTCCCCTTTATTATTTGTGCCTTGCCTCTTAAGAACTATATATCTCCAAAAGCAAGAACAACTTCTTTTTCTAATACCCTTTTTCTCAAGAGGGTCATATGAAGAGAAGTCATGCTGAGGGAACACAGGCTGTGATGAGGGAGGCCTCACTTACCACCTTGACAATCATTTTTTCTCTCAGAGCCTCGTTTCCCCCATTTATAAATAAACTTTTTTTTCATTTTAAAATTAATTAATTCCTTCACCCATTTTTGCAAAAGCTAATGCATGTGAATGGTTGAAAGAAAGGTACAAAAGCATACAGTGTGAGAAGTAAATCCACATCTCCTGTCTTTAGCCTCTCACGAACAGTGTGGTAAGCTGGCAGAAAATTAAGGTCTCTCCAGTATTTAAAAACTTTTTATAATATTATTGTAGAAAATTAGAAAACATAGATAATAATAGAACATCAAAACCACAAAGAGAATACTGAAAATTTTTAGTATATATTTTTCAAGACTTTTTACTATATTCTTAGTTTTTGGAGTGTGTTTCTAAAATATTTATTGAGCACCTAGAACAGACCAAGCCCTGCTGTAACTGATTTTATGTACATTATCTCATTTAATCCTCATTAGATTCTGTAGACAGGGTTGATTCTTCTCAATCCTATTTAACCAGTGGAGCAAAAGCTCAGGGACACAGAGTCATCTAAAAGCTTACAGATAGCAAGGTGCTGCCTTAGACTCTACACTGAGCCATGCTCCATTTCAGGCTCGCAGGCTTCTCAAGATCTCCAGGGTCTCTCTGGCTCCAGCTGGATCCTAAAGCTTCCCTTCTCTAAAATTGTGAGTAGCCAAGCGGGGTGGAGGGACTATCCTCCCTTTCATGGTGGTCTGTGTTCTGTGAGTGTGTGTAGGAGTGATGTACAGAAATGCTACCTCATTTTTTTCAGGAGCAGCTCCTATTCCAGTAGGGGCTAGGAAGTGCTTTGGTGGGAGTTCTATTTTTAATCATTTTCCTGGGGTCAGGGCCTGGGCGCTTAGTACTGGAGCCAAGCTCACACCCCATGCTGTACATTAAGATTTAATGGGCCTTCCTTATTTACACCTAAATGAGGTTTTTAATGGTTTAATTAGCAAAATATATCAGTTTGCTTTTTTAAATCTTGAGTCTCAGAGGTAGCACTTTTAGCGATTTCTAGTGTTTAATAAAAGATGAAAACCTTCATTCTCTCCACTAAGGAAGACTGTGACCGCCTTCATCTGATTAGCACAAACTTGGGGTGCCTTGGAGAAGTCGAAATCAGAAAGTCAATCAATGGCAATGTTTCCCACCTTGCCAATGTGACCTTTGCTACCCAGGAATTTTTGTCATCACTTTCTCTCGCTCATTTAATTCAAGTTAAATGTCTAAAATGAAAGTTTTACACAAGAAACCATAGTTCATAAGGGGTACTTTTTTTAGTTTGGAAAATCCCTTTGAAATTTAGACTGAGGATAACTGTAAAGAGGGTATTAACCTCACCATTAAAAGCCACCTTGCTAGCTTTGCAACACCTCTGTGCAGTGTAAGTGAAATATCTTTTTTCTTTTCTGGGCATATCCAGAAAATTTTTTTTAATTCAAAATATATTTTTAATGACTTTAAGCATGGCAAAACATTATTTTTGTGTTACAAAATTGCAAACAAAAATTAAAATAGCAGAAAATCTAAGATAAAAATCACCTACAATTTTATTACCTAATCAAAGCAATGTTTTTTATTTGAGTCTGTTCCATTAGAACCCTTGTCTACATGGTTACTTAATTTGTAAATACTTGCAGCAGCAATGTAGATAGTATTTCATATTTTGTATTTTTACTTACCATGCTGTTTTCGCTTCCATTTCGTAGCAATCCTTTTAAATTTTCTATCTTACACCCCCTCTGTTTTTCTCCTTTTCCCCACTCTCTGTTCCCTGTCATGCAGAGAAAATCAGTGCTAACCTCCTGGTGTCAATGATTCCAGGTCCTTCTCCAAGCCTGGATAGACAATTACAGACATACATATGTTTTCTATGGGCTTTTACTTTGTTTTTTTCCCCCAGTGGGATTTTATGATACACATTTCTTTGTAGCTTGCTCGTTTATCCCACTTAATACATTGTGGACAATAGGTATAGATGTTAACTAAGTTTTTAATTTGTTGTCTTTTTTACATTTAAGCTGTCAATCTACCTGGAGTTTCTTGTTGTAACTAGTGTCAGACAGAGGTCTTACTCTGTTTTCTTCTAGGCATATAGTCAATTATATCAGCACCCTTCATGAATCAGAATATTCCAGTAATCTCCTCAGCTGCCCCAGCCTGCTTGGGTCTCTTCAAATGAGTGCATCATTTGGCCCAGACTCGGTGGAGCCTGAAGTGGGAATGCTTCTGGGTTTGTGGTCCTGTCTTCAGCCACTGGAGACCAAAGCTCTGAGAGGATGCCTGGTCTGGTATCCCCATCTTACAATGACCACGTGGAAGCCCAGAGAGGCCAGCAGTTTGAAGAGGTTGGACTAGTATTGTAAGAGAGACCCAGCACCTGAGCTCAGCCAGGCCTGGAAGAAAATCCCACTTTGGACACTTTTTTTTTTTTTTTTTTTTTTTAGACAGAGTCTCATTCTGTCGCTCAGGCTGGAGTGCAGTGGCGCAATCTTGCCTCAGTGCAACCTCCGCCTCCCAGCTTCAAGCAGTTCTCCTGCCTCAGCCTCCTTAGTAGCTGGGATTACAAGGTGCATGCCACCACGCCCAGCTAGTTTTTATATTTGTAGTAGAGAAGGGGTTTCACCATGTTGGTCAGGCTGGTCTGGAACTCCTGACCTCGTGATCTGCCCACCTCAGCCTCCCAAAGTGCTGGGATTATAGGCGTGAGCCACCACACCTGGCCTTTGGATGCTTTCTAACTGTGTGACTTCAGGCAAATTACTTAGCTTCTTAACACTCAGTTTTCTCATCTGAGCAATAGAGATTCTACTACCTGCCTGACATGGGTGTTATAAGGACTGGAGAATAAATCTGCACAGTGCCTGACACACAGTCAGCACTCAAAAAAAAAAAAAAATGACCTTAAGTGTTAAAGCAGCACTAGGACTGGTTCCCACTGCCCTGGTTGTTAATCTAGTGCTTTTCCATTGGACCTGCATTCCCCAAATGTCATACAAATGATTTCAGGAGATACAGGTATAGATATTCCTGTTTTAATAATTATGTAATTGTTTGACAGTAATCTTCTATTGGTGGCAAATTATACTGCTTTTTATGCATAGGAATGTTATAAAGTTTATTTTTAAAGATAAATTTATTTAGGGTCCAAAGTTAGTTGATTTGCAAAAGCGATTTAAGTACATGATAATAAGGGTGGTAGAGCACTATGGCAAAAATTGTGGCTTGTCAATGGCCCAGGCTTTTGGATACTGCCCCTCTTCACACCATCTCTCCTGTGACCAGGCAGTGCCTTCCGCAGAGTGGGGGAGCCAGGGCTCAGCTGCATATTGGTAAGCACCTCCGCACCTCCTGTCTGGCTGCTACTCCTCCCTGTTCATCCTCACCCCAAACAACACGCCTCCAGTGACTTTTATTCTCATAACTGAAAAGGAACAATGAGCTCCCATCTACCTTGGCTGTCATTGCCTGTGTGTGTGTGTGTGTGTGTGTGTGTGTGTGTCTATGTGTGTGTGTGTGTCCTGAGAAAGATACAAGCTTCTCAAGGTCAAAGGCCCCTTGTCTGTCCTTGCAGAGAGCTGGGCACAGAGTTGATACTCAATCTATACTTATTGACCAATTGGGGACTTTTTAATCTTTGATTTTTTTGGGGGAAAATCCAATGTTGGTGTTTTATGGATTTCTGTCAACATTTATTGGGTATTTACAATGGGAATGATAGAAATGAGGCGTGCATGCCTTCCCCCTGTCTCCATCACTACCCCATAGCCAAGGCAGACGTCACACATTGATGCCAGAACTTTTTAAAACTGGGTCAACTCAACTTCATGGAGTTGACATGCAACATGAAGCATTTTGACCACCCCTGACCTATTGCTAGGCCAAGGATGTAAGCACATTTTTGATCTTGCCAAAATGTCCAGGATGGTGTCCACCCTACTTTGCCCCCTCTTGCTCATGTGGAAGCTATGTCTAAGAGACTGTATTCAGTTCAGGACAGGGGCTTCTTGGAGAGGCAGCAGGGATGCAGACACACTTGCCAGGCTTCTGGCTTTCATCTTACTTCACCACTCAGCAGGAGTTCAAAAATGCCTCTGCTGAGTGTGATCCCCTCCCAGGGAAGGGGCTTGTCTATCTTGTTTGCTGGGACATCGTCCTAACTCAGCACAGTGTAAGCGAAGCTTCAGCAAAACCTGCCAGACTTAATCTTGAGACAACAAATGGAGAGGTGCAAAACCCAAGAGCACGTGACACACCATAGTGATGGTTTGAGGCAGGGTGACAACTTGCCTCCTCTGGGGAGGAGGGACAGTTGGGGTCTGGCAGTGGGGCAGGGAGGAATGAGTGTTCATGGGGGAGGAGGCCCAACCTCATTCTATTCTGTTGGGCTCAGGAAACACTGAGCATGCACTGTGCCAACCTTTGTCCTGGGCATGGAGGGAACCCAGACCCATTCATTCTGCAAAACTCTCCCAAGTGCCCTATGATGTGCCAGTTAGTGTCTTAGGCACTGGTGATGCAGAGATGGACAAAAGAGCCAAGTCCCTCCCATTAAGGGACTTATATTCTATTGATAAAGACAAACAATCAGTAAAGAGGTACAAATATATATCACAGCAGGACAGACAGGCTAGGTTATGTTCCAAATACAAACCAAACATTGTGTTGTGACTTTTCACAACAGAAGTTTATTTCTTGCCCACTCAGGTTCGACTGCAGGTCCAGGTGGCTCTCCAGAGCAGCTGTTCTCCATGTGGTGGCTCAGCCTTCTGGGTTGCTCTGTCTTTGTAGCACCTCTGTGCTGACATGTGCTCCATAATTGTCACTGTGGTGGAGAGAGCACAGAGAACTGGGTGTGCCTCTTAGATGCTGTCACCTGGAAGTGACACATCTCACGTCCACTCACGTTTGTTTGCAAAAGCCAGTCATATAGACTCTCCTAGCCTCTAGGGGCTGGGAAGTCCAATCCTCCCATGTCCTCAGAGGAAGGAGGACTAGAAATCTTGGTCAGCAGCAGTAGTGTCCACTGTGGATGTGTATTTACAATGAGGATAAGTGTATAAAGGAAAAGAACAGAATTCTGTGACAGAGTGTGCCTTGGTGTTTGAGTTGCCATAACAAAATGCCACAGATTGGGTGGCTTAGACAACAGAAATGTATTTTCTTGCAGTTCCAGAGGCTGGAAGTCCAAGGTCCAGGTGGCAGCAGCTTTGGTTTCTTCTGAGGCCTCTGTCTTATGCTTGTACATGGCTGCCCTTTTGCTGGGTCCTCACATGTGCAAGCGCATCCCTGGGGTCTCTCTGTATGTTTAAATTTCCTCATTTTATAAGGACACCAGTGACACTGAATTAGGGCCTACTCTAATGACCCCATTTTAACTCCTTCACCACTTTAAAGGCCCTATCTCCAAATACAGCCATATTCTGAAGTACTGAGGGTTAGGGCTTCAACAGAGGAATTTTGTAGGGACATGATTCAGTCAATAACAGAGTGTAACTCAGGAACTGCACCTTAATGGGAGGCTTGGGATAGTAAGCTATGAATGGGACGTTGCAGGATGAGTAGGAGTTGGCTAAACAAAGAGTGGAAAAAGGGGAACCAGAGAACAGGAACAGCAGGGGCGAAGGCCCCAGGGCACAGCATCCATACTAGGGGACCTCACAGTCTGATAGGGAAGATGAGCTTAGGGTTGGATCATGCCACTGTCTTGGGGAACATGGGGAAGAGGGGGTGCAGGGACAGGAGGTCAGCTAGCCTGGCCTTCAGGTGGGCAGGTGGTAGGAGGGTTGATAGAGAGCTGCATCCTGAAGGAGGAGTAGGCATTTGGGGCAGAACCTTGCCAGCAGAGAGATAGTCAAAGAGGTGGGGGCAGACTGACAAGTGTGAGGCTTGGGTTCCCTGGAGGGGGAGTTAAAAAGTGAGGACATTGCAGAGAAGGCTGGAAATGGGGCAGCTCCTGGAGGCCCGACCTGATGATGGGGATGACAGGATGTCCCCAGCAGGATCATACACTTCCTGACCACTGACTCCCTCCAGGAGCGCAGTCACTAACCAGTGCACAGGCAGGATGGAGTGAGAGCTTCACAGGGAGGGGAAATTGAGGAGAGATTAATTTTAGCGGGCAATGGGTGAGAGTCAGGGGAGCCTTCTCGGACCAGGTGGTCTAAGCTGGGCAGTGTGTATGAAGGATGTCAACCAGCAGGGATGGGAGTGTGAGCCTCTGCAATTCTTGGGATGTGGCCCATTTTATAGCATCTGGAAGAGAGATTCCCTGCAATGGGATTACAATATTTGTCTGAGAGACAGACTGAGCCAGAAGTAAAACTGGACTTGAGTATGAGGTTCCAGACCCCAAAAGGGGGGTCAAGAGGGGCCATCCTTAGACATTTCTTGCTTCTCAATTCTGTTCAGGGACAGCACTAGCTTCGCACTAACTCTAGGGTGTTTGCAAAGTTTCCTTTTTCAAGGTCCCTCTCATGCAGTTGATATGACTCCTGTCTTAGGGCCAGGCCCAGGGCTAACATATATTGAGGGCCTACTATGTGCTAGATGTTATTTGAAATGTTTCATACATATTAAGTCAGGTGCACCTGGTAGAAATCCTAAGGAGGTAGTTATTCTCTTTATGTGCATGTTACATATCATGAGCCTGAGATGCAGAGAGGTTAAGTAACTTGTCTAAGACCAGCCAGCTAAGTAAGTGGTAGGGCTGAGGCTTGAACCCACAAAGTCCTAGCTTTCTGTGGTCAGAGGAAGCTTCTCTGGGGAGGGATGCTGAAGTGTTCCAGGCAGGGACTGAGCCAAGTGCATGGAGTGAGGAGGATGGTGGGAGAAGAGGAGGGAGGGACACATGTAGGAGGAGATATTGGATGGGAGATGAAAGGATGTAATATAAGCTCTACCTGGTGCTTTTAAGAGATGACAGAGGCTGCAGCTATGAGAAGAATGGACTGTAGGCAGGCAAGAGTGGAAGTAGAAAGATGGCAGGGAACAGGGGTTGGCGGTGTGCTGCTGCAGTCGCCCAGGGAGGTCACTCAGGTGAATGTACATTGGGCACTGGAAATTCACTTTGGTCCCTTCTACTCTCCAGGGCTGTGCTGAGTCCATGCAGGGCAGCCCTCCTTGTGGTCATGAACTAGGGCACTAGTCAGTGGCAGGTGGTCAGTGGCATGGCAGGGGTGTAGCAAGGGGCTGGGGGATAGGGAAGGCCTGGCACAGTGGAGAGGAGCCTCCGAGGGAGGCTACTGGTACTAGATGTTCCTTAGGAAGTTAGTGAAAGGCCAGCTGGAGTCTCTCTAGCTGCAGCTGACGGGCTGGGTTAGAAAGAAAATGCTTCCTTCAGACAGAGGGAGAAAGGCTTTCGTGGTCACCACAGACTCCACCATGAACATGGGTTCTCACCGCCAAGAGAGGTGTTGTCATCGGCGTGCTGAGCCAGCTGGCAAAGCACTCCCTTTAGTCTCCCTGCAATAGCTTGGTCATTTCCCAGCTATGAGAAATGAAAGAAGAGTTGAGTTGGGCAGTAGGTGATGGAGAGATGTCTGCTACCTGCTCTTCTGTAATATGGCTTCAACCCACCAGTAAGTCCAGGCAGTGGTGGAGGAAAAGTATCAGAATATAAATGTTTCTAGTATCATTATCATCATCATTATTATTACTACTACTATTGCAACGAGTATTCAGTACTTACTATGTGCTAGAAACCATCCTAAGCACTTCATACACCTCATTTCATTTTCACAACAGCCTATAAGATACATACTGTTGTTATTCCCATTTTACAGATGTGGGAAAAGAGAGTCCAGGGGCACACATCTAGTCAGTTGCAAGCCAGTGTCAGAACTTGGGCAGTCTGGGCGGGGCACGGTGGCTCACACCTGTAATCCCACCGCTTTGGGAGGCTGAGGCGGGCAGATAACTTGAGGTCAGGAGTTCAAGACCTGGCCAACAGAGAGAAACTCTATCTCTACTAAAATTACAAAATTTATCTGGGTGTGCTGGTGCATGCTTGTAGTCCTAGCTATTTAGGAAGCTGAGGCATGAGAATTGCTTGAATCCAGGAGGTGGAGGTTGCAGTAAGCTGAGATAGATCACACCACTGCATTCCATCCCGGACGACAGAGTGAGACTCTGTCTCAAAAAAAGAAGAAAAAGAAAAGAAAAGAAAAAAGAACTTGGGTGGTCTGGCTGGCTGCAGGGCTCACAGGTTTCATCACAAGCATATGGTGGCCTTAGCATAGGCAGGGGAGGGGTTGCACTGGGCCCTTTGGGGTGCTATGTGGGGACATTGTGCAGCTGAATTGGTATAGATTAGTAGGGGAGGATTGAAGTAGAGATGACCTAGGAATGCCAGAGCCAGGAGGCAGCGGGAGGAGGATTCTATCAGAGAACAACACAAAGCAGACAGACAGGAGCCACAGCTCCATCCAGCTGAGACAGGTGTCTCCACTTCTCCTCACCTCCCGTCAGGCCAGGGCAAGGCTCCCTTCCGGGGTGGGGAGCTGCTTGGGGCATCAATTGTTTCTGCCTGCCCAGGCTCCTTCGTTTTCCTTGTAGGGACCTGACTCCTTCCCACTCCTGTCCATTAGGTTTGAATGAGGCTGACTCTGCCCCTAGCTCAAGGGTGGGCACATAGCCCAGGTGCGGCCACTGAGGGTTATGGATAGGAGACTTTTGTGGAACCAGGGAGAAAGAAGTATTCTTTTTCTGCTGGGGGCCCTAAGCTGGTAGGATGTGAGCTTGAAAGAGCTGGTGGCCACACTAGCTGAGAATCAAGCCAACAGAGAAGAAAGACATGGGGAGGGACAGATTCCTGACAAGATTGCTGGATTCAGCCATTTCTGTTCTAGGCATTGCTATTTTAGTAAAATTATCCCCTGTACTGCATAAGCCTGTTTGGGTTGAATGACTGTTGCTTATGGATGAAAGATACAGGTACCCCTCTCCAAAGCCAATGATTTCATTTCAGTGGGAACCCAGGATAGTGACTTCTCCATCCTGCCCACACCTTTCCTGGGCTCTCTAGGCAAGGGGTGTGTGTGTGTGCGTGTGTGTGTGTGTGTGCATGTGTGCATCTATGAGAAGGGTGCAGAAGACCATGGTGTTCAGATGGGCTCTGACCTCTAGGTTGTGGACTTGTGGCAAGGCCGGAGTTAAGGCAGAGGTGGTGGTGTTATGTACACTTTACAAGACTTTGACTCTTTGTATTTTTCTTTTTGATGGTGGCTGTGCTGGGTCTGAGGCTCAGGGCCAGATCTGCTCCATGCTCTTGGTAAGCAGTAAAGGGAGGCTGGTATAATTTAGCCCTGGGTCAACATTTCCACATGCCACCAGGGCTTTTACATTACAGCTATTGTGTCTTTTCAAGAAGGAGCACTTCACAGGCTCTTTTAATTATATAGACCAGTGAGAGTCCTAAGGGAGGGTCCACTAGTGAAACTGAGCTTATAGGCATGTCTCATGTGTCCCAAAGAATGTTTAAAAATTAAAGATAAGCTGCCAATTTTGAAGGATCAGGAAATTCCATCTTCAAAAAACAACTCCTATTTCTAGATTCTCTTGAAAAAAAAATGACAAAGTCTGGGAACTCTGGGCTTGCATCACCAAATGGCAGTAGGCAACAGAAATGGGATTAGGGTCTTGGTCTTTTTGATTCCATTTCCATCAGATGGCAAGGTTGGGCTAGCTAACCTTGGGAGCCCTTCCACTTCCTCACTCCTGTAGGTCTTCATGCTTGATCTTTCTGGGCCATTTCTTCATCGTCCCTCTTTCTCCATCTTGGACTTTGGCAGGAACACACTCTCTTGCTGTGGAAACTGCCTCTGAGATCAGCCTAAGTGCCATTTCCACCTCCTGGCAAGTTTCAAGACTGTCCAGTCCAACTCCAAATGGAGAGTGGTCAGAGGAAAGTAGCTATAGCAACAGCTGCCAGCCAGGACAGTTGCAATGTCACCTCAAGTAATGGTCCCTATATGCACAATAATAATTTAGTGTGAGAAGTCAAAATCACAACAAAGCTGTATTGAGATTCCTGATGGGTTGACAGTAATTACCAAATAACTATTATGGGAAATGAATGGGACTGGTCATTAGGGAAGGATTTTATTATTATTTTTATATCTTTGAGAATGAAGATCAAGGTCTCATGTCCATCAGTAAAATCCCTGAGAACCACAGATTTACAGTCTTGGAGCAGAAAGGGACTCTGAAGCTTTGCTAAGTCCAACTCCTGCCCAAAGGATAGATCAATAAACCACTCTACACAAGACTTAAATACAGTTACCTGGCCTCAGCTTGCCCGCCTTCACCCCAGATAGGTTCATGCCCTACTGGTGGACTAATCCAGTATATCTAGATCACTGTTTGGTGTTGAAAGTGCGGGCTCTGGAGTCAGACTTTCTGAATCCAACTCCTGGATCTACCACTAGCTTGGGCTTCTTCCTGAATCTCTCCGTGCTTTTGTTTTCTCATCTGCTACAAGGGAGTAGTTGTGGTATTTACTTCTCCAGTTGTTGTGAGTACTCAATAAGGTAATATATGTAAAGAACTCAGCCATGGGAAGCACCCAGGGAATGCTATATGCAGTTGTTATAAATATTATCCTTAAGGTGAGCTCTATCTCACTGTGTGATGCCTGATACCACAGAACATCAGCTGTGAATGTTATCAGTGACTAATGTAAGCCTCACCCCATCTTCCATCAGAGTGGCCTCAGTTTTATCTGTGTTATACCTTTGGCTTCTATTGATAGTTTAATTTTGAAGGAAGGTTCTGTAGCTAAAGCCCTTTGACAGTCACTGATCTTATTCAACTCCATTTGACAGATGAGGAAACTGAGGAGCAGAGAGGGAAAGGGAGTTATGTGCCCTAGGTAAGACTGCCAGATTTAGCCACAAGCGTACAGGATGCCTGATTCAATTCAAACGTCAGATGAACAAATCATCCCTTAGTATATATATCCCCAGTGTTGCATGGTACATGCTTGTTTACCTGCAATTCAGATTCTGTATTGTCTCGGGTAACCCTGTATTAGTCCATTTTCATGCTGCTGATAAACACATACCCAAGACTAGGTAATTTACAAAAGAAAGAAGTTTAATGGACTTATAGTTCCACACCGCTGGGGAGGCCTCACCATCATGCTGGAAGGCGAGGAGGGGCAAGTCACATCTTACTTGGATGGCAGCAGGCAAAAAAAGAGAGAGTTTGTGCACAGGAACTCCTCTTTTTAAAACCATCAGATCTCATGAGACTTTTTCACTACTGCAAGAACAGCACGAGAAAGACCCACCCCTGTGATCCAATTACCTCCCACCAGGCCCCTCCCACAACACATAGGAATTCAAGATGAGATTTGGGTGGGGACACAGTCAAACCCTATCAAACCCTATCCCCGGGTCACATGCCAAAGAAGTTCCAGAGATTGGACTATGACCCAGGTTTCCTGAGCCTCACTTTGCTGTTCTTTCACTGGACCAGGATTTCCAGACACATAAGCTATGTGCTTCCAAGCCCTATGGGCAACTGCATTAATTAATCATGGAGTTCTTTCCTCCTGAGCCCTGTCTCAGCCACAAGACTCTTTGCAGGAAGCCACAGCTACCTCATCAGGGCTGGCTTTCCATTTGCAGTCCATTTGCCATCCTGTCACTAGACGATGCTGTTGCATCCTTGGGAGGTCCATAGAATAAGTCAGTTCCTGCTCCCCATCCTTGTCCAGTGGTTTTCCATGTGTCTGACCCTGTCACCTTATATCTGACCCCTTCTACTCTGAGCCCTTGTATCTGGACAGACATCAGAACAGGTTTGCCAAATGAACATGCACAGGCTCCAGTGGATTTCTGGAGGAGAAATCATTTCTATGTTCTTTTCCCAAGCAAGATCCAAGCAAATAAAACCAATAAAAGCCAGGTTCAGCCTAGGGATGGGGCAAGGGGAGGCCTTCCCATGTTTGAGGTTGAAATGGGACTCTTTATTCTAGGTGGTTACAAACATGTCTGCCTGTATGTCCAGGCAGGAAGGCAGGTGAAATGGGCTGGGTGGAGAACAGGGCAAACAGCAAGCACACACCCCACAGTGCTTAAGCTCCAGCTGAAACTTGCCCTGTGGGAATTTGAGTCCCCTATTGCCAGATACTCCTATTTTCCTAAAGAAGCCAGCAATCTGGATGTTTATAAGAAATCTCCTGCTTTGGAGATGTTAATAATGATTTCAAATTTTCCCAAGATCATCATGTAGGCCAAACAAAAGACGACCACCGGGTACACTCAGCTGCAGGGGAGGGGCAGGTCAGGACCCCACTTCATCATTCCCAGGGCAAACTCAGAGGCCACCCCTCCTTGCTGGAAGGCCTCTCAGGCTGGGCTACCTGGAGGCCTCACTCACGGTTGCCTCTGCAGGGAGCCTGGGATCAGATGGCTCTCACCTCACTCAGAGCGACAACACAGAGAGATGAATAAATATTCCAGTCCTGTCGATCTATCATCTTCTGGCACCAAATTACGCACGTATCCCATTATCATTACAGAGCTTTTGGGTTAATTGCAAATCAGGGAGTTAAGATTATTAATGTGAGTGGAGGCTTCTGGGGGTAAGAGAAGGGCTCAGGCCCGGCTGGCTTGTGTCCCGCCTACCCCTGGCTGGACGGCCCTCTCGCCATGGGCTGACCTCCTGCTCACTCCCACATGGGCGATGCCTCTGAACTCCCTGCTGTCTGCTGTCGGCTAGGGCACGTGCCTGCAAACCATTTCCCAGGAACTCTTTGTAGCAGGAGCATTAAAAGCAAATGTGCTCATTATACCTGATGGCGCACAATCCATGCAGAGGAAATTAGTAACGATTAGGGCGTCATTAGAGGGAGATGTCTCTCTTCACCCAAAATATTGACGGCAAAAAACCCAGCAGTGCAGATAACAAATGAATAAGACTTAGAAACACAAAGCACTGTGGTGATGATCAATGTTGTCCCGAGTATACCCCAGACGTCTGCAAAGCAGAACAGTTAGCAGCTGTTCCAGTTCTCTTTAGCTGTTGCAAAACAGTATTTGGATGTCCTCATACATTTTTTTTCATCCAGTGTTTTTACCAAACTTCCTAAGACAGGACAGTGGAGTAGAATATCTCAGTGACGTGGATTTTTATTTTTCAGAGGTCACAAGCTGCTGGCCTAATCTGCCTTCAGATACAATTTGTTTAGACTGCATGATGCTTCACAATAGATTGCATGGATGTTAACATCCAGATCTCTAGCTTTTCTAGAAAATTGGACTGTGGAATAACACTGGGCCCATGTCTCTGTATGACAATTGTCAGTTGGAGGTGCATATCTACTGCCTCAGTGGGTGCACCAGCGGTTTATAGCAGTCTCCACCACTCCCTCTTCTTCCCCAAAAGTAATGATAGAATAGCAGTTCCCATTTATTATGGCACTTATAATATTGCCTAGCCCTCTTCCTGTACTGGATGCCTAATTCTTTGGGCATCTGAGTCTGTAACCCCTATTCAGGTTCACCCTTCTTCATAAGATCACCAGACTGATGTTAGTTAAAATACAGGTTGAAGTGTATTCTACATTTCCTCAAAATCCTGAGAGTCTTCCCCCATCGAACACCACTGCCACCAGCACCATCACCAATCACCTGCAGGAAAAAAGCCGAGCACTCATTCAAAGCCATTTGTGACCTGGACAATCTTGCCTGTCCCTTATCCCTTCCAGTGTCCCATGCACTTGGATCTCTAGCTACCCTGGACTGCATCTCCCTTGGAGACACACCAGGCACCCTCACTCCTCAGGGCTTTGCTGCTACAATCCCTCCAGCTGGAGAATGTTTACCCTTTGTCACTTCCCAATGAACTCTGATTCCATCCTGCAGGGCCATCTCCCAGTTTCCATTCTGGTCCTGAAATTAGAATGGCTCTCAGGAGCAACCTGCTCATCCCTGTTCTTGACATCTCAGTTATCCCCGGCCTCCATCTGCATGCTTCCTACCATATCCTGAGCATCTAAAGGACAGGCTCTCCTCTTCCCATTGCTGCTCCCCTTGTAGGATTCGGCCAGCTCTGCTCATAGCAAGTGCTCAATAGAACTTTATTGAATGGATTCACTTGGCATCAGACTAATTTCTTTTTCCTCATGCAGTGCGAGTTCTCAGACTTTGCTAATGTTCTGGAAGAGCATTAATTCTCACCAAGTGATTTAATTAGGACTGGTGGTCCTGGCCAGGGCCTGCCAACCATCAGAGGCTTGAGGTCTCTCTCACTCACTTCTTGCTGTAACCTGGCCCCTTGCTTCCAGACTGGCTAATCCCAAAGTCTCCACACTGCTGAGTTGTCTTCTATCTTCCCAAATTAATCAGTCTAATAAAAGATGCACTTACTAGGTTATTAGGATAGTTTATGAGAGGAGAACAGATTTGGCTTGAATCGATCACTCAGAATGTATTGAGCAATCGCTATGCTGGATGTTGTGAGATTTCAGAAAGGGACTCGTAGGTTTGTTTTGTATACAGAAAAGTGTGCCTATTTAGAGGGTATAGCCTCCAAATTTTCACAGACGAAATACACCTGTTTATCAGCAAGCAGATCAAGAATCAGGCAAGACAGTAGCCCAGAATCCCCACAGGCTCCTTTCCAGTCACTAAGCCCTCCTCTGAGACTAACCATATTATTAACTTGTAATGGGATAGAATAATTGCCCTTGTTTTTATACTTTATAGACATGGAATCATAGAGTATGTACTCTTTTGTTTCTTTCACTCAATATTATGTTTGTAAGATTCATCCAGGCCAGGCACGGTGGCTCATGCCTGTAATCCCAGCACTTTGGGAGGCCGAGGCAGGCAGATCACGAGGTCAGGAGATCGAGACAATCCTGGCTAACATGGTGAAACCCCATCTCTACTAAAAATACAAAAAATTAGCCAGGTGTGGTGGCAGGCGCCTGTAATCCCAGCTACTTGGGAGGCTGAGGTAGGAGAATGGAGTGAACTGGGGAGGCGGAGCTTGCAGTGAGCAGAGATAGCACCACTGCATTCCAGCCTGGGTGACAGAGCAAGACTCTGTCTCAAAAAAAAAAAAAAAAAAAAAAAAGAAAGATTCAAGATTCATCCATATTTTTGTTTCTGGCTGTAGATCATCATTCTCACTGCCATTTAGTGGCATTCTGCTGTGTAAATACACCACCATTTATTTATCTATTCTTCTGTTGATGAACATTTATGTGTTTTTCCCCAAGCAGTTTTTGCCTGCTATGAACATTCTCATTCATGTGTTATAGTAAACACACATGCATTTCTGTTGAAGATATTCCTAGGAGTGGAATTGCTGGGTCGTGGGTTAGTGTGTATTTATCTTTGGTACATACTTCCAAAAAACTTTCTGAAGTGGTTGTTACTCATTAATTTTTAAGATTTATTCCTTCTTTAATTAATTCATTCAATAATGACTTAACACCTGCTTTGTGTGAGCCATTGTGCTAATTGTTGGAGAAAATATAAAGATGAATAAAAACAAGTCATGACATTCACTTATTTTAAAACTGTCAGTGATACTCATTGCCTGAGGATAAAATCTGAATATCTCTGCTTGGCAAACAAAACATTCACCATTCTAGATTCAGGTTCTTTCATCAGGCCAGAGATCTGAAACTCAAATGACTTCCAAGGCCAGGAAGGCAATAGGGATGCATGCAGAGAGCTTGGTGGGGTCTGTGAGGAAATGAAACTCACTTATCCCATCTACGTGGGATAGGGATAATGCATTTCCAGTTAATTATGGACATGAGGGAATATGGACCTATGATGTCCCATCTAATATTTTCAGAGAAGCTGAATATCTGAATTTGATGTAAAATCTGCTAATTTTTAAATTTGAAAGCTATTTTAAAAATTAAAACACTACACTGGTCAAACAAAACATAGGTGTAAGCTGGATTTGGGGGCAGGTTGCCAGTTTGTAAACTTTGCACCAAACGTTTGTTCTAGAATTTCCCCTCTATCTCTTAGGTTCCCATGCTCATGCTTCCTCCAATCCCAGCACAAGCACCAGGACCTTCTTTTTCACATCTCTGGGACTTGCATTCCATTCCCCTGAGAAGTCCTTTCTCCTATTTTTCAGGTGCAATTGCCCCCTTTCCCTGGAGACCCAGTTCAAATGCCACTGTTTTCCTGAAACCCTCCTCCTCCCTCATGTAAGCTTCCAGACCACCCTGGGATTGGTCTCGTGTGATACAGTGTTTGATCACATATCTCTTTTCTTCCTTTGTTCCTCCAGGGCTGAGACCTGACAGCTTACTTATCTCTGTGTCTCCAGCATCTGGTTCACAGGAGGGTCTCATAAATGTTTACTGAGTGAACCAATGGTCTCCTGAGCATTCATTCTCCTTTTCTCTAGTTCAGTCCTTGGCTTTGACTTGGGGACCCACCCATACCCTATACTGTGGAAACAGAAACCAGGTCAAAAATAACCTGGGAATTCTCTTCCCCTGGCCTCAGTGATAGCTTAAAAGAGAGCAGATGATTAGATTCCACCCAACTGAAATAAACTTCAGAGCTTCTCTGACATTGTCCAGAAATGAGGATAGATGGATAGAGCCTCTGACTGCCATCCTGTTCCCCGGTAAAGCCTGAGAGGGGAGCCAACTTACAGAAGAGGAGAGGCAGGAAATGGGAGAGACTGGGTCCTCATAATATCACGAGAGCACCTGAATCCATTTGTATCTGAAGGCAGCACTGCCCTGGGCTTTTCATTGCATTAATCAGTTAAAATAAATTATTTCCTTCTGCTTAAAACTTGAGGTGAACTTCTATCTCCGACAAGCAAGAAACATAAAAAATATAGAAATCACTAAAACACAGAGTAGAATGTACAAATTTCTTCAAATATTTATATGAAAAAAGCATTTACATGCAAAGTAGTTAGAAATCCCCTTCATGAGGGAAATTACAATCACATTGGCTAGATGAGAGGCACCCAGAAAAGAAGTAGAGATTGTGAAGTATACAGTTATGGGAACCTCTGTTGGACCCAGTGAGGACAAATAAGAGGGAGGAGGGATGAGTGTGGGTGAGCAGGCTGGGGGAACTTCATGGAGGAAGTAGGATTTTATTCCAATATGTGTGTGTATGTATATGTGCACCCACAGGTAAATGTGCCAGCATATACAAAATACAAAGCTCTGACTTGGAGGACCTAATAGCTTAATGAGGGGAGACATATCAAAAGCAAATAACTGGACAGATACAATAATCGCCTGGTGGTAATAAGTGCTCGGAGAGAAATGAATCATGGGAAGGTCCTATTTTGCATAAGGAGCTTAGGTAGACTTCTTGGAGGAAGTGGTTTTTAAGCCAACATGTAAATTACCACAAGGGTTTGGCCGTGTGAAGAGCCAATTTAAGAGTGATCCAGGCCGAGGAAATAGCATATGCTAAGATCCTAGAGCAGGGATGAACTTAGTGTGTTCAAGGAAACAAAAGGCTGGGACTGCTATGTGGTCATTGAGGGAGAGTCCTACATGCTGTGGATGAAGAGTTAGGCAGGAGCAAGATATGCAGTCTTGTTGACTGTGGTAAACAGTTTGGATTCCACGCCATGAGAAATGGGAAGGCACTGAAAGGTGATGAGCAGAGAAGGGACATGTTCTCTTTGTGGGTTTTGATCATTGTGGCTGTTGTGGGGAGAACAGGCTACAGGGAGCAAGAGCAGGTGAATAGAGAGAAATGCACAGATTTGAGATCTCTTTGGAAGTAGAATAAATATAATTTACTTATGAATTAGGGATTGAGGAAAAGGGCAAAGTTCTATCCCGGGTTCTGGCTCCAGTATCTTGGTAGATGGTGGTTCCATTTACTGAGATGGGGAAGAGGTGAAGAGGACTCAGGACAAGTGTGATTGACAGCAGAGGGATCATGAGTGCAGCTTTCAGACTGCCATGGGCCTTGATAAGAATAAAGGATTGGAACAAGGGAAAAATAGAGATGCCTGTGTTCAGAAGGGAAGCTAAGAAGGGGGTTGGCTCAGTTGGTGTGTATCTGGAGATGGTTGTGCCAGAGCCTGAAGTGGTTTTCATTATCCATGGCATTTAGCCATGTGACCTTTGCACAAACAGGGCTTGATTTGTGCTAGGGAAGAAAGTATTTGGGGAGATTTGATCAGTAATTCTTTCCATGCAGTTAAACACAGCAGCCCAAGAGTGAGTGATGGCATAATTTAATAATGCACAACATGCCACTGAGATGCAGTCTGGCTAACAGGAGTGATTAATAGCTGCATACTGCAGCTGTGACTCACTTTCAGTGATGGCACGGGGACAGGAAAGACAGAAATTCCCATTATGCTATGACAACAAGGTCTAGACTTTTGTACTTGATGCTATATGAGGAAAGATCCATGGTGCACACAAAGGATCCCAAAATTACACACACATAGGCACACACACACATATAGGCACACATACATAAACTCACACACAGAGAGCCTATGCAAGGTCAGAAAACTGTTCCAACTCTTAGTTGGATGTGGTGGTTGACTGAATATAGGCCAATAGAGTCAAGTGACCCAAATTCTAGTCCCATCAGACAGTAAATCTCCTCCATGTGACCTTGGACAAATTGATACCTTCTCTATGCCTCAGACATTTATCCATCCTTTCAGAAAGTATTTATTGTGTACTGACTACATATCAAAAGATATGAAGGCACAGGTGTTATTGTGATGACCAAAACACACTTGGTTTCTGCTCTCAAGAAGCTTATGGTCTAATTGACTAGTCAAGTGTCCATATCCCCAACTTTCAGTGATCTCATTGGACTACATGATCTTCCAAAGCCCCCTTTATTTGTAAACTGTCTAGAGTTAAAAGTGGGCATAAACTATTCCTGAAGGCTTTTAATTAATTTTCTTAAGTATCTATTAAGATTTTTTCCTAGGAGCTACTCTTAGCAATTTTCAGGAATACAGTACATTCTTATTAGCTATAGTCACCATGTTGTACAGTAGAGCACTTAAACTCATTCCTCCTACCTAATGGAAATTGTGTGTTCTTTGACCAATATCTCAACTCCAAAATAATAAGTATGTGAGGTATGCATATGTTAATCAGCTCAATTTAGCTATCATAAATATATACATAGTTCAAAACATCATGTTGTATATAATAAATATATGCAATTTTTATTTGAAAAAATCATGTTCTTTATTTTTAAAAAATAAAATAACTTTTTTTGTCTGAGTATTTTCTCCCTGTAAAATTTCAAACTTGACCAAACATCCGTCATGTGGTAAATAAAATTTCCCATTACAAATCTGTCTAGTAATACAAGAAAAATTAAAGTTATTACTATATTTGGCAGTGGTATAATGTACATTTTGTTTACTTTTGAACCTACAATTGTGTTAGAAAGATGAGAGTTATTACGTGGTTGTCAGTGTTTGTGCATGACATCAGAGCTTATAGCAGTGGTGACAGTAGCCTGGAAGAAAATCCTGAAGATAAAAATGGAATATAATTTTAGTAAATTCTACATTACAATCCTTTTGATTTGCAAAGAATACAACACTGTATAGAAAAACAGCAGCACTGATGATTCAGAGATAAAAGTAATCAACAAGATTTGGACTCTAAATGTAAAGAAATTTTGTGAATACTTGTATAATAGATCACTTAAACTTATTCTTAAAGTTCACTTATTCTTAAAGATCACTTAAAAGATAAGCTACCTATTTGTGTAGCTTATATTTTTTTTATGTATGTACTAGAGTGATATTTTATTTTCATGTCTAAATATGTATAAAATGATACTTTTAACAATTATGAAATAAAAATTATAGGTGACAACATAACATTGCAGTGTTTATCCCAGGAATGCAAGGATGGTTTAACAGAAAACAAAACAAAACAGAAACATATGGTCATTTCAATGGATGCTGAATAAGCATTTGAGAATTCAAAATCAGTTTCTGATAAAAAATTTTCATCCAACTACAAATAGAAAATAACTTTCTCAATCTGATAAAGGATATCTACAAAAATACCTACAGCTATGAGTTTGACTTTTTTAGCTTCCACATATAAGAGACATCATATAGCATTTGTTTAGAGAGTAGGATGGTGGTTACCAGAAGCTGGAAGTTTGGGAAAAAGGGAGATGTTGGCCACAGGGTGCAAGCCTACAGTTATGAGAGGAATAAGTACTGGAGACCTGATGTGCAGCACAGCGACTATAGTTAATAACCCTGTGTCATTTACTTGAAATTTGCTAAGAGAGTAAATCTCAAGTGTTCCTTCCCCACACACAAAAATGGTAATTATGTGAGGTGATAGATGTGTTCAGTAGCTTGATTATGATAGTCATTTCACAATGTATACATATATCTAAACATTATAATGCACACCCTAAATATATGCATTTTTATTTGTCAATCATACCTCAATAAAGCTGGAAAAACTCACTTTGATAGATTATATAAATTAAAAATATAGTACCAAACAACAATAAAAATACACATGCATAGTTTATTTTGGGGTTCTACTGTAAACCGGACTACATAGGCTAGATTTTTCTTGGTCAAATCTTAATATTGTTATTTTTTTTCTGATTGTGATCTGGCTTTTTATATAGAATTCTTTATGGGAGAAAATCAGAGTACATGACAGTTCAGTCTGTGCCACATTTATAATTATTTTTCTAAGTAAATAAAATGCTATTCTGGCTTAAATTTAAAAAGAAACACACACACAAAAAACCCTACAGCTAATATCCTACTTAATAATGAAAGAATGCATGTTTCCTGAGATTAGTAACAAGGCAAGATTTGCCTACTCTCATTGCTGCTATTTAATATAGTACTGGGGGGCCCTAGCTATTGCAACAAGGCAAGAAAAACAAATAAAAATCATAAAGATAAAAAAGAAGCAAAATTTAATTATTATAAACTGACATAATTATTTATGTAGAAAATCTTAAGGAATCTATAGATACACTGTTAAAACTAACAAATGCATTTAATCAGGTTGCAGTGCATTAACTTAATACACAAAAATAAAAGGTATATTTATAAACTATTGACAATTAGAAAATAAAATTTAAAAAGCAAAATTCATTTAAAATAGTGTCAAAAACCTAAGATACTTAGGAATAAATTTAAGGAAGCTATGTAAAATCTCCACACTAGAAACTAGAAAACATTGCTGAGAGAAATTAAAGGAGACCTAAAGAAATAGTGAGATATACCATGCTCAGGAATAGGAAGACTCAACACTGTTCAATTATCCTCAAGTCGTCTTAAAGATTCAATGCAATCCCAAACAAAATTCCAACAGGATTTTTAATTTTTTCGTAGCAACTGACAAGCTGATTATAAAACTTACATGAAAATCCAAAGATCTAAAATATACCAACTATCTAATCTTGAAAAATAAGAACAAAGCTGGAGGGTTTCTTTAGCCTGATTTCAAGGCTTAATATAAAGCTACAGTAATGAAGACAATATGATATTGGCATAGGGACTGACAAATAGGTCCATAAAATGAAATAGAGAATGCCCACTTATGCATTTATGATTTGATTTTCAACAAATGCAACAAAGCAATCAAATGGCAAAATGAAAATCTTTTCCATTAATTGTACTGAAAGAACTCTAAACCCATATTATTCAAAAAGTAATCACAGCACAGTTCCTACCTCATACAATACATAAAAATCAATTCAAGATATATTTAGATGTAAATGCAAGAGCTAAAATCATACAGCTTTTAGAGAAGTAGGCACAGCCCACAGACAGCAATGTCAATAAAAAATCATTAGAGTTCATCAAAATTAAAACTATTCACTAAAAGGTAAATGTAAGATAATAAATAGGCAAGTCACAGATAAGAAAATATTGTCAAAACATGTGTGTGGAAAAGGACTGGTATTTAGGATATATCAATAGCTCCTATTACTCAACAATAAAAAGACAAACAACCTAATCAAAAGTGGACAAAAGATTTAAATAGATACTTCACAAAAGGAGATATATGCTTGTCTAATAAACACATAAAAATGGACAACATCATTAGTCATTAGGGAAATGCAAATCAGAACCATACTGAGATATTATTCCACATCTATTGGAATAGCTAAACTGAAAAAACTGACAACCCCAAATATTGTAAGATTGTGAAACAACTTGAACCCTCATATATTGTTGATGGGAATGTAAAATGCTATAATCATTTTTGAAGAAGATTTGGTGATTTCTTACTTTACTGAACATGCTATCCTATGACCCAGTGATTTCACTTCTAAGTATTGACCCACAGAAAAAGAAAATATATGTCTACAAAAAGGTTTGTACAGGAATGTTCATAGAAGCTTTATTTGTAATAGTTATAACCCATGTCCATTGACAAGAGAATGAATAAAGTAGTATATTTGTTCAATACTATATTACTCAGTAATAGGAATAAACTACCAACATATGCAATAACATGGATGAATCTCAAAATCATTATTTTGAATCCAATAAGTCTTAAATAAGTGTATCTACTATGTAATCATTTATATGAAATTCTACAGGACAAAACTAGTCTACAGTGGGAAGAAATCAGAATAGCAGTCGCCTCTGGGGAATGGAGGTAAGAATTTATAGTCAAGATGCAAGAGGGTATTCCCTGGCAGTGATAGTAATGTTCTAGAACTTGGTAGGAGTTTTGAGTCACACAGGTGTGAACACTCATTAAAACTCATGGAATGCATTTAGGATTTTTACATTTTATTATATGTAAATTTTATATCAGCACAAAGAAACTGCAAACAAAATTTGAACTCTTTTAATAAAATCCATGCTGGGCTACTTAGGGGAAAATATATAAAGTCTTCAATTTACTTTGACTTATACCCCAAATAAAATGGATTAATGGATGGCTAAAAGAATGGATAGATGGGTAAATAACGTGATAAAGCATGGATAGTAAACTGTTCGTAGTGGAATCTAGATACTGTGATTCACTGTAATATTCCTTTAACTTTACTATATGCTTCAATATTTTCATAATAAAACATTGGTAATAAAAGAACTCTAAAATATTTTTTGAGAAAGAAAAAATTTCAGAGCTGTCATTTACGTCCGGGTGACCTTGTCATTTCTGAGTCTCCCAGGAGTGCTGAAAGGATACGTAACCTTCTGTATACGCATGAGTGTTTTGCAGGTCCTCAGGGTTTTTACCCATGTTGGTAATTGAACCCTGCAGATCAGGCAGCAAACAACCTGTATCAATGCCTACCCCGTCCCCACCCTGCCTGTATCATTCCTCCCCTTCGTCCCTAGAATAGTTTTGATGATCGCATAAAACAACCAAATAGCAGACGCAGACGGCACTTTACAGAACATGTCTTAAAAACTCCCCGATTACATATTTACTCCAAACCCATCAGAAAGGAGATGGCTGTGTATCGTTAATGAGGGCTGTTTGAGAGTCAAGTGTTCAGCAAATTTGGCCAGTGGCCACTTAGGGAGTTCCAACCTCAGAATCACCAGGTGTAGTAAATGTATACACCAAAAGGGGCCGCTGCTGCTCACTCTCGCTACCCCCAGCAGCAACCACCTGGGCACACCCAAGGCCTGGGTAGATACTGTCTGCTTCCTCCTCTGGAGCTTGCAGATCCTGGAGATGGTTACCAGGACCACAGGGCTTCTTGGGTTAAGCCCACCAAAAAGGAATGCGTGGGACCAGGGTGGAATACAGGGATAAGCAAACGTAAGGAAAAGCTGAGCTAGCAATTCCAAGGGGCTGCTTCAGTATGTTTTCATTAAATAGCAGTGGCCCCAGCCTCAACAATGAAGGCCCACATCTGCCCCTGGCTGGGGTCAGGGGTGAGAGAGAAGTAGGGGCCCCGGTTTACACCTTTCTTCCTGTGTGATTGGGGCAAGTCCCTTTCTCTCTCTGGACCCCAGACCCTCCTTCTGCAAAATGAGGGTGTCCAGATTCATTCAGAAGTTTCCCTTCTAAGACTCTGTAGTCTATTTGCAGTATTCCCTAAAACCTAAGACACAGCATGCATTTAGGCACCATAGCAGCACAGGTTCATACAGACGTGACAGTCATTGCTTGTGCCTGGAATTGTCTACTCAGTGTGCTAGTGTTGCTGACCCAAAGTTCTGATTGGCAGTTATAGATACCCTATAACAAAGAAGTAAATATGTATTTCTTTCACCCCAAACATACTGTTATCACCTTATAAAAATGCGACACAGCACTGATCGCCTTCAAAGTGCCAGACACTTTGCCAAGCACCTTAAATACATTATTTCATTTAATTAGGTAAACTTTGTTCATAGGCATTATTTCCATTTCACAGGGGAGCAAACAGAGGGTGAATGGATTGATACCTTATCCAAAGCCATGCAAGCTGGTTAGGAGCTGAACCCACGTCTGCATTCTTTCTGCTCCGCTCCAGTCTCTCCAACACTGCAGAATCCACTCCACCACCCTAACACAACTGTCGTTAGCATCTTGATAAATATGTATCACCCCTTTTTAGTTAAAGACATACATACTGTGTACGTCTTTCATACATTAAAATGTGAAAATGAGTTGTTAAAAGATGCTGTTTGGTAAAAATGTCAGGTTAATGGGAGAGAATAATAAAAGGTGTGCTACATTCTTTTGGTCAGAGAAACATCTGGACGAATCAGTTGAACCCCATAATCTTGGTTGGCCCAGACTGGCTGCAGCTTAGATCTGTGAGCACAGGCAGGTGAGGTCTATTTTCAAATAATAGTTGACCTTAATACTTCTCCAAGGACCACTGTTTTATTCCCAGATTATGTTCAGTGGCTCTTTAAATTGTGAAATTGCTTCTTTCCACATTGCACCAAGACAAGTAAAAGAAAGAAAGAAAAAAACCCTAAAGCACCATTTCTCTCGGTGTGTCCTTAAATGCCAAGTTTAGCTCTATGCAGGTTTTTATGGTCATTATAAACCGTCCACCGCAGCATACAACAGTGGCAGATCTTTAGTGTGGTTACACAAACACGGCTGCCATAATAAAACACATCTTATTTGATATTATATTGTATCAGAAGCATTAAATACACATTAAAGGGGTGTTTTAAGGCTCTTTGCAGTAAGTGGCAGATGTTATGAATAATAACCTGTAAAATCCTTCTGAATTCTAAAAAGGTGTGCTCCATAAAGCTGTCATATAAATCTTTGATAGAGCAGAAACACATTGAGCAGTGATTAGAGGAAATCTCTAATCGTATTAAGCTATTAGAGATAACTGGAAAAGGATTGGTAGTCTCAAAAATAAAATAAAATAAAGCAAGGAAATGAACACATCATGAATATGAAAGGTTTCCTATTTAGGCCTTTGACAGTTCTTTCCTGGAGGGAGCCCGGCAAGTCTGTGTAACACACAAGCACACATGCAGTGTAAAACCCAAACTGCCATCATTCACTGAAATTTATGTAAATGAATATGCATTCCTTTATACGAAAAATCAGCAACATCTGCGCTCCATTTAAACAATCTGATCTAATGGAGTCACCAACAGATAAAGAGCAGGGCAGGGGGAAATGACCTCACCCACCCTCCCCTTAGAGTATCTCGAAAAACAAATAAAATAAAATATAGGTTACAGGCAAAATAAACAGAGTTAAAAATATTGTCCCAGAGGACTCCAGCTTCCCAGGAAGCAGAGGTGTTTAAGGGGAGAGACAAGAGACAGCTGCAATAAACTCTGGCTCAATAAAACTTAATTAACCCCTTGGGGCCTTTGCAAGGAAGCTTGTCAGCAGAGAGACAGCATGCGATCCCAGTGCCTGGCACTAAGGGGTTAAACTTGCCTTGCCAGATGAGACGAGGAAATGCTGGACCTAAGGGAACAAGTGACCCTGTGCACATTCGCAACCACATACATGCACACACCTGTGCTCACACATACACCAAACCTGGCCATGCATTGCTCTTACTAACTTTGGGAAGTTTAGTTAAACTTGAGCCCAGAGTCTTGGAGTCTCGGCTTTTGAGGGTTAGAATGCACTTCTGAGTAATCTCACCCAAATCCCTATCCACTGCAAGGGGCCTCCCAGCCTCTAATTGAATGCTTTCAATGCCAGGGAGCTCAGTCTCCTTTATGGTGGCAGAATTCCAGGCCTGGATCAATCAAACGGATGTTAGCAGTTCTTCCTGACACCGTGTGTATGTGAACACCAGCCGAGAGATTGGTTTCTACTGCAAGTTCCTGTGCTTTCTTTTTTGGTGGGTGGGAGGATGATAGAAATTTGAGATGAACCAAACCAAATCCAAGAGAAATGCCAAATGCTTATTTTTTGTCTACTTTGTGGCAGGCCTTGTTTAGAAGTTTTGATACAAACTCCTAGTCTTAAATAGATATCAAAGGGTGACTAGAAGTTAAGATGTTTTCAATCTCATGAGAAAGAGCACATATGTCTACAAACACATGTAATGTTAGGTAAAAAGTGCTGATAGATCCAGGAGCTAGTGGGTGGGGGAAACCAAAAGTATACAGTATTTCCTGAGGGGTGGTCTATGTAACTCAGGAGACACAGTGGTTGGTTTTAGGTGGTGTATGGCCTCATTGTCTCTACAGTTCTTTTAAAAATTCTCATTATGCCAAGAAGAAAGTATGAGTTTGGCGCTAGCCTGTCTTAACATTCCAGACTTCAAACTCAGAGTCCAAGGCAAGAAACAGTATCTAGCTGAAATTTAGGAAGTACTTTTGTTTTTCTTACATTGGTTTTTTTGTTTGTTTTTGAGACAAGATCTCACTCTGTTGCCCAGGCTGGAGTACAGTGGTGGGATCATAGCTCACTGCAGCCTCAAACTCCTGGGCTCAAGTGATTAGCCACCATGCCTGGCCAATATTTTATTTTTTATTTGTAAAGATGAGGTCTTGCTATGTTGCCCAGGTTAGTCTTGAACTCCTGTACTCAAACAATCCTCCCATCTTTGCTTCCCAAAGCACTGAGATTGTAGGTGTGATCTTACATTGATTTTTTTTTCCACAGTAAAGCAACAGATTTTTATTTTTATTTTTATTTTTTTATTTTTTTATTATTATTATACTTTAAGTTTTAGGGTACATGTGCACAATGTGCAGGTTAGTTACATATGAATACATGTGCCATGGTGGTGTGCTGCACCCATTAACTCGTCATTTAGCATTAGGTATATCTCCTAAAGCTATCCCTTCCCCCTCTCCCCGCCCCACAACAGTCCCCAGAGTGTGATGTTCCCCTTCCTGTGTCCATGTGTTCTCATTGTTCAATTCCCACAAAAAAGCAAGTGGTATTAGTTTTCTATTTGTGGAAGTATTCTGAAACTTCTTTCAAAATAAATTTGAGTTTTACCATCCATGGTGAATTAATTTAAATAAAAATACAAAATAAATAATGCAGTTATTATGGGGCAAATCATGAGCGTGGTATACAAGCATCTGGGTCTGGGGAACACTCACTGGTGGGTCTTGGAGAACACGATGGTGAAACAGTGTCCCTCTCCCCTTCTAACCTGACTGCCTCAGAGTGCTGCTGTTTTTTGAGGTGGCTGCAGAGGAGTTGAATTTCTGCCTGTGGGCCCCTCCTTTCTCTGCCTGCCCCATGCAGTGTGTGGGGAGTCTAGGGCTGAGCACACAGTCAAAATCTGCAGCTCCTGGAGCCCAGTGGATCAAAGGTTTACAGCCAAGCTGCCGGAGGGCGCCCAGCCCATGGCAATAAAAGTGAGCTAATATTATCCTGCAGCAAGCAGATTCTCCCAGCACAGCAGATCTGCAGGCCACAGCTCACCTGGGAAGCTAGGGAGCAGAGGGTGGAGCAGGGCTCAACTATGTCATCCCAGCCCATCTCAGTGCACCAGGGAAGGGCAGCTGCTCTGGCAGGGCTTGCTTCTTGGCCAGGGTAACAAAAGGAAGGGCCACTGGTTACTCAACCTTACTCCCATCCCTGCCACTGACTCAGCCTGTGGTTTTGGACCAGCCACTTGTCTTATCTGTGCCCAATTTGCCATCTGCAGGAGGTAGGGTATTAAGGCAGTAATTAGCTTGGGCACAATGATCAATCCATTGGAGAAAGAGCCCATTCAGCTTCTCATGCAGCTTGGAAATGGTGAACTTCCAGGGCAGCCAGAAAGAAACATTTCCAGATTGTGATTCCACGGGCAAAATCCCTGGCCAAATCTCTGTTTTCTCTGTGACTGCCCAATCTCTCATCTTATTGAGTGACAGCTTGACTATTTCAGAACCTGGGGGAAATTTCCTTCCTTTTGTTCTGCTTCTCAGCTTCTCAGCACAGAAGTCTGAGCCCATATTTCTTCCTCTGCATCATGCTTGGTCCACTAAGTCTCTTTAAATGTCCTCATTGTCCAAGGTGGTGGGGCAGAGCTCTTACCTTCAGGCTGTTCCTGAGCCCAGGTACCACTGAATTGAAGGTCTCAGTTCTCATCGAGAGAGTGGGATGTGGGGGAATGGCCACAAGTGGACTGTCAGATGCAAACTGTCTTACCATGGAGCTTTATTTTGTCCAGTAAATAGATGTGCTCTTGAACTCCTGTTCCATCTTGGATAACTTGTACCTGAGACTTCTTATGACCAAGGTATCCCTGGGACTTCTGCAGATTCATCTCTGTAGTAAAGAAAACTTTGGTTTTGTAAATGATTCTGTTTTTACCAAGCACAAAGACCCCCAAGCAAACAGAGTAGTTCTGTTCCTCCTGTAAGGTGACATCATTCCACTGGCATTTCTTACAATAAGGGGGGAATATAAGTTGTCTGAGAGTGATCTAATCCTTCTACTTTCTCACCCTTGCACCATCCATCTCCCAGTGTAAGGACCTGCTTACTCCTTCTGATTGTGTTCCCTTTCTAGATAACCATCTCTAACTAGATGGGTGATCTTGGACAAGTCACTTGCCCCATCAGAGCAGATGTTTCCTCTGTAAAGTAAGTTGATTAAATTAGTGAAGTCCATAGATTAGATGTTAAAGGGACCTTAGAAGTTTCTCATGGTCCTTCAACTCATTGTTGAATTTTCTCATTGATCTGGAAATGGAGTCATCATCACACATTCCCAAGGAAGTAAGTTCTTATTCCCTGGAGTTTTTAATGGTGGGAGGCTGACTCTTTGGGAAAGGGGGTGTTAGTCACCCCCTTTACCCCATTCATTGGTCCCCAAAAGAGTTTCTGAGTCATGCCAGGGGAGTTTTCAGATAACCCTCATGAAGTCATTCTCCAGAGGAAAGGCATCTTCAGAACTTCCTATAATTGACCCATCAAAGATAGAGCTGTCATTTTTGGGTTTATCCAAGGGCTAACTTCTCCATGGAGCACAAATGGAGTGAGGACACCCACTCAGAGTACGGCTCTTCTCTGATCCTGGTGAGGTGTCCTTAGTGGTCTGTGCCTGCCTGGCTGAAATGCCATGACTGTGTGTACACATGCAGTGCCCAGAGAAGCACCATGGGCTCAAATGAAAAGAACTGCAGTAGGCACAGTGGTGCAGAATGAAGAGTCAAGAGCGTAGGCAGGTGAGTGGAGTCTCAGTTCTGTTATCTCCATGCTGTTTAGCCTGTGTTGGTTATTAACTGCTCTGGCTTCCAGGCTCATGGTTTGTGAAGTGGAGGGGCTAATCATGCCTACCTTGGTGGTTGCTCAGGAGGATCAATCAAGATAATGTGTGTGTGAGTGCCCGGTGAATTCCTAGGTGGCATGCACATGGAAGGGATTTTGTTCTTTGTAGGAGTGGGAGGGATGGTGCCAGCTGAAGTCCCCCCAGCCCCAGAGTCTCCAGAATGGATCAGTGTCAGTCAGTAACATTCTGACACATGGAAAACAATGTGAGCTTGAAAGCTAATAACCAGATCAAAAACAACAGGCTTGAGGAGGGAGACCAGCCTGGGAAATGTGTTATGAGCTGATCAGAAAGGAGAAAAGAAATAAAGTCATTAGCTTAATTAAGGGGCAGGAGGGAATGATGAAACACATCTCCAGCAAAACCAAATTAAGCATTTAGAAGATATTAAAAATGCATTTGAACTCCACTGGTGCTGCATTTCTAATAACATTTTCTGGGGCCATAGTCAGCTATCAGGTCAGTCTGATATCAAGAAAAGATACGATTTCTTACTGTCTCACGTCTCCGCAACCCCCAAACCTTCTCCCAGCTAAATCTTCCGACTGTGTGTCCCCTATCTACAGCCTTCTAACCACTTCTTCTTCAAAGATCCCCCTGGGTCAGCACGTGACTTGCACAGACTTTCAAATTTTGGCAAATTTGGCTGCTATTTCTGTAGTCTTGGGATCTTGATTTCTTTTAAGTTTTGTGGTCCCATTTTGAAGAGAATCTAAACAAAATTAACATGATCATATTCTGGATCATGAAGATAAGCTCTTTATGTGGATTCCTGCCATATGGTGCCTGTGTTTGGATTTATGTTTATGACCACATCAGTATGAAGAAGTAGTAGTAGCAGTACTGCTAATAGTAACATGAATGGTAATAATAGATAGGTAGCATTTATTAGACACTTACTGTGTGCTAGGCACTGTTCTAAGCATATGTCTTAACTCAATAGTCACTTTTAATGAACAATTTTAGTATTTTCATTATTTCAGAAGGGAAGCTAAGGCATTAGTATTTGCATTATTATCATGGTATTATATCCATGAGAAAACCCAGTGTGTGAAATTTTCATAGGCTAATGAGAAGAGAATTGAGGTTTCCTTAATACATATCATGTGTCTGATTTTGTAGTAATTTGAACAGAGGAAAGTGGTGGGAGAAGATAGTAAACTGAACATGACCAGCTCAAAACACGCTGGTCACCAAGGACAGTCTCCTATGTGTATAATCCATCATCCAAACCATCTGCAAGTCCCGTTTGCACAATTTCCCAAAGATTCCCTGAGTCCACCAACCTATGTTCATCTCCATGTGATCACCCACCCTAGTCATAATTGAAAATTCAGAGAGAGACAGATCCTTTTTTGGATCCATGGTGTGAGAGTGGTTCCTGGGATCTGACCTGAGTCTTGAAGTCTAGACTGAATTTGGAAGTACTCTTAGGGAGAATCCAAGGCATAGAAGTCCAATGAACAGGGAGTGGGAAAAGATGGCAAC
This sequence comes from Homo sapiens, assembly GCF_000001405.40. Taxonomy (NCBI): domain Eukaryota; kingdom Metazoa; phylum Chordata; class Mammalia; order Primates; family Hominidae; genus Homo; species Homo sapiens. The sequence goes on along the minus strand of NC_000016.10, from coordinate 49,176,618 downwards.
AGGCTTAGGAGAAAATAAGGGGTATGAGGCTTTCAAATCTCACACAGACTGAACAAAGAACCCAGAGGAGATTTATTAGCCCAAGAAGCTGAGAGTTTGGCATCAGGCACAAATGGGTCCTGAAGCTCAAGTGATGTGTTCGACTTCTCTGCTCCCCGTGCCACAGCTTTGCTCTCTTCTGTGTTAGACTTACTCTCCTGCAGGCCTTTTCTCCAGGTGACACCAGCCTTATGCCCTCCTAGCTAAGCAGCCATAGTACAGATGGGTTCTCCTTGTCAATAGTTCCCACAAAACCAAGGGACTCTTATCTCATTTACCTGATTGAGTCACATCTCCATTCCTGAACTAATTTCCAGGCCTAGGGAGATGAAATATTCTGATTGATCAGGACTGAGCTATGCATCTCTTTTGAAACTGAAAGATGAGACCTCACATGAACCAATGGACTAAGCCTGAAGAAGGGGTTGTTTCTTCAGAAGAAATCTGAGGTGGTGTCATCAGAAAAGGGAAGATCAATGATAGGAAAGGAAAAACAACATATTTCTGTCATGGCAGTGATAGTGCAATCAGAATGCAGTAGATGATTTGATAATTTTTTAAAACTCTGTGCTGATACAGAAAGTATGTGCAACTGTGTTCTGAAGACCCAGGGAAATGCCAAACACAACCCTAGGGTGGAGAAGAATTTATGTATGATAAAATATCACCCTGGCAGAGCAGGCTGTCTGCCCCAGACTCAGCAAACAAAGCCCAACTTAATTGCTTGCAGTCTTGGATGAACTTCTAACTCTTTAGCCCTAGGAGAGGAAAAATTGCATAGACAACCTGCTTTCTCTCCTTGGCATGCTGAGCCTCTGAGAAAGTTATTTAACCTCTCTCAGCAGTGATTCCTCAGCTGTAAAAATAGGATGACAATCTTTGCCCATTCAGGGCTGCGGGGAGAGCTGGAGGGAACAGATCTATAACAAAGGCTTTCCAGGTTGTGGGCTAGACAGCATTTTAGAAATGTGGCATCATGACTTTGGAGTCTTCATAGGTTTAGTCATCTGAAGGGTTCAGAGCAAACTTCCCCCCAACTCTCAAAGCAGTTGGCAATGTTTTCTTCTACTTCTAGTGTTAATGAGAAAATGACATTTCATAAAAAACATGTTTTCTCTATTAGAATTTGTGCTTCCCATGAATCCACTCAAGACATAAAGGCAATGGCAAGATCCGAACACTAGCCTGAAGTTGGTAGCAGTATCCTAAAGCAGAGAGATAATTATGTGAATTATTCTGGGGAAAGCATTTCTTGCGCTGAGCCTGGGTGGTGGAGAAGTGAAAATGTGCCTGTCCTTGAGGAGCTCAAAACCTAGTAGAAGAGGGAGAGGGAGGGAAAGAGAGAAAGTTGGGATGGGGAGATGGAGGTAGGGGAGAGAGCAAGGCAGAGTACATGAGAGAAGAAAAAAGGAGAGAAAGAGGAAGGAAGAGAGGGAGGGAAAGAGAGAGTTGGGATGGGGAGATGGAGGTAGGGGAGAGAGCAAGGCAGAGTACATGAGAGAAGAAAAAAGGAGAGAAAGAGGAAGGAAGAGAGAGAGGGATGGATGGGGAGCAGGGAGAAGAGAAGGAACAATTACAAGCAATTACTCTCTGGGACAGGGGTTGGCTAATTAAGGCCCATGAACCAAATCTGGCCTACTGCCTTCCTGTTTTTGTATAGCCTATGAACTAAGAATGGTTTTCATATTTTTAAATGGTTGAAAAATAATAAAAAGAGAATGTTATCTTGTGATAAGTGAAAATGATATGAAATTCAAATTTCAGGGTCCATAAAGTTTTATTGGCACACAGCCCCTGTGATTTGTTTACATACTGTCTATGGCTGCTTTTGTGTTTCAACAGTAAAACTGAGCAGCTGGGATGGAGACCAAATGGCTCACAACTCCTAAAATACTTTACAGAAAGAGTTTGATGACCTCTGCTCTAAAGAGACATATTTTGTTACAACAAAAGACTGGATATGAAGAATAAGGCCCAAAGGGAAAACCTTTCAACACAATATGGGCTCTGATCTGGGTTTTGAAGATGGGTAGGATTCTAAGAGGAAGAGATAAAGTGAAGGTCCATAGACTTAGAGATTTGTACTTCCATTTTATAGATCGGGACTGAGAAGTTGACGGGGGGGAGCTGGAATTTAAAACCCAGTTCGGTTCCATAGATTGTATTATTTCTGATTGCCACTTGCAGCCATCAGCCACCAGGGAGAGAAGGTCTGCTTGACTGTGCCCAGCCCAGAACTTGGATGCTTTGACCTTGGATAGCAGTGAGATAGGCAGGAAGAGATCTCAGAAAGGACCAAGGGGAAAAATGTAGAGGTATGGAGTGAAGAGGAGACAGAAGCTATGGAAGAAAAATCAAAACAACAACAACAACAACAACAAAGACAAAACAAAACAAAAAAACTGACTTTAAGGCCCAGTGTGAGGGTGGCAAACATAAAACACAGCACTTACAAATGGTTAAGGTGGGCCTGATGGGGCATGGTGAAGCCAAGAGCTCTTGCTCTGTATAAAGCAGGCAGCAGTTTCCTAGTTTTAACCATTGTTGCTGTGAGAGAATATACCTGCAGCATTACCAGATGTGACTTTTCAAGAGAAAGAGGAAATTGGATATTTATAGGCAATCCTTTGATTTTTAAAATTTGGCAAGAATTTCAATCAAAAGAGAAACACGGGATGAATCGACTGAATGTATGTAAGGGCTGGATCTAGCCTATAGGCCACTGGTTTGCAGTCTCTCACCTATGAAGTCCTGCAAATTTGAAACCCTGGTGTCCTCTCTCCAATCCCTCCTGAATGACTCCCTTGCAGCCCTGCCATGTGGGACCCAAGCCCCTCCTCTGGATACTCTCTCCATGTCTCCAGCATGGCTGTGCTTGTGCCAGTAACTGCTTGTGACTGGGATGACAAGTTTCCTGGGTGCTCCACGTTCAAGTCATTTTCAGGTCATAATGAACAAAGGTGAAAAGAAGAAACATAAATTCACCACCATCTGCACCAACCCACAAAAGATAAGAATGGTTCTGTTTTATGGTAATCATAGAATAAAGGAAAAAAGCCTTTGGGGTCTCCGGCTATTCTCCTGGTCCTCAGGAAGAACTCAGCCAATACCCAGAGGCAGAGAAGTCTGGCTGTGCTGCAGGGGAAGATGGCAGTGAGCAATCCTAGATGTTCTCATGTCCCAGCATGGTGGTCACTGTCTGGCTGTTGTTGAGTGTCGAGCCAGGTTTGAGGATGAGTGAAAGTGGACTTTCTCCCAGGAGCCTACATTATTTCTGATCACAAGGGTCCTGCATCTGGGAGGAAGAGCTCCACTCCAGGACACATTCCCAGCCTTGTGGTGAGGGCTGCTGGACATGTGAAGTGAGGAGGAAGTACAGCCGTCCTTCCTTCTCAAAGGGTAGAAGAGACATGTAGGCAGCGACATGCCTCTTCTGGTCTGTGCCCAGGGTCTTGAGGAAGGTGAGACCAACCTGACCTGGGAAGTGTGGAGGGATTTCCCATCAGAGGGTATTAAAATAAATCAGGGGAGAGAGAGTGAAAGGAATGTCTTCGTGGCACATCTCAGCCTTCTGGAAATGACTTCACAGAAGACATCCATACTGCTCCTTTCCAAAGCTCCTCAAACATGCCCCAGCAGAGAGGGCTGAATCAGGCCTTCTCCTGGTATTTTTCAGTGGTCCTTTAAATGAATAAATGAAGGACCAAGTCACCAGCTTGTTCTAAGAATGGCAGGGTGTAGAACCACGAAAGACCTGAAAGACCCAGGAGAAAATAATGTGATTGAGAATCTAGCAGATAGTCAAGTTTGATCATTAATGCAAAGACATGCTAAAAGAGATATGAGAAAATAGGATGGAAATGAGGGAGATAAGAGGTTAGAAGTCTGGGTGCAGTGGCTCACGTATGCAATCCCAGCACTTTGGGATGCCGAGGTGGGCGGATCGCCTGAGGTCAGGAGTTCGAGACCAGCCTGGCCAACATAGTGAAACCCCGTCACTACTAAAAAAAAAAAAAAAAAAAGAGAGATTAAAAAAAGAACTCAAGTTCAGGAAGGAGAGTGGGAGGCAGAGAGCTGACAGAGTCATAAGAGCTTTCTATAAGCCTATGTGACTTCACCCAAGGATGGGGCTGAAGCCCTAGAGAAAATAAATTAGCTTCGACAGGCATTTTCAGGAAGTTAACCTGCATATATAACTATCACTGTAATACTTGAAGATTTGGCTAGGGCTGGGTGAAGTTAGCTCTCAGTTTTATCTTCACCCAATGCAAATCTTTTCTAATGCTTTTCTCAGCCATAGATTTGGGCAAATTTCAAAAATCATACCATAGCATTTTAACCATTTTTTCTGGGAAAACTTATCTTGGAGTTAATCCAATCCAAGCCTAGACCTGCAAGAAATGATTGTGTGCACATTTTTCCAACTCTGTATTCAGTAATGACACTTTGGTAGCTTGAAATTGGCCACAGTGGGAGTATTTACACCACAGAAATAGGTGAATGCTACAAATAATGCCCTCCCCTGGCCAGAGCCTGCTGTGGAACATTTACTTGCATGTCACACCACTCGGTCTCAGAGGACAGTGTGGGTTCTCTGGCTGGGCAGGGCCTCTAGTAATGATCAAGATGTCTGTACCAAAGCCTCTCAATATCTAAAAAGTTGCTCTCATGGTTATGTCTTGCTAGTTAAATGGGAGGTGGGGTTGCTAGGGAGGCTGGGAGAGCCGTTAGCACGAAGTTAAGCCATATAGGAAGGATTTATTGTTAATGGAAATAACTTCTAGGGAAAGTGATCAAATCCAAATTTCTATTTATTTTCTTATTTTTCCCACTTTGATCTGAGCAACTGATCATGCAACCAGACTCCACTTATATCGGGTACTAAGATTTGGCATGAGCAGTTCAGAGATAGAGAATGCCAAATAATTCTCATTAAGTCTCAAAAACAAGTGGGCATCTCAAAATATCTTAGGTTAGATGGAACAGGTAATGGCTGCTGGATGCTCCATCCACATCCACTCCTCAAGAGCAACATATCCATTCCCCATTGCTGGGAATGTCAGGTGCATGGGCTCACAGCTGCATCCCTCCCTGGAAGTTGCCCTTGGGAGTGGGGAACTGCCTTACCCGCCCATAGGAGAGCTCACAGCCAATTACTGGCTGATGCAAAATACCAGCACCTTGTCTCAATTTGTAACAACTCTGAAGAGCCATCCTGGTTCCAGAACTGCCTTTAGGATTGGCTGCATCCTCAGCTGAAGCTTCCTTGTGGGTCAGCTTTTCCTTCTGTTTAATCTAATCTTCCTTATGTCTCTACAGGTGTATCTCCCAAGAGCACTCTCCAAATCTGCCTCTGTTTCAGTAGGACAAGGTTTAAGACAAAACTTTAAATTCATCTGGCTCAGGTACTCTCCTGATGGAGCATAAGTCTCCTCTGGTGCCTCCCTAATCAGAGAGGTCCAGTCCTTGTCTCACATTTGCTAGGAAGCTCTGCATATTGGAAAGCCTGTCCTCAGTTTGAGTTGAAATTCACCTCCCTGTTTAGAAAGAGGCTTGTTTTCCAGGTGCACATTATGTGTTCTGATTTGTTCCAGCTGACATTGCTTTGGACAGACAGTATAAGAGGAGGGTGATATATGGTCCTCATCTCTGAAGACCTCTCTGGGAGAGAGAAGACAGGCTGCCAAATTGTGTGCCATTGGAATTCAGAGCAAGGAGAAAGTTGAAGGGTGATGATAGGGGTGCTTTTTGGGGGAGGGCCTCTTGAGCGAGGCTTACAGAGATGCATAGGAGTTGTATAGGTACTTGGCAAAATGCTTTTCAGAAATGCTGGGCGTGTTCATCAACTGAAATGTACCTTTGCTATTTTAGCTGACGTACTTTCGTTTTTCTCTTCTTCTGCTAATAGTTCTTTAAGTTTTCTTTGGGGATCTCCCCATCAGTCCATATGATTCAAATGGGGGTGGACGCACTCCCTCAGCTTCAAGAATGAGCTTGTGGCTCCGGTTTAGCCAGCTGGGTTTTTTCTTCCTGCTAACCACAGTGAGGGACATGTGACCTAGTTGATCCCATGATACTGAATCCCAGGACTTGCATGAGAGTTCCTGGAAAGGAGTTCTAATTTCCTTGGAGTTGTTAGGCAACACAGGAGTAATCCGTGAGCTTCTGTGGGCTAAACAAAGAAGGAATCAGAGTTTATCTTAGGGTGGAAGTTAGAGACAGACAGTCACAGAGAGAGAAAGAATAAAGAGATATTTTGATTTGATGATATTTGTTAGAGTCCTGTTTCATCTTTACAATTGCATGAACTTGAATCAAAAATTCTTTTTATGCTTAAGCCAATTTGAATTAGATTATCTATCACTTGTGACACAATGACTCCTAACTATTGCAGAAACCAGTGTTTAAACTCTAATCTGATGTTGAATCTCTGTTCTTAGTACAATAGTATGATTCAGAGAGACAGGTGTCAGCAAGCTTGATGGGAGCAGAAGATACTCTAAAGAAATTGAGCCTACAATTCAGCCAGGAGGAATCTGTAAGGATTTCTTTAATTGCTCTTTCCTTTAAAAGATCAGACATACCGGTTCCCTTACTACCCACTGTTTTAGGATGCTATCCATTTTTCCTCAGTGATTGGCCCTCTTCATCAGATCTTCTACAGAATCTCCAACTTTTTAGATGAATTTCTATTAGAACAAGCCCCTCTTTAGTCTGGTCTTCAGTGAATTCCCGACGTCCAAGTTGCTTCAATGGCTTCATTCCTAAGGTGAATTTGAAAATGGATCATTCAAAAATGGCTCTCAATTTGCATGAGAAAGTCATGAGAAAGACCCCATTGAGTTAATCCCCAAATTCTGCCTGTGATGTGAGCATTAAGGGACACTGGGTGGAGGGAGAGGCAGAGGAAATCTCCACCCCATCTATCCCCTCCAGGAGCTCAGAGACTTTGATCATTTCTTTCTTAGCCTTTATATTTCCAGAACAAAGTGGCTCATTTTGATCTATCCTTGAATGGCATCTCTGTCTCCACCTCCTTGATCATTTTCGATGTCCTCCCCCTCACTTCCCCTAGCTTCTTTATGTCTTTTAAAGGTATGCCCAGAACTACACATAATATTTCCAGAGGTCAGAGAATTAGGCTTTTATCTTTGCTCATTGATGTTAAAAATGTGATCATGATAAAATAAATCATTTGAGAAATTTGTATTGGCTTCTAAGCCCAAAGTCATTCCCTCTTTCCTTCACTAACTCACTGATTTACTCACTTCATAAGCAATTAGGAAGAACTTACTGTGTGAATACAAAGAACCTACAAAGGCTTGTGATAGGCTTTTTGGGATACCAAACAGGGTGAGAAATCATTCTCCTCCCTTAAGGAGTATGCAGTAAAGCTGATAATGCAAGACTAACATATGAGAAGCCAACAATAATAATGTCTTCCTCTAGAATCTGACATGAAACACGGGCTCATTTGATTCCCACACCAGTTGCATTGTCATGATGAGGGGCTGAGAGCCAGGAAAGTAGGGATATTTAGGATTCATGTGCAATCACCTGTCTCCAAGTTCATGAGTCTTTCATCTGGACAATGACTTCCTTTATCCATCACCCAGGAAGGGTCTTAACCCTGAAGTTCTGAGACACAACAGAAAAGATCCCAACTCCTAAGTGAAATAAGCGTCAGAAGAAGGAACAGATTTCATAACGTGAGTACCTGTGGAGGGCAGACTTTTGAATTAGAGCTCTCCCATCTTAGAGTTTTTCTGGAATCTTATTAATGGATCTAGAGTGGGCTGAGCTTACTTCCCATATTAATCCCATTCAGGAAAACTCTATTTTCATTGCTTTTCCTGCCATCAGCTATTCCCTCTCCATCCAAATACAGTAGCTACATTTAGGCTGAACAATCTCGCACTCCCAACTATCAGTTCAAATTTGAATGACCCTAGATTCTGGCTCCATTGTTGAATATATGGCCTGGCTTTGGCCACTCAACCCATCATCATTTCTGTGTTTCTGAAATTGATCCAGAGATGGTTACATGATTTATGGGCCAATCTGAGACAATAAAGATGTGCCCTGTGATTTCTGGAAAAGGTGAAAAAGGTAAGCTCTCTTTCTTCTGGGATTATGGGGTAAGTATAAGACTGCTAGTGGCCATCCTGACACTGTGTGGAATAAGGCAGTCTGAGAATAGTCACTTGGAGAAAGCAAAGTGCACAGGTGGAGCTGGATTGCTGATAAGACATACTTAGCCCTGCTTAGCAGCCCTGGATTTTCAGTCACATGACCCAATGATAGCCCTCTCATGCATAAGCCAGTTTGAGTTCTGTTTCTATAATTTGCAACCAAAAAGAGTCTTGACCAATTTTTCCATCCACATACAAATTACCTCCTGGCAGCATGGGTTTCTATCTTTCCTTCAATTCTCTAACCGTGTCTTTCCTTAACCATGTTTCATTCATATATCTTTTTCATGTTCACTAGACACAGAGCTCCATAAGGATTAGTATCTTGTCTACTTTATTCACCACTTAATACCAACAGAGTTGAGTGATGAAATAAGCTCCACAGTAACACAGGAGATGATGCCATGTTTCTTCAGGGCCTACTGAAATGACAGTAAAAATTTATTCTAAGGTTTCAATAACCTAATATAGTGTTGCAAGTAATTTATTAAGAAAAAATAGTCAAATTAACTAAAGTGCTAAAGTTTGCAATTTTTGGTAAATTATTAATTTTTAATAACCTATGATAGACTGAAGGTTATCCTTATAGCATCACTGTCACTAAAATTCCAAGATGCTTTTCTGAATGAGACTAAAAGTGTATGGGGGGCATTATGAACAGCACAGGAGCCTTTAAACCACGTGACAGCCTGCAGTGAGTCTCCCTTACTGAGTTACATTTTATGTTTGTGGAAATTATAATTATTTTAGTGATTTGAGTGGGGAGGGGGACGGCGCATTCAATCCAATATGGTGATGTAAACTGGAGAAGGTCATGTATTTTTATCCATTTGGGGGGCTATGGGGGAAACATTCTTGGGAACCAGGACCTACTGTGGTACCTTCTGTTCTGTGCTTTAATCTGGCTTCTAACTTTCTTCAAAATTATGATCCACTACTTTTCTTTTCCTTGCTACTATTTCCTATGATAATGGAAGCAATTTTATTTCCCCTTATCCAAATATATTATGCCTTGTCTTAACACCTTTTGTGTTAGTCAGTCAACCAGAAACTCTTTGTTCTCCTCAAACACTCCAATCCTGGGCATCCTTGTTTAATTTCTAGGCAAACGTCATCTCTGACATAAAGCCAATCACTAGTCCCCCAACCTAAATGATATTAACCTCTACTTTAAACAATTGTTTACATTTTTAAACATATACAAATAACAAAATTAATTCTTTTTGGTGTATGGCTCTAGGAGTTTTAACATATGTGCAGATTCATGTAACTCCCACTACAATCATGACACAGAATAGTACTAACGAGCCCCCAAATTCTCTTGTACTGCGGCTTTGTAGCCAAAGCCCCTCTTACCCCAAATCCCTGGAAACCACTGGAATTCTCTGTCCCTATAATTTTTCTTTCATAGAATGTCATATGAACGGAATCACACAACATGTCGTCTTTGAGACTGGCCTTTTTTCATTCAGCAAACTGCCTTTGAGATTCATTCATGTTGTGCATATCAGTAGTTTATTCCTTTTTATTGCAAGGAGTAATTCATTGTATGAATGTACCATAATGTATCTATTCACCTGCAAATGGACATTTGGGATATATCTAGTTTTTAGCTATTATAAATAAGCCTGCCATAAACATTTGTGTGCAAGTCTTTTGCATACATATGTTTTCATTTCTCTTGAGTAATTACCTAAAAGTGGAATGTTTGTGTATTTATTTATTTATTTTTGAGACGGAGTCTTGCTCTGTCCCCTAGGCTGGAGTGCAGTGGTGCGATCTCGGCTCACTGCAAACTCCTCCTCCCAGGTTCAAGCGATTCTCCTACCTCAGCCTCCTGAGCAGCTGGAATTAGGGGCACACGCCACGACGCCTGGCTAATTTTTGCATTTTTAGTAGAGATAGGGTTTCACCATGTTGGCCAGGCTTGTCTCAAACTCCTGGACTCAAGATCCACTTGCCTCGGCCTCCCAAAGTGCTGGGATTACAGGTGTGAGCCAGTGCGCCTGGCCAAAGTGGAATGTTTGGTTCAAGGTAAGCGTATGTCAAACTTTATAAGAAATTGTCTATTTACAGAGTGACTGAACCTGTACCATTCTGCATTCCCACCAACAATGTGCAAGAATTCCAATTGCTCTGTATTGTAGGTAGCACTTGATAGTCAGCTTACTTCGTGATGTAAGCTTGATGATGTATATCTTTTCATGTGCTTTTTTGTCCTCAATGTCTTCTTCCGTGAGGCTTTTTTTTTCAAATTTCTTGCCCATTTATATTTTTAATTGAGTTATTTTTCTTAATGTTGAGTTTTAAGAATTCTTTATATTCTTAAATTCTGGATATAAGTCCTTTGTTGAATATATTACTTGCAAATATTTTCTCTCAATCTGTAGCTTGAGTTTTTATTCTCTTAACAGTGTCTTTTGGAAAGTAATCTTTTAAAAGATTTTTGAAGAGGTCCAATTTATCAGTATTTTCTTCTAAGAATCATGTACTTGGAATCATTAAGAATATTTTTACCTAACATAATATTATACACATTTCCTCTATTTTTCTAGAAGTTTTATAGTTTTGCATTTAGATATGACTTAATTTTTGTATAAGGCATGAGGTATGGATTGAGGCTCACTTTTGGGGACATAGAAATATGCAAGTATTTCATCACTTTTTGTTGAAAAACATCTAACAAGACTAGCAAATGAAAACCCAAGAAGACACAAATTACCAGTAAGAAGAATGAGAAAGAAGATGTCACGATAGGCCCCACAAACATTAAATGGATATTTATGCATGTAAATTTAATATCTTAAATAAAATGAACTGATTCCTCTAAAGCCACAAACAAGCAAAACATACCCAAGAAGATATAGATACCTTTACACCATACGTATTTTAAAGAACTTAAGATGAGAAAAATAAACTGTTAAATTTACCCAGATGTTTACCATTTCTGTTAGTCTTCTTTCACTCCTAATGCTGGTCATAGATTCTATTTGTTTTCTTTTATCTGAGAATATTTTCATTTCAACTTCATTCCTGAAAGATAGTTGCTGTATACAGAACTTTGAGTTGGCAGGGTATGTTGTTGTTGTTGGCAGAATCTGTTTTGCTTTCAGCATTTAAAAAATGTTCCACTACTTTAAAGCCTCCATGGTTCATTATGACAAGTCAGCAGTAATTTGAATTGTTGTTATCCTATAGGTAACATTCATCTTTATTTTATTTATTTATTTATTTTTGGCAGCTTTCGATATTTTTTTCTATTGTCTTTTGTTCTCATCAGTTTGATTATAATGTGTCTTTGCATGCATTTCTTTGTTTTTTTCTGTTTTGAGTTCACTGGACTGGGGTTTTTTGAATATGCAAATTTATATCATTTGCCAAATTAGAAAATTTTTAGATATTATTTATTCAAATATTTTTTCTGTACCACACTCCTTCTCCTCTCCATCTGATACTCCAGCAATGCAGAAGTTAAATTTTGGGGTCTTTTCTCATAGTTTCCTTAGGCTCTATTCTGTTTTTTTCTTCATTTTTCTTCTCCATTTTTCAGGTTAGATACTCTGTACTGATCTATCTTCAAGTTTACTGACTCTTTCCTCTGGAAATTACTTTGTACGCATCAAGTGAAATTTTTGTTTTGGTTATTATTGTTTTTATTTATAATATTCCTCTCCATTATTTTTATAGCTTTTATTTTTCTACTGAGACTTTCTATATTTCCCTTGTTTCAAGAGCATTTGCCCTTACTTCCTGAGTATGATTATAACAACTGCTTTAAAGTCTTTGTCTGATAATTTCAACATCTTTGTTATCTTGTATGCTGTCTGTTGATTTTCTTTTCCTTTGCAAGTTGTTGAGATTTTTTTTCCTATGGGAAATAATTTTGGATTATAGCCTAAGAATTTTGAGTATTGTGTTATAACTATTGCTCTTGTTTTAATATTATGGATTTTTTTCTTTTTTAAAGCAAGACAATCAACTCAGTTGCATTCAGGCTATAGCTAATCTTTAATGGGCTGTGTTTCCCATGTCAGTTTGGTTTCAAAGCTTTTCCAGTGCTGCCTAGATTTCTTCCAATGTGCATAACTCTGGGGAACATTTGCTCTGTGGTTCAATTCTGAAAGCCTCAGATATGCTGTTCAGAGTCATATCCATGCATGCACAGCTTGTGAGTGAGCCCAAAATTCACATATGACTATGGATTCATTTCTCAAGCTGCCTCCTGTCTTCAATCTTTCTGACACTGTCTGGCTCCCCAGATTTTTGCATCTTGGTCCTCCAGCTAAAAAGCTGAGATTTTAGTCTCCCTGCTCTGTTGCACAGTTCCAACAAAGGGGTCTGTCTCTGTGGTCAAATGGAAGGAAGACAGAGAAAGGCTGAATGCAACAGTGAGCCCCTCTATCTTGTTCAGGTGGTACTTACCCTCCCTCAGAACTTTAGGTATTTGCTGGCAACCACCAACATTTCTGCCTTGCCCCTGTCCTCCTGCCTCTCAATGGCTATGGGATTACAGCTTTGGGACTGGGGATTGCCTGGGAACTGGAATGGGACAGGAAGAGAAAACCATAAACAAAAAATTCGGGAATTTACCTCACTCTCCCTGTTTTGTAGGTGCCCTTATTTTCACTCTGAACCAGAAATTAGTGGCTTCTCTTAAGTATCTTAGGTTCACACTTTATATGAGGTTCGAGAATTTGGGTTGTGCTTGAGGTCAGGCCTGGAGAATCAGAAGGAAGAAAATTCAGGAAGTGTTACACTGGAAAACATATAGTTCAAGTTCTTTTTCCTTCTCCAATGTGCTAGCTACTGTTTACTTTTTGGAGTCCTCACTTAGTTCCATGCATTCTATCCAGGTTTTCAGTTGCGTTTGGTGAACAGAACTGCAACCTTTCTGCTTCCACTTCTTGTCTGTTCTAATTAAATGTTAGCATCTGGAAAGAAGTGGCTTTGTGTCACCTTTTCAGTAGTCCTCACATTTCCTAAACTATGTGTGGCACACCAGGATATGACCTTTACTGCATTATATAATTTCATCTCCAGAGCACTTTTAAGAGGTAGACCTCATTACTTTCATTTTATAGACCAAGAAGCAAGTTTGAAAAAAAAAATAACATTCAAGGTCATAACAGACGTGCAAGGATTCTAACTCAGGTCTATAGATACTTTGCTCATCCTAGGGATGAACTCCTCATAATAATGTTCAACTTCAGCATTATTATTAGTTCCTTATTATAAAGAAAGAAAAGGGCTCATTGAGGCAACATGGCAAGTCAGGTTTCAAACCACAGCATCAAAAGCTAACTACTTCATGGAAAATTTATATGGCTAGACATGCAAAAAGGGATCAACAAATATTTATTGTAAAATGAGGATTTTTTAAAGGAAAAAAATGTGCCTCAAACCAGTGGAATTATTTTATTAAAATGGTGAAATATGGCTCATGTTTTAGGTTTCTGCAGCACTGCTTATTAACTCACACAGTGTGTTCTTCCATCTCTTTAAAAGTGCATTTCCCCCTTCTTCTTATTTCATCAATTACAACATACCAGTTGTTTGGTTTCCTAAGTATTTGCAGCTTGGGCAGCCAAATCTCAATCTGGGTGTTTTCCTGCGTTCTCTATATTTTCCCTGCAAGAGCAAATTAAAGAGCCAATGAGGTTTCTTCTCCTTACAGTTGTCTCCTGCTTCCACAAGTACAGATAGCATTGCTGTAAACCTGAACCTTGTGGTTGCTGTCATCAGAATGGAGGAGATAATCACATCTAGAATTTCACAAGATTCCATTCAATGAGGCTGACTTTCTTCCTAGATAGGAACCCATTCACCATGGCCTTTGAGTCCTTCAGGTGGAATAAATGTGTTTCTGTAATGTCTATAAAATGAGACTAAATTTAGTGGCCTTGCATCGGAACACTTTCTATAGCAGAGAAGATGATAATAAAGACAGAAAGTGTATTGTGACCCCCATCTCGCTGCATTTCCATAACAACACAGCTTTATGCCTCCAGTGGGGCAGGAAATCAGCCAGGAGATTAACAGATGTTTTATTTATATGCAGATTTTTCAGTGTCCAGGAATGGGGAAGGCTTCTATCAGGTGTATTTTCCTAGGTCATTGATGGAAGATGAATTCAACAAACTGATAAGCCTTTGGAAATCTTTTCACCAGTTAATTCTCAAACTCTTTTGCCAGTAATTTAAAAAACATATAGAGAGACTTGTACCATCAAAACAAGACATACTTCACTGAAATGGAACTCTTTGGAAGACTTCCTTGGTGCCTCAGTAATGTTCTGCCCCCTTCTCTGAGCTCTTTCTTTTATCCCTTTTCTTTGGAGGTTTTCATTTAGTGATCACAGAGGATATTCAGATGTGCATAATCAATTTAATATGTTCCCTAAAGAGGATGCCATCTCCATACACACATGCATGACTGTTGCCAATTGCAGGAGAAAAAGTGTAGAATTTTGTAAAGCAGGTATGGAAATAACAACTAAAAAGGCTGAAACTGAGCTAGATTTTCATCCTTTGGGTAGGTTGTATGGTCAGAAAAATTTTTCCCTAATACCTTGAGATTGTAGATTCCAGTGTGCTCCTAGGATAGCAACAGAAAATAGGATTCAGATAGGAAAAGATAGGAAAAAGATCTAGACTCAATGTCCATCAAGAGTCAACCTAACATTTCCCTAAGGCAGCATTATGGCGACCTGGAGGTTTTGAAGTTGTTTCCACAGATGCTATTTACCTTGCATATGGCTAAAGACTCTTTTAAAATTACAAAGGGAATTTTTTTAAAGAGGGAAAAAATATGCTTCAGCAACAATTACAAAAACCAGAACTTTATCTCACTGAGTTTTATAGATTCTAGTTGCAGGTGGTGAGCTCACAGATGGCAGAAAGTAAAGTCACTAGCTGAGGAGAAGAGCCTGCCTGGTGCCAGAGAACCACACAGTCATATTAAAAGAAACAAAAACAAAGACTCACACCAAGCCAGGTGTCCCAGGTACTAAGAACGAAAGTCAAGTTAGGAATAGGTTCAACTGTTGACTTCCTCGCAGAGCAAGGCCTCAGAGAGGAAGAAGAATTTTAATGGGCCCCAGCAATATGATGGACCTCAATTGTTCTTAAGGCTCACTTCTGTTTTGTAATTTACCTCTGGCACCAATTTGCATAACATAAGCTTTCTCCAGAGATTTGGGGCAGGTCATATAGATAAACATAAAACATTTTTGGAAAAACAAAACCAAAACCAAATGAAACGAGGAGTGTTGCTCTCCCTTCATTTCTAGGTCTTTTTTTTTTTTTTATGACATCCTTCCTGGGTTACTTTGTATGTGATTAGACCAATTATTATTAGAAATAATGATTTAGTAATTCATGTAAATTGTAAAATTAACCAATATCTTCATTTTTCCAAATAATACATTTTTCCTAATAACTATTTATTGGAAATTTGTTTGGTATCATGTGTCCTAATATGAATATAAATGAGATTTGATTTTTGTCCTGAAAGAGTTTGGTGTGTATTAGTATGGAGGTAAAATTAAAGTGAATAAGCAGCTCAAAAAGTAGAATGCAATAAATGCCATAATTTTTTTTTTTTTTTTGAGATGAAGTCTCACTCTGTCACCCAGGCTGGAGTGCAGTGGTGTGCTCTCAGCTCACTGCAACCTCCACCTCCTGGGTTCAAGCAATTCTGCTTCAGCCTCCCGAATAGCTGGGATTACAGGCATGCACCACCACACCCAGCATTTGTACAATACAAAAATACATTTGTATTTTTAGTAGAGACAGGGTTTCACCATGTTGACCAAGCTGGTCTCGAACTCTTGACCTCAGGTGATTCACCTCCCAAAGTGCTGGGATTACAGGCGTGAGCTACCGCGCCTGGCCCATAAGGTGTTTTAATAAGTGGCTTTTTAAAACCAACTTAACTTTTAAGCATAATGTCTGCTAAGCAATAAATCCTCTCTTGCTCAATTAATAAATTAATAAGTGAATATGTAACGAGTCACTTAAATGAGCTTCTGTGGGAATTAAAAGGAAGTAGAAATTATTTTTCTGGGGAAGACATCAAGAAGAATGACATGGAGGAATTGCCATTTGAGCCTCAACAGTTGAGATTTGAGTATCTAGAGTTGAAAGGAAGGGTTTTCCAGGACAAGGGAACATGAGCACACACTCGACAGTGAGATAATGAGAGATGTGCTTGGCCATGTGTAAGCTGTCCAGTTCTGCTGAGCAACTATCACAATATACACCGAAATACATTGGAACAAAAATAAAACGAAATAAGCCAAGCACTTGCTGCCCTGGCAAAATTAGCAAAATGTGGGACACAGCCCCACTGGAGAATGGTTTGTCATTTGAAGCAGGCCAAGTCCTGAAAACATCAAAATCAGCCAAAATGACATTAAAAGATGGAGAAGTGATCTAAATTCTCTGGACCTCAGTTTCTGCATCCATAAAACAGGGTTAATTGTACCTATAATGCAAGGTTGTTTTACAGATTATGTGAAGTCTGATCTATAAATTAACTGGCATATGATAGAAATTTGATACTTATTATTTTTGTTAGTAATATAAAAAATAATAGGCATTATCTAGCCATGTGTGGCCAAACATCATGATATAAGCACCATTTATTTGAATTATACTGAGCTTATATAATTATAGACAATAGGGCAACTTACCTGTTAAGTTCAATCTCTATTTTGTGATTTACTTCATGCATTGATCTGCTCAGCTGCATCTGGTTAGAAATGTAAAACACTGCCATCACCAGAGATTTAGTGCATTTCATGTAGGTGAACATAAAACCAAATGTTTTCAAAGCAAGCAAAGAAGAAAATAGTAAGGTAGAACAGTGTGTTAGTGAAGGAGCCACACATTTTGGAGACAAATCTAAGTCCAAATCCCTGTTCAGCTTCTTGCTATCTCTGTGACCTTAGGTAAGTTACTAAACCTCTCTAAACCTTAATTTCTTCATTGTAAAGGAAGTGTGATGATGATGATAATAAGAATAACAGCAATAAGAAACAACAACAAATAACAACACAACAGTAGTCATCATATCTACTTTATAGAGTCATCAATTAAAGCACAGTGTCTAGGACATAGTACTATTATGATTTATTGCAATCTTATTTCCCTTATATATTCTTCATAGTTCCAATGTCAGGTGACCAGAACTTATGGGAAAGATGAATTTTCATGTGAGAAGAGAATGTTTGATTTGCAGTTGGAAAATCTAAACTCTGATTCTAGCTCTGCCACCAGCTCATTTTTATGACCTTGATAGAGAAAAGATCCCCATTTAACCTCAGTTTCTTCATTTGTTTAATGTAGAAGTTAGACTAGTTATCTTCAAGGCCTGTCATTTTAGGATTCTATTCACCTACTATATGAAATTTCCCACAAAATTGAGTCTCTGTATATATTGCAGAAGACAAGACCAACCAAAACCAATGCACAATTTAACGGATTTTTTTCACTCAAAGAATCACAAAACTACACAAATAGATAAAAGCAAGCCAAATTTCTGCTTAATGCAGGCTGCCATAGAGGAATCCATTCTTCTTCTTCCTTTAACTCTATTTTTATCTTCATTCTGGATAAACTTTGTGTCGTGTAGGGTAAAATTTAGTGAAAAAAAAATCTTAATCTACCTAGATTTTTCCCAATGTGAGTAGAGACTATTCAGGTTGTTTATGGGGGGTTTTGATTTGTTAATGAGGCCAGTACTTTTGAGTAGACTCAGAATAACTGTTTAAAGCACCTCTAGTTCTCAGGATTGAAAGACATCCCAGAGACATTTGAAAATTCCTGGATATTATTTATAGAGACAATTTGGAGAACATGTTTTTATAATGGCCCTGCAGAGTTAAGGGGTGGGTATTTTGGCTTCCCTAGGCACCAGAGAATGCACAGCACCTGTTTTTTCCAGAAACCAAATAGCAGAGACATATTCTGTCTGGTTTTCTTGGTGCATTTTGGAATGAAGCCTGGAACCTGTGGTGTGCCACATACCTTAGCCACTTTGATCCTCAAACAAAGATCTATGGAAAGCCAAGGCTGCACATAGGCAAAGGAAACCATATATGTGCCGCTTCTAAACAGAACCCTGGACAGTGCACAACAGCAGTTGCCTAATCAGCACCATGGACAGCTCACACAAACACCTTTCTCTTCTTCACCCCCAGTCATCCTTGGCTTCTAATGGCTGTCCAGGACCCAAACTAGAGTAGAGCAGCAGAGCACGGAGGGCACACCCTGAGAGTGAGTGCCTCCTTACATTTTGTGCCCTGGGTGCCTTGTTTGGCTCATCCTAGTTTTACCCTGCAGTGGTTTATTGTTCATTTGTCCATTCAGCAAACATGTTGGCCAGCTAATAAAACTTTTCTTTCACGGGGATTTGTTTCTTAAAGGATCTCCAAGTCAATATGACTGAAATAATTTTGCAGAGGTGGAAGTGTTTCAAGAAATAATTTTAGGACGTGAGCAGGAAATACAACATGACTGTACTAGTAGAACACATTTAAAGGAATAAAGTTTTTTAAAAGTCCATGGCAATTAAAGCTCCATGACTAGGGGTACATGTTTGTGTTGTTTGCCACTGTAAACATAGCACCTAGCAAGAAAATAGGCAGGTACTCAGTACTTATTTGTTAAAAGAAGAGATAATTATATGATATGTGTGATAGTGAACCACTGGATTTTGGAAAGTGTAGTAGCTTGTTCCTTTTTGCATTTTATAAGCATCATTGTGGCAGTGCTTTGGAAGACAGATTAGAGGGGAAGGAAACTAATGACAGGAAGACCAGTTAAAAGATGATTGCAGTGGTTGAAGTGAAAAATGAAAAATTTCAAACCCAAAATAGATGTGAGCAACAGTGTATGTGAAAAGGAAAAATATAGAATTAACAGGAATTTAGGAAGAGATGTAGATTTGTGGAAAAGAGGGTTCTCTCTGGGATAGCTTTGTGTTTGAAGTGGCTGTGAAGTATTACAGTGATGGTAAGCAGGGGACAATTGTCCTGGTGGCCATCCAGAAGTGTGGTTGGTGAACATAGATATGTTTCTAGCAACATATCTGTGGAGAGATATTTTTCTAGAAACATTCTGGAGTTATGGGCTCCATGGAGTCATTTACTTCCTCTCATAAGACAGCTAGCTGGGGCTTGAGGTGTGGAGAGAGGCAAATGAGAAAGAATCACAAAACTAGGATATCTAAATATCAAGTAAATTATATCTTGACAGATAGACTTGTTTTCTCAGTCACAGAATGAAAATATTGGTTCAGGTTATCTTTTTGTTCATTCCAAATTTTATGTTACCTGGCTATTCTAACTCCAAATTTAGAAGTCTAACACCTACAGAGGCAAAGTAAATTTTTCTAAGTTAGCAAAGTTGGCCAGGAAGAGGCTGTGGAAATTTGAAGAGTTATGTGCCACTTAAGGTGGTCACCTACTCCTTGTCTCCAGGTAACCATTGCCACGTGAAGCTCTAGACATTAGAAAATATTTGGAGGTAAATGAGGATGGCATGTTGAGTCCTCTTGGCCTAGTTCTTAGTTCATTTCTGGAGGAGAGATCCACGTGAGCTCTAAGTCATCTTGTGATGACAACATCCCATCTTTCTGCCTCAAAGTCTTCCCGAAAGTTGTGGAACGTACTGATTTGCATACAAGTGAAATCTAGAAATGTGGGCAAGTTAGCACCCTGGGGGGCCACTCCCAGCCAACCAGGATGGGAGCTCATGAACAAATGCTCTGACCTCTTATCTTTCTGGGAGTTAATTCTAGAAGTCACTCCTTATGCGTTCTAGAGGTTAGAGTAGAACTGAGCCCTCATTGCCTTTAGCAGAAATTTGATAATTCACCCTTCTATTGTGAAATGTAGAAAGTCTCCATGACAATTTTAAAAGGACTCTTGTTTTTTATGGCTACAGATGGAATGCACAACCTCAACTGATGCCCTGTGCTAAAGTCAGGACCATGTTAGGGAGGGAGTGGGTCCCTGAGACATGGACTCAAGACATTTGGGTAGATGTCTATAAAACTTGAACCCCCAGATTTTCCTGGGCCCTCTTAGGTAGTAGATGCAGCCTCTTTCTCTTAGTAGAGGAGAATAGCCTCCTCTCTCCAAAAGTCCTTTCCTGGGGTGGGTGTTTCTCCAAATGATGCTTCCTTCCAAAATATCCACCTCTGCCTCCCCTCATTGCTTTCATACTAATAACTAGACCAATAACAGTCTTAAGCATAGGTAAAGTGAGTAAATATAATCCCATTACAGAGAAAAAAACTTATTCACTAAAAGAGTGTGTGACCTAGGTATTGGTGCCAGCAGAAACCCAAAAAATGTGCAGAAGAGAAGACGCTGATGGAGGTGAATCAGGTAAGACAGAACACAAAGATGTGTAAGGGTGGGTTTACTGACATGAAAGCACACTCTTGTAATCTAGAATTTAGCAGCCTGGTAAAAATACCAGGAGCTCGTCCTATTAAGCTATATATATATATATGTAGAGAGAGAGAGAGAGAGAGAGAGAGAGAGAGAGAGAGAGAGAGAGAGACTTGAAATAGATTAAAGACTTAAACATAAGGCCCAAACTAAAATTCTTAGTTTCAAGTGGGATAACTTGCCCACATATATATATATATAGCTTATATATATACACACATATATATATATATATATACACACATAGTGAAATGGTTACCACAAACCAGCTAATTAACCTATCCATAACCTCACACAGTTATCTCTTTTTTTATTAAAACATTTAAGATCTATTTTATTAACAAACTTCAAGTATACAATACAGTACATAAGATGCCCAGAATTTATCTTATTACTGAAAATGTGTACCCTCTGACAGAGAGCTCCTCATCACCTTGCCATCCACTGGCTCGTGCAACCACCATTCTACTCTCTACTTCTATGAGTTTGACTTTTCTGGAGTCTGCATACAAGTGATATTGTGCAGTATTTGTCTTTCTGTACCTGGCTTATTTTACTTAGCATAATGTTCTTCGGTTCATCCATATTTTCACAATGGCAGGATTTCCTTTTTCATGGCTGGATAGTATTCTATTATGTGTGTGTATATAGATACATATATGTATTTATACAATAATTCACTCATCAATGGACACCTGGGTTGTTTACACATCTTGCCTATGGTGAATAATGATGCAATGAACATGGGAGTATCTCGTTGAGATAATGATTTTGTTTCCTTTGGCTATATACTCAGAAGCAAGATTGCTGGATCTTATGGCAGTTCTATTTTTAATTTTTAAGAGAAAACTTCACACTGTTTTTTATAATGTCTGTACCAATCTACATTTCTACCAACAGTACACAGGAGGTCCCTTTTCTCCGCATTCTAGCCAACACTTTTATCTCTTGTCTTTTTGATAACAGCTATTCCAACAGGTGTGAAGTGATATCTTGTGATTTTTTTATGCATTTTCCCAATGATTAGTGATGTCGTGCATCTTTTCATGTACCTGTTGGCCGTTTGCATGTCTTTTATTTTTTAAGCTGCCATTTTCAGGTCCTCTGTCCATTTTTAAATTAATTAATTAATTAATTAATTGTTTGCTCTTGCGTTGTATGAGTTCCTTATATATTTTGGATATTAACCCCTTATCAGATCTATGATTTACAAATATTTTCCCCCTTCTATAGATTGCCTTTTCATTTTGTTGATTGTTTCCTTTGCTGTGCAGAAGCTTTTTAGTTTGATGTAGTCCCACTTATTTATTGTTGCTTTTGTTACTGTGCTTTTGGTTTCATATCCAAAAACTCATTGTCAAAGAGTCTTTTTCCTATTTTTTCTTCTAAGAATTTTAGTTTGGGCCTTATGTTTAAGTCTTCAATTTATTTCAGCTTAATTTTTGTGAGTGGTATCAGATAGGTGCAATTTATTCTTTTGCATCTGAATATCCGGTTTTCCTCACACTATTTATTGAAGAGACTATCTTTGAGGCTCTTGTCAAATACTAGTTGTACTTATGTATGGATTTATTTCTGGGGTACCAACATAGTTCCATTTGTCTACATGTCTGCTTTCATGCCAATGCCATACTATTTTGATTACTGTAACTTTGTAATATATTTTGAAATCAGGACATGATTCCTCCACCTTTGTTCTTCTTTCTCAAGACTGTTAAGGCTATTTTTTTTTTGTGGTTCCATGTAAATTTTAGGATTGTTTTCTATTTCTGTGAAAAATGCCATTGGAATTTAAATAGAAATTACACTGAATCTGTGTATCACTTGGATAGTATGGACATTTTAACAATATTAATTATTCTAATCCACTGACAAAGGAAATCCTTTCATTTATTTTTATGTTCTTCAATTTCTTTTATCAGTGGTTTATAGTTTTCAGTGTACAGATCTTTCACTTCCTTGGTTAAATTCATTCCTAAGTATTTGATTGTTTTTGATGCTGCTGTAAATATAGTTTTCTTTATTTATTTTTCAGATAGTTCATTGTTAGAATTGCAACTAATTTTTTTTGTTTTGTTTTTAGTTATTATTATTATACTTTAAGTTCTAGGGTACATGTGCACAACGTGCAGGTTTGTTACATATGTATACATGTGCTATATTGGTGTGCTGCACCCATTAACTCATCATTTACATTAGGTATATCTCCTAATGCTATCCCTCCCCACTTCCCCCACCCCACGACAGGCCCCGGTGTGTGATGTTCCCCATTCTGTGTCCAGGTGTTCTCATTGTTCAATTCCCACCTATGAGTGAGAACATGCAGTGTTTGGTTTTTTGTCCTTGTGATAGTTTGCTCAGAATGATGGTTTCCAGCTTCATCCATGTCCCTACAAAGGACATGAACTCATCCTTTTTTATGGCTGCATAGTATTCCATGATGTATATGTGCCACATTTTCTTAATCCAGCCTATCATTGTTGGACATTTGGGTTGGTTCCAAGTCTTTGCTATTGTGAATAGTGCCACAATAAACATACGTGTGCATGTGTCTTTATAGCAGCAAGATTTATAATTCTTTGGGTATATACCCAGTAATGGGATGGCTCAGTCAAATGGTATTTCTAGTTCTAGATCCTTGAGGAATCACCACACTGTCTTCCACAATGAATGAAGTAGTTTACAGTCTCCACATCCTCTCCAGCACCTGTTGTTTCCTGACCTTTTAATGATCGCCATTCTAACTGGTGTGAGATGGTATCTCATTGTGGTTTTTATTAGAAATGTAACTAATTTTTATATGTTGCTTTTGTATCCTGCATCTTTACTGAATTCCTTTATTTGTTCCAACAGGTTTTGGGTGGAGTCCTTGGGATTTTCTATATATAAGGTCATGCCATCTGCAGAAACAATTTTACTTATTCCTTCCAATTTGGATGTATTTTATTTCTTTCTCTTGCCTACTTGCTCTGACTAGAACTTCCAGTGCTACATTGAATAGAAGCAGTAAGAGTGGGCACCCTTGTCTTCTTCCTGATCTTAGAGGAAAAGCTCTCAGCTTTTCACCATTGAGTATGCTGTTTGTTGGGCTTGTAATATATGGCCATGCAATATTGAAGTTTATTTCTTCTATATTCAATGTGCTGAGAGTTTTTCTCATGAAGGAATACTGAATTTTGTCCAATGATTTTTCTGCATCTATTTGGACTATATGATTTTATCCTTCCTTCTGTTAATGTGGTGTATCACATTTATTGATTTGTTTATGTTGAATCATCCTTGCATCCCAGGGATAAATCCCACTTGATCATGGCAAATGATAGTTTGATGTGCTGTTGAATTTGGTTTGTTAGCATTTTGTGAGAATTTTACATATATATTTATAATATGGTTTGGATTTGTGCCCCAACCCAAATCTCATGTCAAATTGTAATCCCCACTGTTGGAGGAGAGGCCTGACAAGAGGTTACTGGATCATGGGGATGGATTTTCACCTAGCTGTTCTCATGATAGCACGTGAGTTCTCATGAGAACTGGTTGTTTAAAGGTGTGTAGCAACTCCCCCCTTACTGTCTTCCTGCTGCTCCGGCCATGCAAGATGTGCTTGTTTCCCTTTCCTCCATGATCAAAAGTTTCCTGAGGCCACCCCAGCCATGCTTCCTGTACAACCTGAAGAACTGTGAGCCAATTAAACCTCGTTTCTTTATAAATTACCCAGTTTCAGGCATTTCTTTATAGCAGTATGAGAACAAACTAATACAGTTTATTAGGGATATTGGCCTGCAGTATTGTTTTCTGGTGGTGTCCTTATCTGGATTCAGTATTAAGGTAATGCTGGCCTTATAAAATGAGTTTGGAAATGGTCCCCTCTATTCAATTTTTTGAAAGCGTTTGAGAAAGATTGGTATTAGTTTCTCTTTAATGTTTTATATGAAGCCCTTAGGTCCTGGACTTTTCTCTGTTGGGAGATTTTTTATTCCTGATTCAATCTCTTTACTCATTATTAGTCTATTCATATTTTCTATGTCTTCATGATTTAGGCTTTGTAGGTTGTATATTTTGAGGAATTTATCCATTTCTGCTATGTTATGTAATTCATTGACATGTAATTGTTCAAGTCTGTTTTGATCCTTTACATTTCTGTGGTAGGGGTTAATATATCCTTTTTTCATTTGTAATTTCATTTATTTGAGTTGTCTCTCTTTTTTTCTTGGTTAATCTAGCTAAAGGTTTGTCAATTTTGCTTACCTTTTCAAAAAACCAAATCTTTTGGTGGTGTTGATCTTTTCTAGTCTTTCATTATTCCTGCTCTAATCTTTGTAACTTCCCTTCTTCTGCTACCTTTGGACTTAGTTTTTTGAACTTTCAAGTGTAAAGTTAGGGCGTTTTTTTGAGATCTTTCATTTTTTTGATGAGGTCATATATAGCTATACTCTTTCTTCTTAGAACTACTTTTGCTGCAACCCATAGGTGTTGACATGTTGCATTTCCAGTTTCATTTATTTCAAGATATCTTTCCACTTTCCCTTTTGGTGTTTTCTTTGATCCATTGGTTTTTCAGGAGGGTGTTGTTTAATTTCTACTTATTTGTAAAGTCTTCAACTTTTATTCTTATTGATTTTTAGTTTGATATCCTTGTAATGGACAAGATGCTTGATGCAATTTCGATCTTTCTGAATCTGTTAAGACTTGTTTTGTGGCCTAACATATGATCTGTCCTGGAGGATGTCCATGCATATTTGAGAAGAATGTGTATTCTAATGCTGTTGAATGAAACATTCTGTATATGTCTGCTAGGTCTGTTTGATCTGGAGTAATGTTCAAATTTGTCATTTCTTCCTTGATAGATTATTCTGTCTGGATAATCTCTCATTGTTGAGGATCAATATTGAAGTCCCCTACCATTATCGTATTGCTGTTTTTTTTTCAGTTCTGTTAGTAGTTGTTTTATATATTTGGGTGCTCCAATGCTGAGTACATAAATATTTACAATTGCCCTATCTTCTTGATGAATTGACATGAAAGGGAATACTTTTAGATTAGCATATTAGGTGTGACTTGGTTCCATGCATAGAAGAATGGGGTATTCAATTTTTGTCTGATTATAATAGTACACATACAACAAAATGTGAATTAATATACAATTACGTCTTCGACAGCCTGGAGCCCACGCATTCCCTGGGCTTGGATGTAAACATTTGGTATTGGGGCTGGGCATCTTGTCCACTGATATTTTGGGTCTGGCCCTGGAGATCAAGCCACTGAGCTAGTTGTCAGAGTCTCAGGCCACGGCTACTTGAGCAAGTAAAAAACATGCAGCTGGTGCCGGAGTTTTCAATACCCATGTCCCCTGGGAGAGTCCTGTTTGGTCATGTGCATCTAAGCACACAACCTTGGTTACCCAGGAAACCAAGGCCAAGTGGATCTGGATGCTTTTTCTATGGCCTTTGTATTTAGCAGCTGAGATATTGCCAGAGCAGCCCAGCTGTGAGCATCTTGAAGATGAAGGATTCATGCAGATTCCTTCACAAATATGTGTGGTGAGTGTGATTGGAGCAATTTGTGGTGACAAACCCACTGAACACTGGAGCAAATTGTGATGACTCTGAAAGTCTTATGTTTCATATACAAAATGAAGTGAACACTCATTCATTCAAGACATATGAAGTGCCTACTATGTGATAGGCAGCGTGCTAGGAGCTGATAAAATAGTAGACGAGACAGACAAGGTCCCTGATCATGAATTTACATTCTTTTGGGAAAGACAGATGTTAATTAGTCTAACAAACAAACAAGACAAGTTCAGTTATTAATAAGGGCTATAAAGAAAATAAAATGTGGAAGAAGGTGCCTGGCATGTGTTTGTAAGGATGATAGAGAAGTCACTTTTAAAGGAAAGGCAGGACAAACCTCTCTGAGATGACATTGGATCAAGATGTCAGTGCCACAAGGAAGCCAGCCAAATGAACATCTGCAGGAAGAGCCTTTCAGCTAGAGGGAATGTGTAAGACCTCAAGGCAGCAGTGAGGCCCCCCAAAGTGTTGGAGGCCTCTGCCCCTTTAAACTGATGCCCCTGCACCTGAGGCCAGGTAAGGCATTGGAATAGGGAGGAACTGGAATGTTAGGTGAATGTGGAGGAAAGATCCTTGGGCCAGTGGGAAAAACTACTAGATCCTTGTGGTTTGTCTGGTCTCTGTTAGCTGGGTGGCCTTGAGCATGTCCCTCTTGTTGGGCATCACTTTCCCCACCTAGACCTCAGTTTCCTCAATCCCCAAGTAGAAATGAGGGTGTTGAAATACTTCAGTGGTTTCCTTTTGCATTTCCAGCTATTGAGCCTTTTATTCAAAGAAAAATTTTTTTCTTTTCCTTTGTTTTTAAGACACAGTCTCCCTCTGTCACCCAGGCTGGAGTGCAGTGGCACAATCTTGGCTTACTGCAACCTCTGCCTCCTGGGTTTAAGCAATTCTCGTGCCTCAGCCTCCCGAGTAACTGGGATTACAAGCATGTGCCATCACGCCCAGCTAATTTTTTTATTTTTTACAAAATACAAAAATGTATTAGTAGAGATGGGGTTTTGTCATGTTGGCCAGGCTGGTCTGGAACTCCTGACCTCAAGTGATCCACGCACCTCTGCCTTCCAAAGTGCTGGGATTATAGGTGTGAGCAGCCGTACCTGGCCCCAAGGGAAATTTCATCTGATAGTTAATATATAAAACAGCAAGGATATGGAGCATGGTTAAATCCTGGATGAAATGCTTAAAGACCCTCCCTCCATCAGCCTGGAATTTCAGAATTCCAAAGATCCAGGCCTCTTTGCTGAACTCTGAGATTCAAGATTGTCCCTGCTGGTTTCTTCAATGTCTTCATGTCAAACTATGACCCCTAAAGCTTGTCCCATGGAGGTTCTGGCTGTCTTGCCTATATGCTGGTATAGTGTCTGGGGAGTGTAAGGTCTGCTAAGTCAAGACAAAAGGGCTCCTCTCAACTCTGAAGCATCACAGAGCACAGGCCCAGAAGAGAACTTGGTTGGGGGCAGGGGGGTGTTGCCTCTTCTAAGACCAGAGTCATATGATCTCCACAGCCCAGCATCACAGATGGGCAGAACCTCAGCCCAGAGCCATTTGCTCCTGGATTAAGTCATGGAATATGACAGTGTCATGCAAGAATGTGCCCTTCCCTGGGCCGTGTGGAGGGTGCACATGGCAGGTGAATATTCTTTATCCCTTCTACAGTGGAAGCAGGGCTGGGACCTCTTCAAGCTGTGGGCCTGCCGCCCTCTCACCACCATCACTTCCTGTTCTCTGACTTTGCTGGTGTCAGCCAAGGAGAATGCAGCCACAGGTTGCAGGGAAGTGGGGACTGGTTCTGCTGCCTCAGCAACTTGGCTTTGTGAAGCACCCTGGAGAAACCTTCTCATTACTGCCCTGGAGCCCACATGCTCCTAGGGGAGTGATGAAGAGCCCATTAAATGCTTAAACGTGAAATATCGTGTAACTACATTTTGAATTGGTTTCTCTGAGCATAGGGGGATCAATCTGATTATGTAAATAATGCATAAATCCCAAACGTGCAAGGTAAACTTTCATCAGCCTCAGTAACTCAGGTTGAGCTTTAGGCTTGAGATGTGAAGAGAAAGCTGATTTCTTTGACTAAACACATTTGGTTATTTTTTTTGAATTGCAGTTGAGGGAGGCAGAGTGACATGGTGCAGGCTAAGAAGAGCACTGAACGGGGTGTCTGGAGCCCTGCATCCTACTCCTGGCCTACCCCTTTGTGATCTTAGATAAGCCCTTTACTTTTCCAGGCTTCCACTTTCCTTACCTGATTCAGAAGGGCCACCAAGCCCCAGTTTTCCTACCTCCTCAGGATATGATGAAAATAGAATGAGACAATGGATGTAGAGCAAAAGCTACTCAGGGTGTGATAGCACCCTGCCAAGTGTGCGTTACCAGTCTGCAGGAGGATGATTGCAGAAAGTAAGAGTAAGTGTTTAGAAACTTTTATAGCAATTTAATATTGTGGTGACATCCAAGTTTGTGATCCAGGGACATGCTTCATTCAATAGATCATGAGGCAGCTTGGGTGCTGCCAAATTCACAAGATATGTCATACCTGGCCTGAGCTGCATGCCAGTGGTCCAGGATGGATAAGAAATAAAACCAACAAAACAACAACAGCAAAAACTTGTTCTCCTTTACAAATACTTTGAGAAACACTGATGTAGATTCCTGCTTTCAGAAGTCCCCAAACATTGGGAATAGAGTGATGTGTGTTGTGATGTAGCTGATAAAGGAAAAGAAATGACAGAAGGGAGTGCTGGTCCTGGCCATGCTGCTTCCTTGCTGTGTGACCTTGGGAAAGCCACTCTCCTCTCTAGGCCCATTCGTGATCTCCACGTGAGGGTTTCTCTTTTTGCCAAAGATGTCAGTATAAGATCAAGGGAACAGAATTCCTGTTAAATGGAAGGGAATCCCAAATAGGCTGATGAATTAGGTGTGGGGTTGGGAGATGTGGTTGATTGCAAAAATAGCCTCCATCCCTCATTACTCCCTGTACCCATGTCCTTTGCAATATGACTTTATCTAGCTCATTCCATCAAGAGGTGTATTTTTTTTTTTAGATAGAGTGTCCTTCTGTCACCCAGGCTACAGTATAGAGGCATAGTCATAGCTCACTGCAGCCTCACATTTTTTGGCTCAAACAATCCTTCCACCTCAGCTTCCTGAGGAGCTGGGACTACAGGCAGGTGCTACCACACCCAGCTAATCTATTTTTATTTTTGTATAGACAGAGTATTATTTTGTTGCCCAGGCTGGTTTTGAACTACTGACCTTAAGTGATCCTCCTGCCATGGCCTCCCAAATTGCTGGGATTGCAGGAGTGAACCACCACACCCAGCCCAAGAGGTGGAATCTGTTCCTCTTTCCCTTGAATATGGAATAGCCCGTGACAGTGCCATAGAAGTGATGGTGTGCCAATTCTGAGCCTAGGCCCCCAGAAGCTTTCTCTTGCTATCTTAGATTCCTGCCCAGCTGTCCTATGAACAAGCAATGAGCTGCCCCACTTGAGGCCAGCCCAGATCAGCCAGCCCACAGACAACTTGATAGGTAACTGTAGATTCACTAGTGAGCCCAACTGGGACCAAAGAATCACTCAGCTTAGTCTAGTCCAAATTGCTGACCCATAGAATCATACAGTAAATAAACGCTATTGTTTAAACCACTAGGTTCTGGGATGTGTTTTTATGCAGCAGGAGCAAATTAATCCAGGGATAAAATACAAAGCTGGTTGTGCTAGGTGGTTGGTTGAGTAGTTGGGCACCAGGCAAAATGATGGCAGAGTCAGTTTGATTTGATCACCTTTCCAGCTCTTCTGTACCCCTCCCTCCAAACTAACCCCAAAGTTGCTCCTGGCTTCCTGATCCCATGCAGGGAGTTATGCTCTTGCATGTCTCCCACCACCACAGGTCAATGCCTCATCAGCATCCTAAACAATGGAACTCCTTGGGAAACTGACGAAAGCAAAGACTTTGTCCCTCAGGAAAAATGCACAACTCTACATTTATGTATGCTTTGTGTACAGTTTTAAGACTCTGGGATCCAGTTGTGAACTCCTTTGCCCAGGTTAAGTGTTCTAGGTACAGAACTCATAGTCTCTTTCCAACATCTCTTGAATCTCTCTTCTCATGCTTCCCTGTTGAAACTTCCCAGTCCTCCACCTTACCTCCTAAGGGACTTGTAACCTTATCAATTAATTCACATGAGACAATGTTAGAACAAAAATTCATTAAAATGTAGAGCTCTTGGAAATGATTTCAAAACACCCTCATCCATAGTATCTCAGTTAATCCTTTTGACAGCTCTGTAAAGGATGTGGGCATGACCCATCCTCTTTATTTTTCCAGTGAGGAGAATGAGCCTTAGTCCAAGGATGTCACTGTCCGAGATCACTCAATCAGTAATGGGAAGCATCAGGATTCCTAGTGTCCTTCACTTTTCAGAGACATTGCATGTTGATGGTAGCAAATACAGATGGGGAAGGCGTATCCTGTGTGAGGAGCATCTGCAAGGCCTCTGTGGATGTATGGAGAGCAGAAAAAGAGTGGTAGGAGCTGATATCAAGTTGGAATGTCTAACAAATGTAGGATTTTCCCTTTGGAAGACCACACACCTAGAGTATGAGCAGGGGAGGCTGTCTGCAATATATGAAGTTTACCCTCACTTTGGAAAATTCTGTCATTAATTGCATCTGTCTATATATATATATCCTCCCCTTCTTCCTCTTCTGAAAAAAGAAGGAATCTCAAGTCTTTAACACAGTCCAAACTTAGAATTATTTACACTTCAACTTAAACATGCCAGTCTATACCTTTCACAGCAAAACACAACTTGTTGAATTTTATTTTTAAAACAAGCAAGTCTGACTTCGAGACTTCATGTCCTTTGAGCCAGTTCGAGAAACATTTATCATTGCACCTACTAGGTGCAATGTCCTCTCCCAGGACCTGAGATTGGTGAGCATGAGAGTTCAAAGTTGAATTCAATGTTTCAAATCCTCATGACATATCAGGGGAAATAAGAAGCATCTCACTCACCTTGTAGACCTTTTCAGCCTTCAGGGATGGATTTGGTGTTCTATTCTTCTGTGCCCTTTCCTACTCCAGAAGGAAACATTCTCTCATTTTGGTCTGTTCTCCATTGCCATAGGAATGGAAAATACATCAGTGGGAACCCACAGGATATTATTATTTGGCTATTAGTGTTTTCTTTGCTTTTTTTGTTTTTGGTCTTTTCCATTCAGCTGTGAGCTCCCTGAGGGCAGGCACATGTCTAATTACTCTTCTGTTCCATTCCCCAATTTCAACTTCCCAAAATCCACACAACACCACGGCTAGTAAAGAGATGATTGATTGAGCTAGAAAACCACAAAACACACAGAAAATGCTACATGTCCAAAAAGAGGTGCAAACAAGGGCCTTTAAAAGTGTATGCATGGGAGAACCTAGTTATATTACATGACTATTGTTCTTCTTAAGGGCATAAAAGACCAATCCATTAACAGAAATGACTAATCTTAATCACTTAATCTTAAGCACTTAATACAGAGCTAGAAATGTAGCAACTACTTGAAGCAGTTGAGCTCTTGTTATTACTCATGTTGCTACTGTTATAATAATATTACAATTTCAAGTAGGAACATTTCTAAGGAAAAAGACTCCCAAGCCTTTACACACACCCTACCCAATTTATGTCGTTCAGGCTGCTGCCCCAGCCCATTCCCTCACTTAAACAGAGAATTTCCTTTTGTTTCTTAATCCAAGGAAAATGGACTGCAGAATATCCTTGCTCTAAAGTTATCTTTGACTGGCCCTGCAGCCCTGGGATTCAGTGAGCATATCTCTCTCCTCTAGGATTCAAGGTAATGGAGCACACATCTGCATGGTTACCATGGCTCCAGGGGCTTGTTTGGCTTGCTATGAGAGCATTTCCAACCTTAGACCCCTTATTGTATTTAAAAATTATTCTATTATCCACTCAGGAGCTGGAGAAGAGGGCATGGATGGACATAAAGAGTCTCTGTGAATGGAAATGAACAGACTAGAGACACTGATCCAAGGCCAATGCACACAGCTCACTTGGGGCACACCAACTCTAATCTTACAGGTTACTAATTTCTTGTGGGCTACCCAATCGATACTTGGGTCTGTTTCAAGGGAGGGCCAAGGTTGAGGTTAATTTCTTGTAGAAATTTATGAATGGTGTCTTGGTTAATAAATGTTTGATTGAAAGTAACATAAACCAACTCAAGCCAGCTTAAACAGAAAAAGGAATTTTCTGGAAGGAGAGTGAGGCCTCTCATGGAACCCTAGAAAGAAAGAAAAGTCACATCTCTAGAAAAGGCTGGAGCAGGACCTCTTTGGTGACCCTGAGTATTGTTATTTTAGGCTACCCAACATTCATTCCTCTTTCTAACACCATTCCAACCTTCCTTTTGAAAAAGTATTATTTCCCTTTTGAACACAGTCTGGTGGAATTATAAACAGAGGCCCTAGTTAAGAAGAAGCCATATCACACAAGATAGTCCAATTGGCTGTTTAATCCTGAAATTTGAACACTAATCAGAAATTTAAGAGACTCAAAACAGTTGAGATTTATCTATTTGGGCTGTAGTGCCTGGAACAGCTTGTTCTTACCATAAAACTATTCCCAAAGTTACCACTTATTAAAGGGTCACCTGGGTTCTGTGCCTTATCAAGTTTTTTAGCTTTTCCAACAATTCTATGAGGTACCTATATTACCATAAATGCCCATTCCAATAAACGACCAAGTCAGTCTCTTCTGCTGGCAACAAAGGAACCCTGATCAATACATAGGCCACCCCTCTAGAAAGTTGCCACTGACTTGAGTCAGCTTACCACCCTTATTCTATATCTCACAATCAGAATCTTCCAGGAGAGAGAATTTGGCACATTTGGCATCCCCTTGATCCAAATAGCTGTACCTAAGGGGGGCGGGGTCATATAATTGGGAACATACCTGCCAGAGGCATACTCTGGCAGGAGTAGGGTGGGCAGTTCTCAGAGAAAAGGATGGGTCTAGCGGACTGGACCAACACCTTTTCCAAGGACAATGGACACAGAGAGAAAAGCTCTGCTGACCAGGAAGCATGTTATGTTTTGTAGAAGCAAACTTCTTACTGGGAACCAGGTGTGAGCAAGTAACATCAGAAGCCAGATATTGATGAGATCTAAAGAAGGGCAGTTGATCGCAAACCCCGCATAATCTTAAGACAATAAAACTACATTTATTCCAGGCTAACTATTACAAAGAACTTAGCTAAAAACTGGATATAATGATGTAAATAAACTTTTTATTGAATTTACAATCCCTTTTTCAATACATTTGAAAACCAGTGGAGGAACTTACACTCTGTTGGGTACGATTAACTCATTGTCAAATGTGTACTACTAAACTCCTATTAAGGGTGCACTATTAAATTGAAAAGAGGAGAATTCCATGAAATCAAGATGTTTATAATCTTCTTAGGACCATATAATAAAAAACTACATAATTAATCCTGGAGAATTAAAAACTACTTAATCTAATATTATGGTTTGATAGATAATTACGTCCCTTAACAACCTTTTTTTAGAACTTATTGGGTTCCCCCAAAATTCCCTTTTCTCTTCTGAGTCTTCCCCATGGGGTTTTCTATTTAGTGTGCTTCTAAATCACCTTTCATCAAATTTCTATCTATCCTCCATTTCTGTTTCAGGACTAATCATTTCATAAAGTTTCCTCTTACTTCTCAGTTTGAAATAGTATTTTTCTCACACACTCACACCACTCTGCTCATGCTTTGTTTATAGGTATTTATGTATTCTACATTGTATGGCATTCATATGTAAACCTCGCTTATCTCCACCCCTTTATTAAGGGCTACTTGGGAACAACATCTGCTTTGTTCATCTATCTATTCTCAACAGTATTTGGCAGAGTTTGCAATAACAAATAGATGTGTATTAAATGACTGTTGAATTGAACTCTGCATTTTGAGTGACAATCGAGACTTGGATTAAAGCAGACTAGACACTCTAGTTTGAGCCATAGTTTCCAGTGGAAAGCACATTTATATGCTGTTTATCTAATAGTAGCTCTAGCCTGTGGGACTCTAGTGCGTAAACACTTGTTAGATAAAAGACATGATTTTCCAGTATTAGATTTCAGAACTTTGGTGTCTTTGTCCCTAAAGCTATGTTTCTTTCCCACTCTCATCTGCCAATCCAGCCCTGTGATAGCAGATATGAATTATCTATATACTCTATTTGGTGTAATTCTCTACTTCACTTAGACCAAAATAGTCACTGGTTATTTTCTTCCAGTGGCACTTATTTTTCCCATCATTGATTAGGTCATTAAAAGAAGGAGTCTTGGAAAATTCAAAATCCCAAATATGTTTGCCTTCTCTGGTCTGTTTTACCCAAATATTTGTTCTCACTCTCTAACGAACAAACTTTCTCTGTATGTTTGACATATACACACTTCTTTAAGAAGCTGAGTCTCTGATACTTTTGGAATCAAAGGCCACAGAATAAGCTAATCATAAGTAGAAGCAACATTTGTCCTTGAAGGAAATGTCCTGGGCATCCATTTTCAGCTTGGTTGGACTGCGATTTCCAACTTCTCCTGTTTTATGAGCAAAACACAGACAATATGCAAATATATAATCTTGAGGTCATTTTTGACTTCTCACTTTTTCCAAAAGATGCTAAATCAACTTGAGCTCACATGATGGGCTGGTGGCTGTAGGTTGTCAATATCATAGGAACCCAAAATCCCTGTACTCGTAGTATTCCTGGTTAGAAAGCAGTGCTTCTTCCTTTTTTGTGCATGACCTGCATGGTAACATGTATAAAATCTTTAAAATCAACATTTCTCAGTTAAAAATATCTGTGCTTAAAAATGAATAAAGAAATTGATGTTACCTTATGCCCAGTCCTCTGCAATGTGGGGGAGATGAAGGAGATGCAGTTTTTGGACTCAAAGAGCAACCATTTGTGCAGCATTTACTATAGTCAGTCCTGGTGCTTCAACTTTTATGCCAGCACTGTGGCTAGACACTACAATGATCCCCATTTTATTGTGAGGTAACTGAGGCTTAGAGACATCCATGTGACTACTGACTAATGGAGCTGGGACTAATAGATGAATAGAGCTCAAACCCAGGACTGTCTGAAAGCAAACTCCATGCTTCTTAGTAAGCAAATGAACAACCTGAACAAGAAGGATGTTGTGGGTAATTAGGGTGGGTCAGACACAGAACACTGGGGTGGGAGGGAGGACGGGGAGGATAAGGAAGAGAGAAAGACAGGGTGGGGTAGGAGAAAAAGAGATGACTTTCTGGAGGAGGTAGAGGATTTCTGGATCTTTTGTGTGTGTGTGTTGAAAAAGAAATAATTCAATCGACATTTACGAAAAGGTTTCACCAAGAAAAATGGATTCATGTCTTTGTCTTAGTCCATTCAGGTGGCTATAACAAAATCCTTTACACTGGGTAACTTATAAGCAACAGAGGTTTATTTTGCACAGCTCTGGGGGCTGGGAAGTCCAAGACCAAGCCACTGGTGCTGCCTAGTGGGCGTTTGCTTCCTGACACTGTTTTTCTAGCTGTGTCCTCACACAGTGGAAAGTTACAAGGCGGCTCTCTGGGATCTCTTTTATAAGGCACTAATCTCATTCATGAGGGATCTTCCTCTGTGGCCTGAGCATCTCTCAAAGGACCACCTCCTAATACCGTCACTTAGAATTTTAACATAAAATTTGAGACATTCTGATCATAGCAGTCTTTCTTTTTTAAATCACATCTGGGAACCCAGAACCCCCCTCTGCAGAATGAGAAGTGGTTACACTCAGCAGGGGTGCCTCCCTTTAAATGGGGTACCCACTTTCCAGTTTGCCATTCAGTATCTACCTACTGGGGCTGCTTCATACATTGGCAATTCCTACCTGGCCCCTGTAGGTTTTAGAGTTTGAGTTCCTCTAAAACCTATGGTGGTTCTTAGGGTTTCCTTTATATTCTCTCCTCCACACCCCTCAGTTTCATGCCAGGAAAGAGAGTTAATTATGGCTCAAGGCTGAAGGACAACGTTTGACCAGGGCATCTGGAGGTGTATGGTTTGTGTCCTTTTAAAATTCATATGTTGGAACTTTAACCCCAAGGTGATGGTATTAAGAACTAGGGCCATTGGGAGGTGACTAAGGCATAAGGACTTGGCCCTTGTGAATGGGATTCATGATCTTACAAGAGAGGCTAGCCTGGCCCTCCCATCTTTTCTGCCATGTGAGAACATGATGTTCATCCTTTTTGCCTTTCCACTTTTCCCCTATGTGAAGAGGGTGCAGCAAGAAGGCATCATCTTGGAAGCAGAGTGCAGCCCACACCAGACACCAAATCTGCTGACACCTTGATCTTGGAATTCCCAGACTCTGTGAGAAAACAATCTTCTGTTCTTAATAAATACCCAGACTCATGTATTTATAAATCCCTGTTATGATCACACAAATGGACTAATGCAGGGGGTGAGTACGCACAATTGCTGATGAAAGTGGTGAAGAGTTTTTACCTCTGGCTGGTGGAATTCCTTACCTTAAACCAGAATGTGTGGCCACTTTCAGGAACAAGCTAGTAATGAGGTTACAAAGATAAAAGTGAATGATCTTAAAATATTACATATGAAATTTAAGCATCAGCAAGCACTCTTTTTTGTTGATAAAAATGAATATGGGCTGCTGTGGAATTATTGTTCTTGGAGTAAATCTTCATACCAATTCTCCTAGCTGAACTGTTCACTACAGAAGCCCCTCCAATATCATAATTATGACAATAATGATAATAGCATCAACTACTATTTACTGACCATTTATAACATGCTAGATTTGACTAAGTACTTTACACACATTAGCTCATTTAATTCCCTCAACACTGTAAGGCAGGTATA
Source organism: Homo sapiens (assembly GCF_000001405.40). Lineage (NCBI taxonomy): Eukaryota > Metazoa > Chordata > Mammalia > Primates > Hominidae > Homo > Homo sapiens. The sequence goes on along the minus strand of NC_000016.10, from coordinate 49,139,429 downwards.
GTCATCCCCATCCTACAATATGAAGAAACTGAGGCTCAGAAAGATTCAGCAACCAGGCTAGGACACATAGCTTCAAGGTGACAGGTAGACCCAGCTTTCTGAGTCCAAAGCTCATGTCTTTAACAGTAATGTCGGTTTCACTCAGAGTGTGTGGGCCACAGGTTCCCAGCATCTGAATTATCTGGAGTAGCCAAACTATAAAAATGCAGATTTTTAGCCTCCACCCTGGGCCAGAATCTCTGAAGATTCACTGGGCATTCCTTGATGCTCACTAAAGTTTGAGGACTCGCAGCCTCCTGGGCTTCCTTTCTCCAAGGTACTACTTCTGCCCAGACAGCATCTTCTTGCACTTGAAAAGGTTAGCCTGGCTCTCTGCTCCACTCCAGTCCAGCTCTGCAAGCTGATGAATTACTGAAGTCATTTCATGGGAGCCAAAGGAATTTTCAAAAACATCACCTTCATCCGCTTATATTTTAGATGAGAAAACTGAGGCTCGGGGAAGATGACCTACTTGATCTAGATCACAGAACAGCCCAAGTACTTTGCTTCTCCATCCAATGTGCTCTCCCCTATGCTGAGGGTCCCTTCACTTCCTCTGGCCCTTCTTTTCCCTCCTTTTCAGACAGATGCATCTTTTCTCATTCAAGCAAGATGGACTGAGCCTAAGCTTTTCTTTGGGGCTGGCATTTACAGAGACAGAAAAGAATGCCCACAACTGGATCACATCAGTAGAGTTCAAGAAGGCACGAGGCCTGTCTTGCACCTAGGGTAAAAATTTCTCAACTTGCGAGCATACAGCCACAACATTTGCATTTGGGCTGCGGAACACAAACAGACTTCGCCTCCATCTGAAAATTGAGAACTTCACCCAACTTGCCTTCCGCCATGTCCCCGTGTGAGCCTCATCGAGTGCCCCTTTGCTCTCAGCAGCCCCTACCTTAAACTTTTAAACACCAACAAAAACCTTCAGGTGCCACATTCTCCTGGCTTTGTGGTTGTCTTTTCCTCCTCCCTCTCTCTCGCTTTTTCAGCTGCCTTCAAAACAGAGAGGAGAAGCCTCTATTTGGTTCTGACAACAAGATCTCCTGGTGCATATTTCGCCTTGTGTTTTCCTTCTGTCATTGATCAATAGACTCAAATGCCAGGCCTCCATCACAGCTGCAGACTTTGATAGCCCAAACTGTCTTGGCCCAGCGGAGCTTGTCTGCTTGAGTTCTGATGCTGAGAAATGTCACAGCAGGGAGGGGCTAGGAGCCCCTGTCAGCAAGCAAGGGAGGAGGGTGGTGACAGCTCATTCAGGCACTGTCTAGGCATCCCCTATGGGCTGGAACTCATTCCTGTCTGGGGCTGTTTGCAGCCACAGGTAAAGCCTGTCACTGTGCAGGCACTAGGTGAGTAAGGCATCGCCAGGGCTCATGGCAACCAAGCCTCGTTAATTTTTTTGCCATGAAATCCTCAAAGAAAAAGGACATCCACAAAGAGTTTTCTGAATCCAGGTCTCAGCTGGGATGCTTACCATCAGTGTGCCCTTTGGGCTGCACTGAGCTTATCTGGGCCTCAGTTTCCCCAGCTCTGTAAAAGCTCCCCATCCTCATCACCTGTCTGAGAAATAAACAAAGCAGATGTGAAAGTGATTTGGAAGGTGCAGAGTGCTCTACGAGTGAGGAGGGGGCCATGATGGAAACTAGATAAGCAAGTGCTTTTTCAAATCTCTGTTTCTTCATTGTCTGTCTCAACAAAAATGAATCTGGAGCTGTGCTGTTTGCAGAGCAATTCTCACTTACTAATTACTGTGAAAGTTAAAAATAATAGGTAGATATGGAAGAAAGGAGAACTACGTAGTTGCTAAATTATTCACAAATGCTCCTGTTCAACAATTACCTTTTACTAATCTTCACCTCCCTCTGCCTCAGGTCCTAAACTCCACTCGCCACAAAAAACCCACTCACAGGAAGATGGACTAGAAGGGAAGGCAAGAGATGGGTGGTGGGAGCCACCTGCCTCCTTTGCCTAGTTGTGATAAGAGTGGGCTCTTGTCAGTTTTCTCTGCCAAGCGGGGGGCATCACTTCTTGGCCAGCTGGAAGTGAGATTTCTGCTCAAATTTCATTAGAAGAAAACTTCATAACCAAGAACACTGGTGTCCTCTTCAGGAAACGGCCCTGTATTTTACTGGGGGCAGACTTCAAAGTGGATATATCCAGAACCACTTTTTTTTTCCCACATGCTCACTAACTTTTTGCCATCAAGGTTGGTGGTAGTGTCCCTTTCACCTGGCCATCCGAGACAGGCTGATAAAGAAAACAAGTCTATCTGGATGGGTGGGATTTTCTCTAAATCAGAGTGCTCTCCCTACTTCCCCGGGCTGTCTCTCTGATTGCAGCAGAAACTACTCACACTCCTTCTTATAGCAGGACCCTTAACTAGAATATCTGTGCCTAGCAGTTGCCCCCTACACTGGCACTGGATACAGTCACAGCTCCCACCATGAATGTTAAATGCAACACAGAAACTCACATTATAAATCATGCTGGTGGTTGGGGGAGGGGGTATTGCCATAATTTTCAGCAGCTTCCCAGCCATTTATACCGAGTTCAGTGGAGCTGCATTCCACTTGCCTCCCCTCTATGGTAAGGAAACTATCTACACTTTATATAGAAAAAAATTACAAAAGAAGGAAAAGAGCTTACCAACCAAAAAGAGTCCAGGACCATATGGATTCACAGCTGAATTCTACCAGAGGTAAAAGGAGGAACTGGTACCATTCCTTCTGAAACTATTCCAATCAATAGAAAAAGAGGGAATCCTCCCTAACTCATTTTATGAGGCCAGCATCATCCTGATACCAAAGCTGGGCAGAGACACAACCAAAAAAGAGAATTTTAGACCAATATCCTTGATGAACATTGATGCAAAAATCCTCAATAAAATACTGGCAAACCGAATCCAGCAGCACATCAAAAAGCTTATCCACCATGATCAAGTGGGCTTCATCCCTGGGATGCAAGGCTGGTTCAATATACGCAAATCAATAAATGTAATCCAGCATATAAACAGAACCAAAGACAAAAACCACATGATTATCTCCATAGATGCAGAAAAGGCCTTTGACAAAATTCAACAACCCTTCATGCTAAAAACTCTCAATAAATTAGGTATTGATGGGACGTATCTCAAAATAATAAGAGCTATCTATGACAAACCCACAGCCAATATCATACTGAATGGGCAAAAACTGGAAGCATTCCCTTTGAAAACTGGCACAAGACAGGGATGCCCTCTCTCACCACTCCTATTCAACATAGTGTTGGAAGTTCTGGCCAGGGCAATTAGGCAGGAGAAGGAAATAAAGGGTATTCAATTAGGAAAAGAGGAAGTCAAATTGTCCCTGTTTGCAGATGACATGATTGTATATCTAGAAAACCCCATTGTCTCAGCCCAAAATCTCCTTAAGCTGATAAGCAACTTCAGCAAAGTCTCAGGATACAAAATCAATGTACAAAAATCACAAGCATTCTTATACACCAATAACAGACAGAGAGCCAAATCATGAGTGAACTCCCATTCACAATTGCTTCAAAGAGAATAAAATACCTAGGAATCCAACTTACAAGGGACGTGAAGGACCTCTTCAAGGAGAACTACAAACCACTGCTCAATGAAATAAAAGAGGATACAAACAAATGGAAGAACATTCCATGCTCACGGGCAGGAAGAATAAATGTCGTGAAAATGGCCATACTGCCCAAAGTAATTTATAGATTCAATTCCATCCCCATCAAGCTACCAATGACTTTCTTCACAGAATTGGAAAAAACTACTTTAAAGTTCATATGGAACCAAAAAAGAGCCCGCATCGCCAAGTCAATCCTAAGCCCAAAGAATAAAGCTGGATGCATCATGCTACCTGACTTCAAACTATACTACAAGGCTACAGTAACCAAAATAGCATGGTACTGGTACCAAAACAGAGATATAGACCAATGGAACAGAACAGAGCCCTCAGAAATAACGCCGCATATCTACAACTATCTGATCGTTGACCAATCTGAGAAAAACAAGCAATGGGGAAAGGATTCCCTATTTAATAAATGGTGCTGGGAAAACTGGCTAGCCATATGTAGAAAGCTGAAACTGGATCCTTTCCTTACACATTATACAAAAATTAATTCAAGATGGATTAAAGACTTAAACTTATACCTAAAACCATAAAAACCCTAGAAGAAAACCTAGGCATTACCATTCAGGACATAGGCATGGGCAAGGACTTCATGTCTAAAACACCAAAAGAAATGGCAACAAAAGCCAAAATCGACAAATGGGATCTAATTAAACTAAAGAGCTTCTGCACAGCAAAAGAAACTGCCATCAGAGTGAACAGGCAACCTACAAAATGGGAGAAAATTTTTGCAACCTACTCATCTGACAAAGGGCTAATATCCAGAATCCCCAATGAACTCAAACAAATTTAAAAGAAAAAAACAAACAACCCCATCAAAAAGTGGGCAAAGGACATGAACAGACACTTCTCAAAAGAAGACATTTATGCAGCCAAAAAACACATGAAAAAATGCTCACCATCACTGGCCGTCAGAGAAATGCAAATCAAAACCACAATGAGATACCATCTCACACCAGTTAGAATGGCAATCATTAAAAAGTCAGGAAACAACAGGTGCTGGAGAGGATGTGGAGAAATAGGAACACTTCTACACTGTTGGTGGGACAGTAAACTAGTTCAACCCTTGTGGAAGTCAGTGTGGTGATTCCTCAGGGATCTATAACTAGAAATACCGTTTGACTCAGCCATCCCATTACTGGGTATATACCCAAAGGACTATAAATCATGCTGCTATAAAGACAAATGCACACATGTGTTTATTGAGGCACTATTCACAATAGCAAAGACTTGGAACCAACCCAAATGTCCAACAATGATAGACTGGATTAAGAAAATGTGGCACATATACACCATGGAATACCATGCAGCCGTAAAAAAGGATGAGTTCATGTCCTTTGTAGAGACATGGATGAAATTGGAAATAATCATTCTCAGTAAACTATCACAAGAACAAAAAGCCAAGCACCGCATATTCACACTCATAGATGGGAATTGAACAATGAGAACACATGGACACAGGAAGGGGAACATCACACTCTGGGGACTGTTGTGGGTTGGGGGGAGGGAGGAAGGATAGTTTTAGGAGATATACATAATGCTAAATGACGAATTAATGGGTGCAGCACACCAGCATGGCACATGTATACATATGTAACTAACCTGCACATTGTGCACAGGTACCCTAAAACTGAAAGTATAATAATAATAAAATAAAAAAAAAAAAGAAAAGAGCAATTTGAATGGTTTCTGTGATTCTGCTCAGGAGTGAATGAGCATGAAACGAGGGGCATGCCTGGGGTGCTCCTCAGTCGCCAGAATTTCAAAATGCCTCTTGCCACTAGGAGTGGGATTCCACCTCCAAACTACACATTGTCTGAAACACCAGCTGAGAAGTGCCACCCTCTATTTTGTGCCTATTCCCACATGACGTGGAACCTTGGATTTAGTGGGTGATTTAAGCTATATTCAAGAGTTATTTGGACTTCACTTGATTTTTACCTTAGTCTCTAGAACCCAACATCTGGTGAGAGAACCCAACATCTGGTGAGAGAACCCAACCCTGTCTAAGCTCAATAGAAGGTAAGTTTAGACTTCTTTTATTATTATTATTATTTAGAGCTGATGCAAACATACCTGTAGCACCCCTGCCTCTTGCATCCCTTGTGATAGCAAAGACATGCTTGAGTCAGAAAGGAGGGAGAGAGTTTCCATTAGGGCACTGGGAGCCGAGAATTCGTTTACCAGGCCACAAGGTTGGCTGTGGGATTACAGAGTTGTGCTTCAGTTTTCTATTTTGTCAGGGTTTACCAAAATCAGGGATGTGGAAATTACTCATCAAGTGTCTCAAGGGGAGAATAAAATGCAAAGACCAGGGTCACATCACCTCTCTGACCCTTTTACTCTTTGTCTTCCACCTCCTGGGAAATAAATTGGCACAGATACAGCCAAGGGCCCTTTCCTTTGCGGCCTTCCTCCCAGTGCCCCCTTCCTCCCCAGAGGCACTTTTTGTTGACGTTGTTCTCCCTTGCATATTTTTATATTTCACTCATTAATGTTTCTCCCTTGCATATTTTTATACTTCACTCATTAATGCTGACATAGATTACCGTTTTATGTATGCTTGGGTTTGTATAATGATACCAGGCATCACATGCCCCTTTGTGGCTGGCATTATTGCTACTTTTCTTTGCTCTGCTGTAAAGAAATCTGTCCCGACTCTCTGAGCCCATTTGGAGTCTGCAGTCTTTCAGGAGGTCCCATGGGTGCCCTAGCTCTTACCAACTCCCCTCTTGTCTGGACCCACTTGGTACTGGCTGTCCTGCCCTGCCCACCACTGGGCTCATTTGTCTCTGAAGGCAGCCACTGAGACTCATCTGTCTTTGCAAGTCCTCTCTCCTGCCCCATCTCACAGCACAATACCGGATTTGAGTGGGAGTTACTAAGTGATCTCATTCAGTAGGTTGTGGGCAGTGAAAGCATGAGGGGTAAATTGTCTCCCTCACCCAGTCTTGGGTAATTTGTACTGTAAGTTCTAGGCCTTAGGAGGGCCCAAGAGGAAGCAAAAGACACCGCCTTGCAACAGCCAGCACCAAACCTGCACAAAGAGGACTGTGGACTTGCTGGTGCATTCTCTCCCCTAACTTACGGCTTACTCAACATTTCGGGGAATTTTAGGAACGTGACCAGCCAGAGTTGGGCTGAGATTTTCTCTCTTGTGGCAGATGTTTCCAAAATTGATGATTCTCACAACTTCTTGAACTTCATAGTCATGCAAGGAGTTTGTTCAACCTGAGGTTCCTGGTGCCATGCCTGAGTCTGATCTGTATGTGAAGCTGTTCCCACTCTCAGCGTTCACTGAATTGTATTTCTTCCTTCCATCCAACATCAGTTTCTCTGGGGGCAGGTTAACATAACCCAGTGTTTCCAGACCTTCCTCATCCTCATATTCCCTGGGGAAGGCTCGATAAAAATGCAGATAGCCTGCCCCAGCTCTACTGAACCTGAATCTGCAAGAAGAGGTGCTAGGAATTTGTATTTTTAAAACAAATATTGCAGGAGATTCTAATCGGCAAAGCTTGGGAAGTACTGATCTAATAAATGTAACATTTTCTCTCGATATTTTAATACAAAAAATTTCAAACATACAGAAAAATGCAAAACATTTAAAGTGAACATGAGTATTTCCACAGCCTAGATTCTACCACTGACATTTGAAGGTACTTGTTTATTACATATCTATCCATCTATCCATTTCTCTCTGTACAGATCCACCAGGATGTCTTTGTTTTGGGACATTTTAGTGTAAATTACAGGCATCAGTACACTTTCCCCTAAATACTGCAGCATGCATTTTATTAACTAGAGTTCAGTCTTTGGGTTTACAGTTATTTTTCTTCTGAGATTAAATTTATATAGAGTAAAATGCACCAATTTTAAGTGTACTGTTGAACTAATTTTGACAAATGCATATACCCAAACCCTCTTAAGCTACAGAGCATTTACTCACTCCAGAAGGTTCTCTCATACCCCTTCCCAGACTATCTCTGCCTCTACCCCTCAAATCCAATTTTCTCCTGTTTTCTACCATAGTTGAGTTTTGCCCTAATAAAAACAACCTTTAAAAAGCAGTAAAACGAAAAATGGTTTTCTAGCAAACTCATATCCAGATTATCAGTATCTCCAATGACTAATGTGGAGATGCTGCAGTTACGGCTGTGTGTGAATTCAGAGTCCCGGGCTCTGGGTCTCCATGTTGTTCCCCAAATCCCTCGAGGTGTCTGTTTTATCCCCTAGTGCTCCAAGGAACTCCATGTGAAACTGTGGCCCTGGGGGCTACTGCAGCAAAGATGGTCTTATATTATTTGGTCCTTAGAGTGTTGCTTTATTCTTGGGAAACTTGCTTTCTCTCTCTCTCTCTTTTTTTTTTTTTTTTTTTTGAGACAGAGTCTCACTCTTTCCCCCAGACTGGAGTGCAGTGGTGGGATCTCCACTCACTGCAACCTCAGCCTCCCGGGTTCAAGCGATTCTCCTGCCTCAGCCTCCTGCGTAGCTGGGACTACAGGTGCATGCCACCACACCCAGCTAATTTCATTTTGTATTTTTAGTAGAGATGGGGTTTCACCGTTTTAGCCAGGATGGTCTCGATCTCCTGAACTCATGATCCACCCTCCTTGCTTTCCCAAAGTGCTGGGATTACAGGCATGAGCTACCGCACCCAGCTGCTTTCTCTTTAAGTGGGAAAAAGATTCTGGGCTCCTAGATATAGCTTGCTACAATAATTCTACAAAGAAGAAGAAGAAGAAGAAAAACATACTTTCAGTTATTGTTTTTGTTTTTTTGTGGGATGGGGAGTTTTCTTGTTCAAATTTGGGCACATGGGTAATGCAGTTTCATTTCACAATTCTCAATAAAGCTACCTGAACTCTGATTGTATTAGGAACCTCCGGCTACTTCCCTATCATACAACCTGTAATATCAGCCTGTAATTTTCACTGTGCAGCAGAGACAGGCTTTATGGGCTGGGGGACGCAGCAGAGTTTCATCTTGCTGCCTGGTTGCCACAGGCTAGCAGTGTGGAACAGAGCTCATGCTCAAAATATCAGAAAGAATGTGAGAACAGCCCCCACTCCTGCCCAACTGGAGCTTAGGATGAGGAAAGCAAGGGGTCTCCTAGCCCTTCTTTCCGTGAGCCAGCAACCAGGTTCTCCTGGCTGGGCTGCTCAGCAATCCTTTCAACTACCCAGTCTCTCTGGACAAACAGTTGCTCACCCACAATATCCTGGGGAGTGATACTGACCCCAGCCCTGCTTCTTAGTCACAACCTTCTGCTTCAAAGTTGTTTCTCCAAAGCAAGCTGCTAAGTCACAAATGAAAACCAAGAAGCAGGGGTTAGCTCCAATAAAGAGTCCTATCCCAAACTGGGCCCAAGTTAGGATGACCATAGAATTCAGAGTACAAACAAAAGCAGCTTTCAGAATGCAAAGGGACATTATATTATGCTGATGTAACATGCAAAATTGGGAAGGAGTGTCACCCTAACTGGGAGCCCAAAGATGTGGCCAGATCTGTCCTGGGTTAGGCCAGGGTCCAGACCCTGTTTTAATCTTGTTGGCTCTTCCCTTTATTTAATTGGCCAGCCTGTCTCCAACTTTTGGCACTAGTAATATGAGCAGATTTATCTGCCAAGAGGCAGGCTGCCACAGTTGTGCCTAAACCTACATACTTTGGCTGAGCATGGTTCCCAGCCACTCAGGAAGCTGAAGTGGAAGGATCACTTGAGGCCAGGAGTTGGAGACCAGCCTTGACTATGTAGCAAGACCCTGTCTCTCTCTCTATATTTTTTTAGTTAGCTGGGCATGGTAGCACGCACCTGTATTCTCAGTTACTCAGGAGGCTGAGGTGGGAGGGTTGCTTGAGCCCAGGAGCTCCAGGCTGCAGTAAGCTATGATCATGCCACTGCACTCCAGCCTGGGTGACACAGCAAGACCTTGTCTCAAAAAAAAAAAAAATTTGGGGTGGGGGGCGTGGGTGGGAATGCTTTGAAGTAAAAAAGAACTTGGATTCCAGTCCCAGTTTTGTCTTGTTATTAACGATGACACCCTAGGAAAGTCACTTTGCCTCTCTGACCCTCAGTTTCCTCACTTCTAATGTAGAGATAATTATATGCTCATTCCACAGAATTGTGATGAGGACTAAATGAGATCATATGTGGCAGCACCTGACAGAGTGCTCAATAAATGTTGAATACTGCCTTGTGAGGCTGACCCCAGTGCCTCTCTCTCTGTCTCTCCCTGTCATTCTGTCTCTGTCTCTTGTCCTCATGAGCTGTGTGTTTCTAGTATTAATACACAAAGCATATTTGCAATGATTCTTTGCTGAATTATTACAGAAGAAATTTGATACATGACGCTTGCATCTACACATAGTCTCCATTCTGTGGCCCCATGCCAGATCACTTTCATTCATTTTAGGCAGTCAATTATTGCCTTTAGAACTGAAGCAGGGACTCTCTTCACCCTAAACAGTATGGTTTTAATCAGCTCAAAAGCAGACAAGTGTCCCAAGCCTCTTGCCTGTTCATTTTTGGACGTTGGTGTTACCAGTAAATAGAGACACTTGGGAAGAACAATGAATAGAACAGGACCCATTCTTTCGCTATGAAGAATGACCTTTTGTTAGCTTATAACACAGGCTGCACTTTATTATAATTATTCATTTGTGGAATGTTGACTAAGCCTGAATCCCTGGTATGAAATTCAAATGCATTTTCTACAATTCAAAGACATTTAGCAGGGGTAAACCTCAGTCCACAGAAGCCTGAAAGCAGAAATTACGTCATCCTTTATTTGCTTTGAACTCTGAGCTCTCTTCCCACCAGGTCAGTGGGGAAATTCAGTCTCGGCCAGGACAGGAGATATCCCCACACTCCAGAGTTGGCTGATCTGCTGGTGCTTTACTCACTGAGGTAGTTGTCAATGCTGATTGTCAACTATTCTGCTCCCTTTTCTCTTTCTGGACCATGGCATGACTTCACTTCCCTGAGTCCATTGTGCTTGGGTGGGGCTTGATGGCTTATTCAGACCAGTGAGCTGTAAGTGGAAGTGATGAAGCTGGGGCAAGGATACTGAGAAACTGATCCTTTATTATCCTTGGCCCCATGAGACAAAACTGGCAGCCTGTTTGTATCTCATACTCTTCAGATGGTGCAGTAAACTGACATGATGTGGAAGCTGGGGCTTGAAGAAAATCCTGGCTCTAACTAACCTGTTGTGGGGCATTGGACAAGTAACTTAACATCCCAGAGTTATCATTTTTATGGATACAAAATGGTACCCAGGATTAAGTGAGATCTTCTAAATAAAGCTCCTACTAGAGCACCCGGAATATGGTAGCGGCTTAACAAGTACGAGTTACCCTTTGCTAGCCAGTTGTAGTCTCACAGCTGTCTCTCAGACGTCTTGATAGAAGTGTGGGTGGCACTTAGCTCTAGATAACAAATGTTTTTCCCTCTAAGTCTGCCAGATTCTGTTGCAGAGTTATGTCAGACACAGAACCAAGACATTTACTGGAAAGGAAGCAGGCAGCTGCTGAAAATGCATTGGTTCTCTACATCAGGTTTGCTATTTCAATGAACTGTTAAATGTCAAGTGAATGTTTTCCTCCTTCTTTCAGACCTCACCAAGATCATCTCTCTGTGGCCCCAGAGAGAAGGGCTTGGCAGTCTTGATTCACTTGCAGACTGTATACTAGGACTTGAAGGAGGGGAGTTCAATCAGCCTCATATGTTAACACAAACTCAAATTTTTAGCTTGGAGATTTGTATAGCTTATTTTACTTAAAGTATGTATGCATGTATATTATGCATTCATTCAAAAATATTTATCAAGACCTTACAATTCATCAAGCACTATTCAAGAATCTAAGGATACAAGGAAAAACAAAAGATAAATATTCCAGTTCTCAGGGAGCTTACATGAGCTTACATTCTATGAGGGATATAGAAAACAAGCAAGATATGTAAAATAAATGAGAAGGTAGATATCAATAAATGCTAAGGAGAAAGACTAAAGCAGGGGAGAAGAATAAGAAATAAAGTGGAGGAGCAATTTTAGATAGGGTAATTTAGGAAATCCCCATGAAAAGAGAACTTCCGAGCATATACAGGTATCAGCATCTCCAGACTTTGAAAATGCCCCTGCCCTGCCCCATCTCACACTATCCTTTCTGATAAACTCAAAACAATGGCCAGGATGTGCACATGACTGGTACCAAGAATAGCGATAGAAAGGATGAGCAAAGAAAAAACCCACTGAAGGATGGAGTGGTAGGAGTGCAGGGTGCAGAGATGACCCTGAACAGGTGGAGCTGTTTTATTCATTCATTAATCCAATTTTTCAACAAATATCCATTTCTGCCAATAATATATGTTTATCTTGTAGTTAGATTTTAAAAATGTTCTTAGAATATGATTAAGAGGGAATTAAAAAAAAAGAGTGAAGACCTTTATGGGGTGTTGGTCCTGTCCATGGTCCTGAAGCCCTCAAACCATGGAGTCCTTGCCATGAGGGAGCTTACCACCTCGTGGAGGAAAGGGGTCCAGGTATATATTAGTAATAGCAAACACTCACAATAAAGTGTGCTTTCTGCCAAGCTCTAGTGTAAGACTTTAACAATATTAAGTCATTTAATTGTTACTACAACTCTATGAGGTAAGAACTATTATTATCCTAGTTTGCAGAACAGGAAACGGAGGAACAGAGAGGCTAATAGCTTGGCTCAAGTTACACACATAGCAGGTGGCAGAGCCAGAAATTTGAGCTCATGCAATCTTGCTCCAAAACCTATACCCTTAATCACTACACTGCCTTTCTACAAACAAATAAAATGAATGATTATAATATAGAATGATATGTACTGAGATAAAACTTGTATTTTTTATGCCACTGATATTGAAAGACACTAGAGTAATCAGACTGTGACAAAGGTCCAAGGATTCAGATGTGGGAAAAGGCATCTCCCTTGTGCTCAGCTTTCTGGGGCTGGGGAAGACCCGGCTTGCCCATGGAGAAAGGACTTTGAAAGTCATAGCCTAGCAGAAGCAGGAGGGTCCTTGTTCACACATCAATTCTGTCACCCTCTGGCAACCTGAAGTGTGTCTAGGAGGAGCTGTTAACAGTATTTGTTTCTGGTAAACACCTTTGTTCCTTGTGTTGACTATTTTTAAACTTTTCAAGCTGAGCTAACTTCAGGTGTGACATTTCAAAGTGGCTGCCCAGTTTTCTATTAGATGAGTGAGGGGGAAGGGATAAATGAGTGAAGAAAAGAACCTGAGAGAATATATTTACATTGCACAAAATGGCAAAATAGAATGTAGGAATGATGCTTCAGCCATCCGGTATACCTCTGGAGGCATTTTGGTGTGGCAGAGCAGGAGGTGAGAAAGGCGGAAAGGAGCATCTTTTATACCTTCTTTCCCCAATTTAACAAAGGTTGATATGATACTCTTCACTCAAGCATCCAAGATGCTTATGGTTACACCACCAGATTGTAGTTTTTGATGTATAGTCATTACCTGAACATCCTGTTTTCCTAGTCAGTTTTGAATCTCAAAGCTGACTTTTTAAGACCACAGTTAGGTTGAGTTTCAAGAGCTGCCTTATTTATAAATCAATAACCAGGTCTTGCTACTTTGGACCCTACAGCTTCACTAGTAAGCACAGGCAGAGAAAATTCAGCAGCTAAAATAAAGAGAGTGTTCCCACCTCTGCCATCTTCTTCTCCAGGGGCACCAAGTGCCTGTGAAGTGTTTAACAGCCTCCATGGGAAGGAGCCCCATGGTGACCTCATATGGGAGCAGTGGAGCAGCTTTTGTCCAGGTCTGTTTTATGCCAAGCACAGAGATCAGCCAGGAAGGTGATCTACCAACTCTGTGCAAGTGGAAAACTCACCAGGAGGTGTGTTTCACCAGGAAGGAAGAGAAAGAGATCTTCTTGGGAGAAAACAATTGGTGGAAGGAAGGCAAGAGATCACAAGTTGGGGTTCTGGGCCCTCCCTTGAGGGGAGGAGTTGTGGAGACCTAGACAAAGTTAGAAAAACTCCCATAGGTTTGGAGAACTTCTGGATTAGGGAATTTGCTTCTTATTTCATGAGGGTCAATTTGAAAAATATTGCAAGCCTCCGAGAAAAACTCTCATGTTTAACGTGGAGCTGGAATAGCATGATCCCACACAGGCTGTAGTTGGGACCAGCTGCAGCGATGATGTAGGAAGTGAGAGGGTTGACATTGGTGTCTCTCAATCACCCTGACTCTATTGAGCCATGAAAGAAGCACCAAGATCTCATAGGCTTTCAAAGGGAGTGAGGCTGGCAGTTGAGTTGCACTGCAGGGATCCCTACATCTTGGGAAGGACTGTGTCAGCTGGGACCAAGGAAGGCTTGGTTATTTGGGGGCACTATACATTTTACTACCATGACTTTAATGGTATGTGTCAGAACATGGCCAAGCCAGAAACAAACAGGCCAGAATTCCCTCCCCACAAACAAAATAACAGCACTTGGTTCTACAGCTCCTACCTCATCATCACTAGGTTGCCGCACAAAATCCCCTGGAATTCAGCATCATTAAAATACAAAGCCAGAAAAGGTGGAGCAGAGACAGCCTGGATTAAACCTGAATTTCCTAAATGTTTACTCAACAATGTTAGCAACCATTTGATACTGAGATGTTGATTGGAAAGCCTAAATTCTGTATGCTCCATTACCAGTCAGTAGTAAGGGATTCACAGGAAATTTAACTCAGCTACAGAATGTAAAAAATGCCACGTTTGAACATCTGAGGGTAGCATTTGAATTGTGCTCTCACACTTTAACTTAATTGAAGGGATCAGACTGAAATAGAAAGCAAGGCAGACAAGGGGTGGTGGGTGTGAAAGGAATGGGGCAGACAATGGCGGGTGTGATGGGGTCTAGGTGAATTGAGGGAAGAGGGCGCTGCTGGGTAGGTAGGAGAGTGGGCAAGTCACCTCTGGCCTCTGGGCCTCCTGACTGCAAGCTGGTCTGTTTCTCTCTATCCCAGCTGGCCCATAGTTTATTGAGAGAATCAAATGATATTACAAATGCCAAAAAGCCAGAAAGACTGTAAATGATGTTGATGTTTGTGCTTCTTCATTCATACTTTGGTTTTCTATTCTCACTCTGCTGTTTTTGTATGCTTTCCACAGAACAGTTTACCAAAAATATTGTGTAAGACATGCACTAGGTGGGCTCCAACTGGATGTTTGGGAGAGAATAAATGTAAAGACAAAAAGGCATGTTCTCCATCCTCAAAAATTAAAAATAAATTAAAATTAAAATTTAAAAAATTTAAAAGAGCTTCAGGTGCCCTTTAAGTGGCTGGCACACCTCCTGGTGAGTTTTCTGCTTGCATGGAGTTGGTAGATCACCCTTCCTGGCTGGTCTCTGTGCTTGGCACAAAAGCGACCTGGACAGAAGCTGCTTCACTGCCCCCTAATGAGGTCACCGTGGGGCTCCTTCTTCCCATGGAGGCTGGTAAACACTTCACAGGCACTTGGTGCCTTTGGAGAAGAAGGTGGCAGAGGTGGGAGTGCTGGGGAACAATGAGGAGGTTGCTGTACAAGGAAAGTGAAAAGGCTGTGGAGAACCCTCACCCCTCTTACTGGGATAGAGGCAGGCTCCATCCTGTGGCTTTTATGCTTCTATCTCAGACACTTCCAGGGTCATGTCCCGAGAAGCCTGGATAGGGCTGTTAGTGCTGAGAGCCTTTTTCCTGAATCATGCACATTCTCATCTCTAGCGGCCCTCCCACCGACCCTAAGAGGTAAAATGAGTCAATGCCATCGCTCCCCAGAGTATCAGAAAAGCCAGGCAGACACAGGGTTTCCTCAGTGAGCCCTGGGCTCTTTTCTCCATTGTCCAAATCATGGAAAACATCAGAAACAGAGAAGAATACAGAGTATTCTACATAACACATACACAATCACCTCCAGATGGAACAAGTACTGATGGTTTAATATACATGCCCCAGCTTAAAAAATGCATGATAGACAGAGCAAAGTTTACCCTTTGAAATCTTCAAAACTCCATCTTACTTTTCCTCCTCAGAAGGAACTATTATGAAAGTCATGTTTATCCTTTCTGTCCATGTCTCTATCACTTATGAATTAATAGACAAATGTAGGATATAAACTTTTATGTTTTCAAACTGTTTCATAAATGATAGTGTATAGAATGTCATTCTTCAACTTGCTTTTTCTTTCTGTCTACAATTGTTTGGAGCTCTTTCTTTGTTAATTCATGTACTTAGACTTCATTTCAGGCTGAATTGTGTCACACACTCAAATTCACGTGTTGAAATCCTACCCTCAGTACTGCAGATTGTGATTGTAGTTGGAGATAGGGTCTTAAAAGAGGCAATTAAGTTTAAATAAAGTCACAAACGCGGGCCCTAGTCCATTATGACTGATGTCCTTATAAGAAGAGGAGACTTGGACATAGAACCCTACAGAGGGAAGGTCGTGTGAAGATGCAGGGAGAAGGTGGTAGCATCTATAATCCAAGGAGAGAGGCCTGGCACAGATCCTTCTCTCACAGCCTTCAGAAGGCAGGAACCAACCCTATCAACACCTTGATTTCAACCTTCCAGCCTGAAGAACTGTGGGAAATAAATTTCTGTTGTTCATCATCCAGTCTGATGCTTTGTAACGGCAGTCCAAGCAAACGAATACTGACTGCCTCTCACAGGGGAATCCTACGGGAGGGCCAGGGGCTGGTCATGGACTAGTACGTTGCTTCTCCCTGAGATTTGTGGATTTTATCAGAGGAATTTATGAAAGCCTTCGTATCTATTACCTTAATATCTTGTTAGGGCAGAGCTTGAGGAACTGTCACAGGTTGTTGGAGAATAAGTTTTGGGGCAAGGGATTGTTCCCAGTGCCCCATAGTTATCTCCAGGACACCAGACTTTTATGACTACACAAAAGACTGCAACATCATTGGCCACATCTCAAGAGCATTGGCCACTACTTCTAAATTCTTTCTAATCTGGGGAGTCTGATTGATGCTCCCAGAGGCTGCTCTCAGTTCAGAAGCTTCCTGTATTACACAAAGCCTGCCCTGCAGGTCCCGAAAAGGCAGAGGATGGGAAAACACATCATAGAGTCAGCTTGTGATATCACGCATCATCTTTAAGAAAGCATTTGTGGAGCTTCACGTAAAGCCCCTGTGCCTCTAACGTGGGCCCATACCTGGGGAAAATATTTGGATAGATTTTATCTGGCAAAAGGCCAAGGAAGCCAGCCAAGATGAGATCTGTTCCTCAGACTCACTCATTGCAGCTCCACAAGGGCTCACCTCATGGACATGCTGCAAGAACAGGTTCATGTAACAACAGGTAAGAAATCTTCTTGCTGGAGGAGGCAGCTTGAAGAAACCAGACAGTTTGCTTGAAAACTCAACAGCTTTTTGTAGCCCAAATGACTTAAAGTGCTCAGAGGAAAAGGTGGTATTTTGTTCCCTTCAGAAGCATTTTGGGGCCATTGTTTATAATGGTGAAAAACTGGAACCATCCTAAATGTTTCCAATTTTTTAAAAAGTGGGATTTATTAAATAAAATAGAGAAGTGAAGCTCTTAAAAATGATATGTAAAGACATGGAAAGATGATGAAGAAATGGTGTTATTTGGATAAAAAGTTACTTTTTAAAACAGTAAGTATGCTACAATTTCATCTTTATTTAAAAATATTTATAAGAAAGACTAAATGGTTATGTAGAAAATGGTAACTTATCTCTAAGTGGTAAGTTTATAAATGCTTATATGTTTTCTTCTTGTTTCTTTTTGCTGTGATATATACAGTCATATGTTACGTTGCTTAATGAAGGAAATATGTTCTGAGTAATCCACCATTAAGTAATTGCATCATTTGTGTGAACATCATGGAGTGTACTTATACAAACCTAGATAGTATAGCTGACTACATACCTAGGCTATGTGTTATAGTCTATTGCTCCCAAGCTATAAACCTGGACAGCATGTTGCTATGACGAATACTGTAGGCAATTGCAACACATTGTGTACTTAAACATATTTAAACATAGAAAAAAACAATAAAAATGTGATATTATAATCTTACGGGAACACTGTTATATACGCAGTCCGTCATTGACCGAAATGCCATGTGGTGCATGACTGTATGTATGGATATATCTATATCTATATCTATATCTATATCTATATCTATATCTATATCTGTATCTATATCTATATCTATATCATCTATGTCTATATCTATCTATATATATGTGTGTGTGTGTATATATATATGTAAATATATATATACAGAGGAAGAATTTACCCTGTGTTTTTGTCCCTCTTTATGTAGTGAGAGAGAACTAAACCAGACAATCTTTAAGCTCTCTACCAGCTGTAACATTCCAAGACTGATTCTGAAACATTGGAAATTAGTTGGACTTAGTGACACAAAAAGTATTTATGAAAAGAATATTTGCCTGATTAAAAACAAAGTTGTTGGAGAATGTGGAGCTGGCTGCTACATCAACACAACCCATGGGCTTTCATGATGTTTTGGCTGTTCTGATTGCAAAGGAAAAATGATGATAGCTCACAGCTACTAAATGCATTACATACTTGGAATTGGGCCAACTGTTTTACATGTATCATTTTACTTAATCCTCACAGTAACCCTATGAGGTAGATGCTCCCATTGCAAGCTGTAACTCTGCAGAGATCAAGTCAATGCCCAAGGTCAGTAGCCAAGAGAGCGGGGTGTGCGTTTGAAGTTCAAACCCTGAGATTTGAGTCCACAGCCTTCATCTTACTTTCTGCTGTCCCCTGGTGGAGCACTTCCCTTAGCCTTGCCATGGCAGGAAAACATGACATCCTGGAAGAGACCAACGGGGCAAGTGTAAGCCTTTTGGGTCATGAGCATTAGAGAATAACCCACTGAAGTCTCCTTAGGGCAAATGAAGTGACTCCACAAACCAAGAGCTGAGCTTGGTGGGAAATGAGTCATGAGCGTCAGCCCAGGGAAAGGTCACGGTGGTTCTCCTCGGTGTCAGGCTCAGGGTGGCTGGAGCAAAGTGAAGAATTGCTAGGAATGGAGGGTAAATAAGGGAAATAAGCTACACTGAAGGGTTTGCATTTCCTTAAAAGTGTTATGTAAGGTTTCATGCTGGAGATGAGTTAATGAAACATGCTGTTACTTAAATGAAGTGTTCTAGTTTTAGAAGCATGAGGTATTGCATGCGAGCTGTGCAATTCCCCATTCCTGCCCTGCCGTGCTCTATATCATGGAGCCAAGAGCCTCAGGTTCCCATGCCAGCTCACCCCCATCTGGGTTCAGATGGTGGAAAGAAGAAAGAAGGCAGGACATCTCCCTCCATGGCCTCCAGCAACATCTCTGCTAGAGGTCACGTCTCCTCTGAGGCTCTAGCCCTCACTGAATGACCTACCACATTTCCAACTTCTGCTGGATGATGTGAAACCCAGGATCTGGTAACCCCCTTCCTCCCAGTTCCTGCCCGCCCACCAGTCTTGTGGTGGTAGCAGCTTCTACCATCACCAATCTTTGGCTAACTTTCATCCTTTGCTTGATTTTTCTGTTTTCCCATTAGTTGTGTAACCAATTACATTCCCTCTGTTTGACATATCAGAGTGGTTTCCTTTTTAATTGATACATAATGATTGTACATATTTTAGGGGTACATGTGATATTCTGTTAAAGGCATACAATGGATAGTGATCAAATCAGGGTAATTAAGATATTCATCACCTCAAACATTTATCATATGATTCCTTTCTTTTGATTGAACTCTGACTGTTATGTTCTTTTGGTTATCAATTTCTGAGTTATTCCATGATCTATAGGGTAAAGTGTGGCAGGTAGTGTAAGGGGACTTCAAGGAAGATTCTATGGCAACATGAAGGTGGGTAATGATAATACCACCAGGAGCATCAGGTGTGACATTTAGCTTGGCCATTAATGAGGCCAAGCTGAACGAGGGAGCTGGAAGAGAGAGGAGCATTTGGGTGAAGGGATCTGTGTAAGCAAAGGCATGAGCAGTAAGAATCCTGGTCTTGTAAATAATGGCCAGTAATGAATAAAAAATAGATGAAAAGTCTTCAACACTGCAAAACGAAGAAGTTCTTCAGTGAAGGTGCACTTGAGGATGGAGATATGTAGGGAGTATCAGAGAACCAATGGGTTGTGGATGTGTCTAAAATGCAACATTTTGAAGTGGGAGGATTGCCTGAGTCCAGGAGTTTAAGACCAGCCTGGGAGCATAGCGAAACCTCATTTCTACAAAAAATAAAAAAGTAGACAGGCATGGTGGCACAAACCTGTGGTCCCAGCTATTTGGGAGGCTGAGGTAGGAGGATTACTTGAGCCCTAGAGGCTGAGGCTGCAGTGAGCTGTGATCAAATCATTGCACTCAGCATCGGCAAGAGGTGAAACCCTGTCTCTAAATAAATAAGTAAGTAAATAAATAAATAAAAAGTGCAAGATTGGAGAAAGTTGGGAGGAATAAACCCAGAAGGGTATATTGAGGTATGACTAAATGCCAGATTAAATATTTGGGCTTCATCTCAAGGCAACTGTAGGTATCATTGACTCCCAGGGCTTGGCCATGAAAGGTATTCAATTAATCTTGTTTAATAAGTAAGGAACTACTGAAAAGCTTGGTAAAGGGAAAAGACATAAACAGAGCCATGCTCTGCAAAACTTGTTCTGGCAGAAATGTGTAAACTCAGAGTGGTGGGAGGGCAGGAGGGGTGGGGACCAGTTAATAAGTGACTGTAAGCTGGCTGGGTACAGTGTCTTATGCCTGTAATCCCAGTGCTTTGGGAGGCTGAGGTGGGATGATTGCCTGAGCCTGGAAGTTTGAGACCAGCCTAGGAAACATAATGAGACCCCTTTCTCTACAGAAATTTTAAAAATTAGATGTGCATGGTGGCACACAGCTGTAGTCCCAGCTATTCAGGAGGCTGAGACAGGAGGATCATTTGAGCCTGGGAGTTTGAGGTTATGGTGAGCTATGAATCACACCACTGCACTCCAGCCTGAGCCACAGAGTGAAACACAGTCTCCAAGAAAAAAAGAAAAAGAGAGAAAGAAGAAAGAAAGAAAGACAGAAAGAGAGAGAGAGAGAAAGAAAGAAAGAAAGAAAGAAAGAAAGAAAGAAAGAAAGAAAGAAAGAAAGAGAAAGAAAGAAAGAAAGTTACTGCAAGCAATCATGAGCCTGAGAAAGATAAGGAGGACTCAGATATCTTACATATCAAAAAATTAGAATTGCAGATCTCAGATGTGGGTGACACAAGAGCACCTCTGAGGCCCAGCACCCAAGACCTGGGAGTCAATGAGGCCTACGGTTGCCTTGAGATGAAGCCCAAATATTTAATCTGGCATTTAGTCATACCTCAGTATACCCTTCTGGGTGGACAGAAACGCCAGCATGAGCATATGCATTTGATCAAGCAGGGGCCCAAGAAGGGCAGGCATGGAGAAGATGAGGGAGACGCGTGTTTAGTGGTGACAGTTATTTAATAACCACTCTTGGATCTCCTGGCCTTTTCTCTCCTGTTGCTGTAAAGACATTCATTTTTCTTTAAACCCAATAAATTATTCTCTGTCAGCAAGCTTGGGGGAGGGGATGAAGAGAAGACCTCGGTTTGCTCTTGGCTTTCCCTCTGTCTAGTCCAAACACTGGAAATGTCAAGTTTGCCCACTAATTAAACATGTCTGTCTTGGACTGCACTTGTATCTTTCACTGAGAAGGTGTAGATTTCCAGGGAGACATTACACATTCATGTTTCCAAATACAGCATTTTACAATCTCCCTGTGTGACACAAATACCAACTTTGTGAAAGTGTCTCCTGGTAGGAAAGACACCTGAGTAAGGCAGCCTGGGTCTGGTGGAGAGTGGGGATGTGCTCAAAGCCTTCCCTTTGATTTGTTTTCTTGGGGAGCTTCTCTGGGAGCCTCTGTAGGGCCAGCTCTGGACCTTGCTGGATTTCCATGAATTCTGCTACACAGCTGATGTCTCCCAGGACTGGATCATGGGAAATCTTGTTCCCTGGTCACGTTGACACTCCCTGCTACTGTCCTTGGTGTCTGGGTGGTAGGGAACTTGGCAATTTGCAAGTGTATCTGTGGCCATAATTTTCATAATTTTGCAAAGCTTTCCTAGAAACCTAAGAGAAAGGTATCATTATCACATCCATTCCATAGATGCGGGCTTGTAGTCTTGAAACCGTTATAGAATGAGTTTTTTTTTTAAGTGTATTTTCTAGGTGCTAGCTATGAGCCTGGCCCTGTGTTAGGTGCTACAGATAGATCTGTAAACAAGATCGGCACAGTCCCTGCCCACCTGGAGTTTTAGTGGAGTGTAGAGCAAATAAATGATCAGGCACTGGGGAATCAGAGAGGTTAGGAAACTCACTGAGATTCTGCTGGTTAAGTGGCCAGGCCAGGCCTGCTTAACTTCAAATCTCTGGTCCATCTTCTTGGGCAGTAAAGCGTGAACCTTAAAAATGTGAGCTGAAGATATGGATGCCATCTGAATCCCGTGGAAGTCAAGGAAGAAGAGAGCTGGAGGGGCCACAGCCTGATTCTAACATGGGTGATGGCATTTCTGTTATGCTACTCCCAGAGTGCCAGGCCGGGGTGACTCACTTGGAGGAGGCATGCCCCGGCAGAAGTCTGCAGGGTGCTCCCAGGCTCCCTGCCTCCTCCCCCCACTGTTAAGTCACCACGGTGTTGTGGGGGCTGGGGAAAAGCAGCAAGGCTGTGGGATGACAGTTTTCCACCCGCCTTCCTGGACCTGTTTTAAATCTCAGAATCTCAGCTTCTCCATCTGAACATGGGCATCTTGACACATCGTTAGACCATGAGTGGCCAGTGCTTGGGATTTCATGGACCACTCATATTTTCTAATGTGTATGTGTGTGGTGCGGGGGATGGAGCTCAAGTTAGGAAACTATACATTTTTTAAAAACCTGACTGTCTACTTTTAAAATCTCTTGTTAAACAAAAGACAGTTTCATATCAGGTAAAGAAAGAAGGAATAATACAATGTATAAGAATACAAAATTAAAAATAACTGTTTAAATGGAATTTACATTAGTGGTTTTTGTGTGTGTGTGTGTGTGTGTGTGTGTTTTGTTTTGTTTTGTTTTGTTTTTGAGACAGAGTTTCGCTCTCGTTGCCCAGATTAGGGTGCAATGGTGCCATCTTGACTCACTGCAAACTCCACCTCCTTGGTTCAAGCAATTCTCCTGCCTCAGCCTCCCAAGTAGCTGAGATTACATGTGTGCACCACTATGCCCAGCTAATTTCTTTTATTTTTAGTAGAGATGGGGTTTCACCATGTTGGTCAGGCTGGTCTTGAACTCCTGACCTCAAGTGATCCAACTGCCTTGGCTTCCCAAAGTGCTAGGCTTACAGGCGTGAGCCACCTTGCCCGGCCGAATTTTACATTAGTTTTAAAGAGCTGACTTTGTTGTCATTTTTCTCACTTCTCTTTGGACTGTGGTGAAAACTGCACCACGGATCCACCCCCATCTTTGGCCCTGGGCCCAGCAGCTGGGAAGATGGTCCATAAGCCCCTTTCGGCTGTGTGAGTTCTGGGCTTGCGGCGTCCACAGGGCAGTCTAGGGTCTGCAGCTATTCTCCTAGGAAGCAGACAGTCTTGGCTTCATTTCACTCCAGAATTGCGTCTGGAGGCTTCTGTTTGGTCTGTGATCACTGAAATGGCAGCGTCCTGCCAGAGCAGCTCCCTCCAAGTCTCTCCATATGGGGACTGCATTTCCACCAGTCCTGGTAGCTCTTTTGCTCATAACATCAGTCCCTACTGACAGATTCATCCCTGTCACACTATTTACTGAAACTAGGCCACTTAATTAAAAGTAAGAGATTTTGCATAAACTCCAGCAGTGGCTTTATAAATTCCAAGCATTGTAAAGGGACCAGATGGAAGAACGGGCCAATTATCATAGAGCCCAATGTTCCCACCCTTTCCAACATGCTTCTTAATCATGGAGGCACCTGCTCTCGCCAGGGAGTAAAGATCCTACTTTCGTTGTCAGCTTACCATGAACATGAAAAGGGTCAACCCCAGCACAAATATGATTTGCTTTCTTGGGATATTTACATCACAAAGTCAATGGTTCAGAGATGCACTTTTTAGACAGCTATGGAGCCACATTAACTGTATGGGAGAAGGGACTGCAGATGGGGCAGATGTCTTGTCAGCAGAGATTTGGGTACCAGGCTGGGAGGAGGCACTAGAGAACCAAGCAGGCTTCCAGCTCTGAGTCTTACACTGTGGAGTCTTTTGGCTTCTCCAGATTGCTTCTCTACTCTTCTCCACTCTGCTGCACCTCAGGGGCTGACCTATGTGAACTACATGGTCCGACTCCCCTGCCTCCTGGCTTCTGCTTGCATTTGGCTGATGAAAGCTGCCAATGAGGATAGGAAGATGGGAGGAGCAAGAGGCGAGGCTTTATTCCTCGTTCTCTCCTGCCAGGTCATTGTGGCTTGGCCCCGCAGGACACCTCTCCCATCAGGTGGCTCTTCCTTTACATTATTCTCCCCAGTTTGGGGAACTGCCAGCTCCCTTTGCTCCTTCATGCCTCTGATGGGGGGATGCGGGTGGGGGTATTGGCTCCCTGCTTTGGCCAGTCCTGGATACCATACTATCCTTTATTAGTTTCTCTAAACTTTGTAAACAAGTCTTGTTTCAGAGTATTAATAAAATACTACGAAAATAACCCCATCTGGGTAAGCCATTTCTTGACCACCAGGACTCCAACTGTGGCAGGGGTCTTTAGGAACGTCGGGAGTGAGTACAACACAGCCCTTGTACCCAGGAGCTTACAATGGAGTTGGAGACATGAGTCACAGATAGAAATGGGACCAGACTTTCTGTTAATCCAAGGCTGCTATGAGGCATCCTTGATTCAGAAAAAGGATCAATATGGGCTGCAACAACAGGGGAGGCTTCTGAGAGGAGGTGGTGGCTTGGGTTGGGTCTCAGTATCGTCCATGTTTAGGGAAGTAGGGAAGAGGTGGTGGCATGTTGGGTAGGAGAATAGCCTAAGCAAAGAGCAGGGGATCAGGAACACCCGGGGCATGCAGTTTCAACTATAAACTCCACTGGCCTGATGGGAAAGGAAAGTGGAGGAGGAAGAAGGGAAGCATTTGAAGAGGTGGAGGAGGCATGATGAGTCTGGACTTGGTGAGAATGAAGAGAACCACAGTCTGTGCGAATATCTCATTCTCTCTGTCCAAGGAGCAGGTGCAGCTTCTTTCAGGCTTATTGTCTGAAAGAGCCGGCTGCCCTGGAAGAGCTGGCTGGACCGTTCTCATTATTGAGCCCTCAGATCAAATATCCCATCTCTTGAGAAGGCTTCTGTGGCAGCCAGCCTCCGAGGTGGCCCCAGTGACACCCACCTCTTGGTATTCACAATCTTGTGTAGTTACTTCCTGTTGAGTGAGGGCTGGACCTAGTGACTTGGGTCTAAAGAACAAAATAAGGTGTGTGTGTGCATGTGTGTGTGTGTTTCAGAGACTGTCATAAAAGACAGTGTGACATCTTCCTCTCCTGCAGATCATTTGCGCTGGGGAAAGCTATTCCAGCTGTCCCGTGCAGAGACGTGCTTGGCAAGGAGCAGAAGTTGCAGGCCAACAACTGCATGTGGGGGCAAATCCACCAGCTTCAGTCAAGCCTCGGATGACTGAGCTCCCAGCTGACAAC
Organism: Homo sapiens; assembly: GCF_000001405.40. NCBI lineage: Eukaryota > Metazoa > Chordata > Mammalia > Primates > Hominidae > Homo > Homo sapiens. The sequence goes on along the minus strand of NC_000016.10, from coordinate 49,114,019 downwards.
TTGATTACAGACTTGTGAGAGACCCTTAGCCAGACCCACTCCAGGTAAGCCACTTCCAGATTCCTGACCCTTAAAAACTGAGAAAACAAACATCTGTGATTTTGAATTGCTAATGTGTTGTACAAAAATAGCTGACCAATACACACCTTCTCTGACCACAAAAATTAAATCAGCACCTCCGTCTCCACCCTGCACCTCCTCTTACCATCACGCCATGCCCCAGCTTCACATGACCTGGTCGTTGCTCTCTCCGAGGGTCCTTCTCGTTCCTGTTTTATTACTTTACTGCTTCCCTTGCTGCTCCTTGAACCTGTGGGGCATGCCCCCACCTCACCACTTTTGCACCTACTGTTCTTTCTTTCCAGAAAATTTTTTCCCAGTTACATGCATGGTGTGCTTTCTCTCTTCCTTGAATTTCTCAGTGAGCCCTTCCCTGACCACTCTGTTTCAAAGTATAACCACATTCCCAATGCCTCCCTAGACTTGTCTCAATGTATCTTTCTCCATAGCATTTATCAATGCCAAACACAGCATATACTTCTACCCATTTATTCTTGTTTTTTGGTGTCTTTTTCTCACTAAAAGGTAAGCTCCAGGAGGCTAGGTATAACCAGCACTTAGAACAGTGCCTGGTGTATAATAGGTGCTCAATAAGTATTTGTTGAATGAATGATGATCACATTATTTTTTTCTGCATTTTGGCCCTCCTTGCCCCTTGGTATACATATGAGGGTGTAATTTTATGGGGAAAAAAGAGACTCGGCAGATGTAATAAATGTTACTTATCAGTTGACCTTAAGATAGGGAGATATTAATAATTGTGGATTATCCATGTAGATTCATACAAGCATATGAGCCCTTAAATGCGGAGAGTAAGGGCAGAAAAGGAAAGCAGCAAGATTCCAAGCATGCACAGTAGCTGATGAGAAGAGGTGTAGGGTCCATGAGATGAGAAGGAAGGCGGGCAGCCTCCAGAGGCTGACAGAGTGGCCCCAGGCTGCAGCCAGCAAGGAAGCAGGGACCTCTGTTCTGCAGCCACAGGGAACTGGCTGTTCTGCCAGCAGTCGGAACGAGCCTGGAAGATTCTTTCCAGAGCCTCCTGATAGGAGTCCAGATGGCTGACACTTTGATGTCGGCCTAGTGAGACTTGGAGCAGAGAGCTCACATGTGCCTTTCTGGACTTCTGACCTACAGAACAGTGAGATAATACATGTTTGTTGTTTTAAGCTGTTAGATTCATGGTAGTGTGCTGTGGCAGCACTACAAAACTAAGACAGAACACTCTTAATTATTGGCTGTTATGTTACTAGTTTGTTTAGTGTGAGCTCAGAGCTATTGTCTGTCTTGTAACCCCAGTACTTACAACAGTGCCTAGCACGGAGTTGAATAAATATTTGTTGTATGAATGAGTGAATGGATGGATGGATGGGTCTCTACTTTGCAATGGAGTGGGGGTGTCTGTTGGCTTGTCTAGGAGTTCACTAGATTGTGAGAATCTCAGGCACCAGGGTCAGTTGCATTCAACCGCACAACCTCAGTGCTCTGCCCTGACCTGCCTCAGAGTGGGCTACAGTACACCTTTGGCAAACTCATGGGCAGCCTAGGGCCAAGCTACAAGGAAAGAGCACACAACACTGGCAAAATAGCCTGACTCTGTATGCAAAGTCCTTATCCCCGCACCCTGTAGAGTCAGATTCAAGACGAGGAAGACTTTGGTGACAGATTCAAATGCAGCTGAGCTTTTTACTAACTTCACTTTCTCTGAGCTTCAGTTTCAAGCTCTCAAGTGGAGATGATGATGATAATACCCACCTCCTAGGGCATTTTTATGAAGATTAATGAAACTGTACAAGTAGAAGACTTTGCACACAGTAGGTACCTAATAAATAGTAGTTCTTATTAGTTTGCCTTTTGTTGAATACTGCACCTTGGTGTTTTCTGGGGAAAGCTTCAGGTGAGTTTTTAGAGAATTTCACTTGAAATGGTTGACAAGTCTGGTCAGTGACATCCGCTTTGACTTCCACAATGAACTCCCCCAGCCCAACTCAATGTCTGTTCACACCAAAGGTGATCAGCTTGCTCTGGCCGCAGCCATCCAGGGACCAGATTTCCACAAAGCAAACACAACTGATGTTCATAGAAAGACAATGATCATAAAACACATGGCAAAAATGACAATGTTGAGTTGATCCATTTAGAAATGATGGAATGAAATGTATGGTGTTATCAAACACACACAGATACTCACACACAGACACACACAAATACACACAAACACACATATTTATACTCATACACACACACCCCTCACTGAAAAGGTTAAAGACAGTTAAACTATCATGGGAATGGATACAAAATATTGCATGGGGATTTAGAGGCAAGAAATACAAGGAAACATAATGCACTGTAAATTAAAGTCATTTATAAAGTGCAACTGGCACCCAGATAGAAAGGAAAAATGATTTGTCAGCAAAAGTGGGATGTCCTGTTATTTATTTACAGACTATTTCTATGGGACAGGAAAGAACATATTTATTAAGGGCTTGCTGGTGTACAAACACAAACATATTAATGCCGGGCACTGAGGACACCTACCTAATTATTTGTCTCAAACTGACTTTGTTCATTTGTTAGTTTTAAGCTCATGAGGCCCCTCTGGCATTCCTTGGAACGTCTGTTCTCCCACCAGTGTGGATCTCTTTAGCTCTAGGGCTGGCCTTGCCCTGCTCTGTGGACACACGGCATGGAAAAGGTTACTCCCAGGGGTTACCACAGCCTCCCCTGACTTACACAGCACTGCTACCCTCATTCAGCAACATTGACAGGGTCTGTGTGTTGAATTTTCTGCCCTGCCTCTCCAAGTGAGCATGGCTTTTGGTGTTGGAGGGGAGCCACTTCTGGCCTAAGGAGCTGTTGGTTTGATGTTTCTTCCTTACCTTCTGCATTCAAAAGGAGTATGTGTTACCTGGATATCACCTGGCCACTTGTGACCCTAACAGAAGCAATGAATAAATCTGGAAGCAAAAACAAACAGAGAAGCCAGAGAAGAAGGTGAGCTATATATTAGAAAACACTGCTTACAAAGAATAGGATGGTGTGGATGGTGAAAAGGGAAAGAAGAAAACACAAGAACCTCCAATACTCAGACTGGAGAGAGGACTTGGGAGCATTTTGAGAGGATTAAGTGAGAGTGTGTATGTAAAATATTTAGTACAGTTCTTGGCACCTAGGAGTGTTCAATACATGATAAATAATAATTATTATTATATACTAAAAATATTAACAATGAGAACTTGTACCTTTTAATAACCCTTCTGTTATCTAAGCAGTTTATCTGAATTTTAGAAGCACACAGAATGTTTATTATTATAAAGATCCTGCTTTCTAAAGCAATATTACCAGTTCAAGAATTGGAACCCAACTGAGACCCTATGGGGACAGTTGCACAGAAGAAATTTAAAACCAAACACCAGCTGTTGATATTTAAGAAGTAGGCATCTCCTGAGATCAAGGAGAAATGTAACATGTCACTGATGTGTCAGCTGATGTGAGGTAATTTGAAAAATTGATTAGGCAATTTTTCTACCGTACAATAGAAATATAAACATTCATTGCACCTCAGTGCAAGCACAAGTCAGTTCTGAACTCTGCAATGGATACTATCGTGAGTACCCTGGGAAGTATCCAAGTAAAAGTACAGAAAATTAGGATTCAAGAGACAAATCTCCACAACAAAGAAACTGTAGCAAAGAAAAAGATGACTTGCTTGAGTCCCTAGAAATGACGAAAGCTAGGGCCAGGAACCAGACTCCATGCTGCTAAAATCCTAGATGTACTGGCATTTATTTCTTTCTGTCTGACCAGTTTCCCTTTTCCCTTCAATAGCAACATCACCTCCTAACTTTCTTTATAGAATCACACTTCTCCCATTTTCCGTCCATGTGTTTCAAATGCAGCTGACTCCCCCCAACTCCAGAGAGAAGCAGGTGAAGCAGGTGTCCCAGGCCTAGCCAACCAGAGCACCATGACAGTGACAGGCTCAGGAAGAAGCACACAGTCCAAGTGGAGTCAGCAAGGTTTGGTTCCGGGACTTTTGTTGAAATTCTTGAAAACAGAAAATCTCCCATTCTAAAGAGATCGTCTGGGAGCCACCAAAAAAATTCTATTTGAGAATGGACATAAGACAAGGAAAACTGGAACTGAGAGACAGTGTGAGGTCAGGTCCTGATACAATTATTGAAGCTTCTGGATCCAGCAGAGCTTGAAACCAGTCATAGTACTAGAAAGAGGAACTGATAGATAGGTAGATAGATAGATAGGTAGGTAGACAGACAGACAGACAGACAGACAGACAGACAGATAGATAGATAATAGGTAGATAGAGAGGTGGCAGATAGATAGTAGATAGGTAGATAGATGATAGCTAGATACACAGACAGACAGACAGATAGACAGATAGATGATAGGTAGATAGATAGATGATAGGTAGGTAGATAGATAGAGATGGATAGACAGATGATAGGTAGGTAGATAGAGAGATGATAGGTAGATAGATAGATAGAGATGGATAGACGGATAGATAGATAATAGAAGAGTAGATTATAGATAGGTCGATAGATAGATGATAGATAGGTATAGATAGATATATGGATAAATAGATGATAGATAGGTAGATAGAAAGAGATGGATAAATGGCTAAATAGATAATAGATCGATAGATAGATGATAGATAGGTAGAGATGGATAGATGGATAAATATATAGATGATAGAAAGATAGATAGTATGTAGATCGATAGATGATAGAGATGGATAGATAGATAGATAGATAGATAGATCAATAGAAATAGCTTATGCTGTCTTGGGTTGGTGTCATTTATTTGTACCTGAATGAATCCTAACTAATATAAAATATAAATCCTTTCCTCTTCTGATACACCACCCTGCCTCTTAAATGTTGTCCTTTGAGAAAATACTATGGTACAGTAACCACTAAATACTTGAGTGTATCTCCCTAGGGAGAGTCCTCCCATGTAAGTCTAGCACCTGTGCTTGTGGGAGATGCTAATGAGGTGCACTGGCCCCCATGCAGACCTGGCTGTGGGGAGGAGGAAGGATGATGGGGAGCAGAGGCCAGAGAGTGCCTACAGGCAGGAATGAGCAGACTTTCCTGCATGCCTGGCAATGACATGGCACCTTAGCAGTGAGAGCTGTCAGCTTAGGCATCAGCTGTGCCACAGCAGCCTTCATCGGAAAAGGCATCTTAACAGGAAACAGTGAAACCACCTCTGAGGTGGCTGTGAGTGTCATGACTGAGACGTAGAGGGAAAGTGGCCATCCTGCATGGAATAGCAGGAAATCAGGAGTTGCAAGATCCAAAGTCCGGGGTGGGATACTGCTTGCTGATAGGGGCCTTGGAAAAGTCTACAGCTCCAAGTTCCCAGCCCGTAAAATAGGAATAAAGATACCTTCTTACCTCTTGGGATTTCCTGAGGCTCAAATGTGGCCAATAATAGTAGTAAAGAATGACATTTTCTGTTCATTGATGTGTCAGCTGCAGTGTTTAGCATCTTGCCTACCTTTCCTCATTGAAACTTCACAAGATCCCTATGAGGTAGGCCATGTTGTTATGCACATTGTGCAAATGAGAAAACTCAGGCTTACAGAAATTTAATGATTTTCCCAAGGTCATACAACAAATGAGTGGCAGAGCCAGGATCTGAACTCACAGTGCGAATCCAGGGCTGTACCCTACTGTTTCCTAATGTGGTCAGAGAATATAGACCTTGAATAAGGACCTTGAAGATGCAGACAATGGGAGCTAAATGTTCACAGTGTGCTGTGTTTGGATTAACTCTTTCTATTTTCCATTAGGTTTTCTGTTATTAACACAATGACTCTTCTCTAAAAAGCTCTGGCATCTGGGATAAATTACTGTCTTTGTCCAAGCAGATGAGTTGTAATAAACAGCCTTAAAATCTCAGTGGCCTAGCACACTGGAATTTTATTTCTTGCTCACATAATGCACTGTAGGTGTTTGGTTGTTGACCTTCACGTGCTGATCCAG